>NC_000002.12:2737272-3040303 GCF_000001405.40 Homo sapiens
GCAGCAACTTGTGTTATCACTGAGTACGATCCCACCTCCTCTGGCCCTGAATGCAGGGATGTGCATAGAATTAATGTGCGTGTGTGTGCGTGTGCATGTGTGTGAGTGTTTGAGTATGTGTCTGTGACAGAGAGAGAGCACCCTGGCAGGCCCCTCCTGTGTAGCTGTGACTGGTTGCTCCTTCCCACATCTCAGGTGGCCACTGGCTCCAAGAGTCCCTTTACATTAAGGTCAGATGAAGAAATTGACAACTGAACTGAAACACAAATGACCAAAAAAACAAAGGTCCAAGACAGGAAAAAAAAAAAAAAGAAAAGAAAAAAGGTGGCAGTGGGCTAGAGTTTCTAGGCCAAGAAGTAGATTCTTAGCCCCCAAAATACTCAGTGTATTCCCCAAGAAGAATTTTGTACCAGAAAGCATTTAGTCCAATTCTTTTCAGCTGACACTTGACACTATTACATTGGTTCAAAAGTAATCATGGTTTTAGCCATGGAAAGTAATGGCAAAAACTGGGATACTTCTGCATCAACCTAATGGTTTAGATTCTAGACAGCAGGCAACAGAGCCTGGCTTGGTCCAACTAAAACAAGACTGAATGGATTCAAAGCACATTGGAGGCATCTGCAGGTTAGTGGGTGGCTCTGTGCCAATGGCAGTGCCTGTGCTGGGGACTCATTCTAGAGTCATATGAGGCCCTGGCATTACGGGCTCCTCCACCAGGCCTAGAATGGTGCTCAGAGCTGGGCAGAGGGTCAGTCAAGTCCTGTTGATTGATTGCTGTTTAAAATAACTGGATGAGTCCGCAGCCATACCACCCTGAACGCACCCGGTCTCATCTGAAATAATTTGATGAGCAAGTTGACTTTAACTATAAGCAGGTTGACTCTCACTCTTGTGGGATCTAAACATCACTTGATGGAACCAGCTATAGAATATTGATTACCGGTTTTGATTTACCAATAAGAAGCCTACTATGTCAGGGATTTTTCTCCCAGCCCCACCCTAGTTAATATGTGAACTTTGATCAAAGCCCTTCACATCTCTGAATCGGTTTCTTATCTGTAAACATGCAGATGTGGTGGAGAAAATACCTTCAGCCCCAACAGCCCACTGTCTGTGAAGCCAGCAGAAGGCTGTGCACAATGAGAGGAGGCGAAAGGCCTGGCGCTCGGGGATTTGCACCGCCAGGGCGCCGGGGCCTCTCGTTCAGAACAGGGGCCCCATCGCACGGCCTTTGGTGCATCCAAGAGCCACAGAAGAGCCCTTGTGCAACTGGCCAGAAGCCTCCCATCCCACCTGTCTCCTGACAAGGACCAGGCTGGACATTCTCTGACAGGGAGGCTGCTTCTCAAAGGGCAGAGAGACAAATCAGAGACGATTGTCAGGAGCAGTTAATGGTGATTGCTCCAATTTTCCCCTGGTAATAGTTAGTCTGCGGTGCACCTCTAGCTCCAGCCATGAATATTTAACAAGAGAATATGTCATCAGAACAAGCCCCCACAGCCAACGAATTAATATTAATGGGGCGAAAATTGAGCCTCCTACTGAACCCTTGGAGAAGTCTGTAAAGGCGGTGATTACGGACGAACTCGGATGATCTCAGAGCTGACCTTACCCTGGGCAGCTCTCAGCAGCAACCACGTGAAAAACAATTAAACATTCAACGTGGCTCTCCCACCAGCCTGGAATTGGAGGCTTAGGTGCTCCTGACAATGTGCATTTCAAAGTTGATCTGCAGAGCAGCTGACAGGTCAGGCAGAGTCACGGGAAGAAGCCTTGGAAAAGAGCAGGGCATGAACGAGGCCAGCAGGGGATGGATCATTGGCTTAGGACCAGACAGAGCTGGAGGCTCAGCCCAAGGCCCCGTGAGGCAGGTGAGGAGCCCAGGACAGAGGGGCTGCCAACTTCCTCGAGCTGACGTCTAACTGGGAGCAGGGACCCCATTACCCAACATCAGCCCCGACCCCTACATGGTGTCTAAGTAGTCCCTGGCACAAAGTGAAGGTTCAGTAGAGATGAGCTTGCTCCTCCTGGGCCTCAGCACCATGCAGAAGGGAGGCCCGGCCTCTGTGCTCACCTCGGTGGCATCAGCCCCAACCTCTACACGGTGTCTAAGTAGTCCCTGGCACAAAGTGAAGGTTCAGTAGAGATGAGCTTGTTCCACCCAGGCCTCAGCACCATGCAGGAGGGAGGCCCTGCCTCTGTGCTCACCTAGGTGGTAACACCCAGGCACATTTTCTGCAGGGCATTTGAGCAACTCCATTCCCACGCAGGGCCATGGGCGCCGACACGTCCAGCACTGGCGCAGGTTGGTTCAGGCAAGGAGAATTTCTGGCAAGTCTGATCCTGTCATGTCCTGATGCTCAACACATTTATGTGTATTCATCCAGTTATTCATTCATTCTATCAACATTTCCTGAGTACTGAAAAACATGATGACTGATCTGGCCTTGAAAACAGCAAAATCATTCTCCCCATGGCTCAGGCCTAGTAGTGTAGGGGACAATGAACAAGAGAAATATGTAAAGTATGTAAACTGTTGGAAGTATCCTAAAAAGAAAAAAAAATAGATGCCAAGCACAGGAAGTGTGTGGGGTAAAAATTGAGAAATGAGGTTGAGAGAGAAGCCTCAGTGAGATGGGTACTATAAAAAAAATGTGAGAGAGGAGGCTGATGGAGGAGCACCTGCTGGACTGAGGGAGGAGGCTGATGGGGGAGCACCTGCTGGAGAGAGAAGGAGGCTGATGGAGGAGCACCTGCTGAAGAGTGGAGGAGGCTGATTGAGGAGTACCTGGTGAACTCAGGGAGGAAGCTGATAGAGGAGCACCTGCTGGAATGAGGATGAGATAGAAGGAGTAGCTCCTGCTGGACTGAAGAAAGAGGCTAATGGAGGAGCACCTGTGGAGTGAGGAAAAGGTAGATGGAGGAGCACCTACTGGAATGAGGAGGAGGCTGATATAGGAGCACCTGCTGGAGAGAGGAGAAGGGAGATTGAGGAGCCCCTGCTGAACTGAGGGAGGAGGCTGATTGAGGACCATCTGCTGGAATGAGAAGGAGATGAAAGGAGTAGCACCTGCTGGACTGAGGGAGGAGGCTGTTGTTGGAGAAGCACCTGCTGAGGTGAGGAGGAGGCTGATGGAGGAACACCAGCTGGAGTGAGGGAGGAGGCTAATGGAGGAGGACCTGCTGGAGTGAGGGAGGTGGCTGATGGAGGAGCACTGGCTGGAGTGAGGAAGGAGGCTGATGGAGGAGCACCTGCTGGACTGAAGGAGGAGGCTGATGGAGGAGCACTGGCTGGAGTGAGGAAGGAGGCTGATGGAGGAGCACCTGCTTGACCGAGGGAGGAGGCTGTTAGAGGAGCACCTGCTGGAGTGAGGGAGGTGGCTGATGGAGGAGCACCTGCTGGACTGAAGGAGGAGGCTGATGGAGGAGCACCTGCTGGACTGAGGGAGGAGACTGATGGAGGAGCACCTGCTGGAGTGAGGAGGAGGCTGATGGAGGAGAACCTGCTGGACTGAGGGCAGAGGCTGATGGAGGAGCACCTGCTGGACTGAGGGAGGAGGCTGAGGAAGGAGCACCTGTAGGAGTGAGGAGGAGGCTGATGAAGGAGCACCTGCTGGACTGAGGGAGGAAGCTGATAGATGATCACCTGCTGGTGTGAGGAGGAGGCTGCTGGAGAATCCCCTGCTGGCGTGAGGATCAGGCTGATGGCAGAGCACTACAATAAATGGGAATATCAATGCCACAGCTCTTAGGCCTGAGCCTGCCTAGTTTCTTTATTTTTCCTTCTTTTTTTTTTTTTTTTTTTTTTTTTTTTTGAGACAGAGTCTTGCTCTGTCGCCCAGGCTGGAATGCAATGGCGGGATCTCGGCTCACTGCAAGCTCCGCCTCCTGGGTTCATGCCATCCTCCTGCCTCAGCCTCCCAAGTAGCTGGGACTGCAGGCACCCGCCACCATGCCCAGCTAATTTTTTGTATTTTTAGTAGAGACAGGGTTTCACCATGTAAGCCAGGATGGTCTCGATCTCCTGACTTCGTGATCTGCCCGCCTCGGCCTCCCAAAGTGCTGGGATTATAGGCGTGAGCCACTGCACCCAGCCGAGCCTGCCGAGTTTCTTTAAAGACCAGGAGGCGTCTAGCATGGGTAATGTGGAATAAGCACAAGTGACTATGGAATCCAGTGGTCAGAGTCCTGATGGAGGTAAGATCACGTAGGACTCTGTCCCACAGGCTTCGATTTAGGTTTAATCTGAGTACACAGCAAATCTTATGAGTATCTTGCTTTTAATCAGTGGAATGCTCATGTATCATTTGTGTTTTACAGTGACTTTGGTTCCTGTGCTGAGCATTGACTCTAAGGTTCAAGGTGAGTGCAGGGAGAGTGGGTTGAGACCATTTTTATACCCAGACAGAAGAAGCTGTTGAGCAGTAGTCATTGCTGTTTGTATTTTGTTGGCACACTCAACAGGATTTGAAGATGGATTAGTAATGCATTCAGAGAATTAAAAAAAAGAGATAAAAGTCATTCTTATGTATTTGGGCTGAGTAACTGGAAGGATGTGACAATCATTAGCTGACTTAGGAAGAAAGCAAGAGAAGCAGGCTTTGAAGTTCACATGGGACCTCTTGCAGTTGTTGAACACCTAAGCAGAATTGCTGTACACACACAGTTTTATAGATGAGTGTGGAGTTTGTGGAGAGAATGGGGCTGCACATATGCAATGGGACTCATCAACATCCAGAGGGTGTTTAGAGCTATGACTCTGAATGGAATCAGTAAAGCATAAATGTGACCATAATAAAAACATTTCAAAGACTAAGCCCTGATGTGCCAGCTTTAAGTTATCTGCAATGGAGACTGAGAAGAAGGAGACAGAGCAGTAGGAGAAACATGAGGCAGGTGATGTCCTGAAGGCCACATAGAGAAATGGCTTCAAGGAGGAAAGAACAAGGCCTGATCACTTGATATTGATGAGAAGAGTTTTGTTGGAGGATGCAGAGAAGACTGATGGCCGCTGTGAGAGCATAGCAGGGGAGAAGTGGAGGAAGTGCAGGTAGGTACCCTTTCAGGGAGTTTGTCTATCAAGGGAACTAGATACACAAGGTGATACCTTGAGGACAAAGAAAAGTCAAGAGGATTTACTAAGGAATGAAGAAATAAATCATGTGTATCTGCTCTTGGAAATAAAACAATAGAGAGAAGAAAGGGACAATGCAGGATTTAGAGTGAAGAATGTCTGGAAAATAAGGTCTTTACAGAGGTGAGGCCACTGAGACCTAAGGAAAAATGGAGGGATTATACTTAGCTAGACAGGTGCAAAGGTCACCCTCCATCAAAGGAAGAAAGGGAGGATGGATGGACGGGGGGATGGAAGGAGTGACGAATGGCGGGGTGGGCAGATGGGTGGATGTGAAGGTATGTGGGTGGCTGGCTGGTGTTGTACATGGAATGGATTAGTGAATATTCACTTATTGTCACCAGCTCTCTGGTGAAATCTGTGGCCGCAGTGAATGGTTGTAGCCTCTCACTCAGAGCTGCCTTAATGCTCATGGATTTAAGACCCAGAGAGGTTGATAAAATTTAGCTAATGAGCACGATAGCAGGTAACAGAAACAAAGAGGTCAGGCTTTGTTTCCTAGAGACATACTGGTGATGTCATTTGTGAATGAGAGCCTCCCACACAGCTGCTGTTCTCTGACTGCTCAGAAAATTGTCTCTCTAGAATGCCAACTTAATCATATCACTTCCCTGCAAAAAAAAAAAAAAAAAAAAAAAAAAAAAGAAAGGAAGAAAAGAAAAGAAAAATGCCTCACTGGCTTGCCCTTGGGATAAAATAAAAAATTCTTAATGTGACCTACGGTTCTCACCATCCCTACTTCTTTCCTGTGTGGATGAAATGGCTATTGCAGCCTAACGCACCACTCCAAAATTTAGTGGTTTAAAATTACAGCTATTTCTTACTTCTCACTGAGTCTATGAGTCAGCTTGGCAGCCCTTCTCATGGGGGCTGGATCTGCTGATCTCAGCTGGGCTCATGCTTGAGTCTGTCTCATTGACGGGGGAGCTGGAGCTGGCTGGCCTAGGATGGCGTTGGCTTGTGTCACTGGCCTCTGCCTGGGCGGAATTGAGAGAGACAGACAGAGAGGGAGTGGGAAGAAGCACACAGGCCTTTTGAGGCTGAGGCTGAGGCTCAGAAGGGTTTGTGCTCACCATGTCCTTTTAGTCAAAGCAAGGCAGGCCCGGTTTTGGCGGCAGGGTGGCTGGAGGGGTTTAGACTCCAACTCCTGAAGGCAGAAGCTGCAGGCTCAGAGTGAGAAGGTCACGAGTCCCCAGAGGATGCAGAGATGGGCGTGTTTGCAATCCACCTGCCTTACCCTGCACAGCACATGCTCCTTCATTCCTCCAGCCCTGCCCTCTGCCCACTCTCTCCGCTCCCTCCCCACCTTGAGACCCTTGCACGTGTCGTTGTGTGTGTCTGCAAGATTTCTTTTTCTACGCCCCACCGGAATCCCCATCTCTTCCTGTCTGATTAACTCTCCTTCAACCTGCAGGCCACCCAGTGACAATCACCTCCTCAAGGAAGCCTCCTTGGCTGCCCTGGAGCCGGGTGAGTCCTTGCTGCTCCTTAGAGGCCAACATACCGCTTTCCTTCACAGAACTCGCCAGAATTCCATTCCAATACTGACTTGCTTGATTACGTGTCTAGTGCCTGTCTCCCCTACCAGAATGCAAGCTCAGTGAGGGAGGGCTCGTGGGCATTGTTTGCATATGTGTTCTGCCTTATACTAACAGCTGAGGAAGTGTGTGTGCTATAACAACCTGATTTAATAAAGAAAGGACACTGCTTAGCACAGGTAGACAATAAACCTTGCTCTTTTTCTCAGTCTGTGGCCCACTACTTTAATCTTTGCTCTCCTAAATCAGTTCTCCTTGGAGAAAGTGACGTGTTTCACGAGGATCTACTTTTTAGAAGAGGTTATGCAAAGCGACTCTATTAGGCTGTGCATAATTCCAGACACCCCACTGGACTAAAGCCATTCAGATGCAGATCACGCGCCAGGATCATATCTGGAATCTACATACCTGGGCTTAAATTCAGCCTGTGCCAGTCACTGTTTGTGTGAATGTTGGAGAAGGACCAATCTCATTACACCTCAGTTTCCCCTCTAAAGGAGAATAAAAATGGCTGCCTCTCAGGATTTGGTTATTATTCTCTTTTCCATGTGTTTACAAAGCCTGCCACATGACAGACACTCCATCAATGTTAGTCCCCCTCTCCCCTGTTCATGTTTTCTTTCTTTTGTCTTGGCTGTCTGGAAGAAAACCCAGCACACAGTAAGTTCTCCATTTAAGAGTAGAAAATTAAACTGACAACACTTTGCTGTTAGCCAAAGCAGAAGAACCAAAGGGCACGTTTGGAGAGAATGAAGGTCAGTTCAGCTTCTGCGGCAGACGAGACGTTAGGTGGAGTGGTGCTGGGGCAGTGGGAAACACAGGACTGCGACGTGGGCCCAAGTGAAAAGGTTTGAGAGGAATCTACCCAGTGCCAACAGCCCTGTAAGGGTCTGGAGCCAAAAAGAACAGTGCTAGAATTTTCTCACTGTGGTTTTCTCTTAGCAAAAAAGGGGAGAAAAACTGTTATGGGAAGCGCATATGTGGACTCTCTGTCCAACTCAGGCCAGTATCTCTGAGGACATCCTGAAGCCTCTGAGGCAGCCTTTGCAGCTTCCGAAGTGAGCTCACAATTCTCCAAGTGGTGGACGAACCCCCAGTTTACAGAGTTGGGGCTGCAGGCAAACTACATCTGCATGGAGACTTCCTTGACGGCTTTTGGTTCAGGATTGGGGTGCAGATGCCCATCGATGTAGACCAAGGGACAGAGTGCAGAGGGCCGACGGGGCGCAGCCTTGGGCCTCTGGCTCATCCCAGCTGGAGTGGAGATCAGGGTCATGGATGCCAGTTCCCTGGAAGCTCAAATATCCTGGATTCCCAGTGCTGCAGGCTGTGGCACCCAAAGAAAGAACACACTTCTTATGCCTTTATTCTGTGAGTTGTTCTGAAGAATTCTGCTGGGTTCCATCTTTGGTTTTCAGCTCTCTATCGTTTGACTCCCATGTCTGGGGCCCGAAGCTACACCACAGCCTGGCAATGGACACTCAGGGGCTGCAGAACTGTGTTTGTTTTACAACAGACTCATCTATCCATCAGTGAAAATTCTCATGTTCCTCTCAGCCTCGGAAGCCACGTGTGTGATCCTAATCCCACAGACTAAGCACGGGGCCAGGTGGCTTCTCCCAGAAGAGTGCTCTCACTGGACCACACCATGTCTGTCTCCCAGCTGTGGGAACTCTAGGGTGCTTGAGGAATTTCAGTAGGGAGTTGGATCTACCCCATATTGGAGCCCTCATCGACACACACCATTGGTAATGGCCATAGCCCTCAGCTTCACAGCTTGTATGGGTAGATCCTCTTATCAGCATTATCTTATTTAAATACTTGCAGATCCAACATCACTTATAGCCCCCAAATCTTAAACCTCAAGAAAAGCAAAAATAGTTTCTGCTAAGGAACACGCTGCGGCCCCTTGGTGATAGAAGTCCTGTAGCACGCTGTGTTAGGCCGTTCTCCCACTGCTATAAAGAACTACCCGAGAGACTGGGTAATTATAAAGAAAAGAGGTTTAGTCAGCTTACGGTTCTGCAGGCTTTACAGGAAACGTGGCTGGGAGGCCTCAGGGAACTCTTAATCATGGTGGAAGGCAAAGGGGAACCAGGCACGTCTTACGTGACCAGAGCAAGAGGAAGAGAGAGAGAGCGGGGAGGTGCCACACACTTTCAAACAACCAGATCTCCCAGCACTCATGATCACGAGAACAGCAAGGGGGAAATCCGCCCCATGATCCAATCACCTCCCACCAGGCTTCACCTCCAACACTGCAGATTACAATTCGACATGAGATTTGGGTGGGGACACAGATCCAAAACACGCACATGCCAACCTCTCAGCTTGATGGACTGTGATGGGCTTATTTTCTTAAGTGAGCTATCAATTAACTATGTGAAAGTCAGGTTTCTTTAAAAATTCACTTATTTAGGTTTGTTTGTTTTAATAATCTTTTTATTTCTGAATAGTTTTAGATTTACTGAAAAGTTGTGAAGATCAGTCCGAGTGCCCATCTCTCTCCATTACCAACACCTAACCTACATCTAGCTCATTTATCACAATTAATAAGTTACTATTTCTACATTATTACCTAAAGCCTGTAATGTATTCAGGTGGACATAGCTGTCACTGACACCTTTTTTGACCCAGGATCCCACAGGACATTGAGCCATCGTGTCTCCTTGGGCTCCGCCTGGCTGGGACAGTTTCTGGGACTTCCCTAGTTTTTGTTAACAGCTGTGAGGAGTGCTGGCTGGGTGTGTTTTGTAGGATGCCCCCTCCAGTGGGGTTTTGCTGAGGTTTATCTTGATGGTTAGACTTGGGTTCTGTGTTTGGGGAGGAAGATGCAGAGGTAAGTGTCCTCCCATCACGTCCTATCACAGGTATCTGCCACCAGCATAACTTGCCTCTGCTGCTGCTCGACATAGTCACCTGGCCGAGGAAAGGTTTGTGAGGCTTCTCACTGAAAATCTCTCCCCATTGCGGGCTGCTTCTGTGGGAGAAGTCGCTGTGCACAGCCCACGCTGTAGGGGTGGGAGCTCAGCCACACCTGCACAAGGGTGCAGTATCTTCATAAATTAGAATTTCTCTGCATGAGAGATTTGTCTATTCTCCTCCATGTATTTACTCAATTATATGTTTATATGTGTATAAAAGCACTGGCATGCATTTTATACTTTGGGTTATAATTCAGCACAACATTATTTATTTTGTTGCTGAAATTGCCCCAGCTTCAGCCACTGGAGAGTCCTTGCAGTCAGCTCCTGTCTCCCCTCAACCTTGCCTCCCATTATATTTGGATTTTGTTTTTAATTTGGGTTTTGAGCACTTCCTTGCTTTCTTGCTCTGCAAGATGCTCTGGGCTCGTCTTGTACATTTACTGCTTCTGTCCTAGAATCAACCATTTCTCCAAGGAGTTTATTTCCCTTTCAAAGTATAAATTTCCTTGAGATTCTCTAAGGGGAAATAAACTCAGAAAATGCATGCTGTGACTGGTAAGCAAAGGAGGGAGCCCTAGTTTCATGAGCAGGGCAGCTCAGCTCTTCCCAGAGCCGGCCTTTCCCTCTTCCGGTTCCTATGGCCATACTTCCAAGGCGATAAAACATTTGAAAGAAAGTATTGGAACTATTATATATTAGCAAAAATATACAGTCTGCATGTATTCTACTTGAGGATATAACACCGATTTTTGGAAGGATCAATAAGGAAATAAGCTGACCAGTAATTACTTTTTTTTTCTTTCAGTAAAACAGATGCTGTTTTGAATTATGGCTCTGCCATTCACTGGTGATGCGATTTGTCAAATCACCAAACATCCCTAAACCGCAATTTCCTCATCTAAAAATAGGACCAGGCATGCCTGTACCAAGGGTATTATGAGGAATAAATTAGGACATACGATCTGAGCACCTAGAGGGCCTCACACTTGTGGTTTCTCTTTGTTTCACACTGAACATGAGTGTTATTCACCACCATTCGCAGGATCTAAACTGGGAGCTCCGTCCCTTCAGGAAGAGCCAGGGAGCAACTGTGTAAGAGGAGCCTGGGTTTCCCACTGACCCCTGAGATTTCCATGGGCCTGGTCTTCCCAGAGGGCCCCTGGGCTTTCCACAGGCATGCCCAGATTTGCCAAGAATGCTGTGTGCACACTCATCTCAGCAGGGCAGGCCCATCAGGGAACACGGCCACCTTTAATAACCCTGGAGCGGGAGGTGGGACAATCAACAAGCCTGCCTGCTGCAGCTGGTTGGGCCTGGGTTCATGTTCCTCATGAGAGGTGGCTGGAGCTCGTGGAGAGACCAGGCGGGGGGCCCACAGCCTGCAGCCCACCCTGGCAGTGCCAGTCCTCAGCCCAGCAACTCTGGTCAGCCCGTGCAATCTCTCTGTGCGTCCATTTCCTCATTTGCAAATGGAGTAGTTGATGCACTTTGTGTTGAAATTGAATAAGATGGTGTGTGGTGTGTGTGGCCAAGAGCAGAGCTCTCTCCTCTCCCGGTGGGTGGGTGGGTGCTGGTGCCTTTCTCACTGCCGTGCACACCTGGAACACCTGCCTTCTTCATTCAGAGCCAGGGCCTCTGCGCTCCCCTGAGAGCCTCATCATACCTGAGCTTGGTGACCTGCCCTGCCTTTGCTCTCCGGATGACAGCATGAGGCCACCACAGTGACCAGCCACCTCATGAGGGCCCCTGTGCGTCAATCAGCTGGAGTTGGCAGACGCCAGGTCTACTTTGCCATAGGCAGGGCCATTCAGCGAGTCTTTCTCCTTTCAGCAAATCCCTCAAGGGCAGTGAGTCTGCTTATGCTTAACCAGAGACACACCCTGCCTGGCCCTGGGGCTGGGCAGTGGGCGATGCTGTGGCTGGAGGAGGAGCTGGGCAGCTGCATGCTGGAGAGGTGAGGCCCACCTGGGAGGGGAGGCTCAGGAAGACCTTCACTCCAGGAGGCTCCATGCACGTGTGAGGACTGCAGCAGGGCCCAGAGCCAGCTCTCAGAACCAGGGGCAGGCCAGGCAGAGGCAGTGCATGGCCACTGGGCAGAGTGGCCCCTGCCACTCAAGTCTCCTGGGCTCCAGTCAGCCACACAGGCTCAGGAGGTCAGAGTTCCAGCACCAGCAATGGAATTCACGCCCTGCTCTCTGGTTTCATTTGCTTCCGTGCTCAAGGTTGTTTCCCCATGTAACATCAGGACAGCGCCTCCTGAGAGAAGTGAGGATTGAGTGGGATACTCTGTGTACAGCCTCAGTTTCCCTGGCACGTGGTAAATACTCAGAAAAGGTGAGCTAGCCTTACCACAGCTTGCTTTTTAGACAACATGGGGGCATTCACGGGATCTGAAACCTCCATAGCGGGGTACGAGCTGTCTTAGCAGTCAAGCACATGGCCTCCTTCACACCACGGGCTGAGCGCAGTGACCACAGTCAGGCGGCTACAGGCCAGGAGCCCACAGGTGTTGCTGGTGACTGAGGCAGTGAGGAGCCCTGTGAGTCTGCTCTCCAGCCACCCTGCCTGCTGCTCCCTGAGTGCTTGGGAAGTGACTGGGCCACCAGCCCTTGTTCCCAAACCTTGGAGAGGAGCCGGGGATACACCTTCAGGCTCCCTCCAACTCCAAAAGTCCAGGAGCTTGGGACGTCTTTTCCTAAAGCTGTTACAGCTTCATAAACTCGACTTCCGGCAGCTTAATAGGCTTTTGGCTTTGTGGTTCTTCACTAGCGAAGTGTGTGTGTATGGGGAGGGGTGTGGATGTGTGTATGGGGAGGGTGTGGATGTGTGTATGGGGAGGATGTGGATGTGTGTGTAGGGATGGGGGTGTGTGTATGGGGAGGGTGTGGATGTGTGTGTGTAGGGATGGGGGTGTGTGTATGGGGAGGGTGTGGGTGTGTGTGTGTAGGGATGGGGGTGTGGATGTGTGTGTGTAGGGATGGGGGTGTGGATGTGTGTATGGGGAGGGGTGTGGATGTGTGTGTGTAGGGATGGGGGTGTGTGTATGGGGAGGGTGTGGGTGTGTGTGTGTAGGGATGGGGGTGTGGATGTGTGTGTGTAGGGATGGGGGTGTGGATGTGTGTATGGGGAGGGGTGTGGATGTGTGTGTGTAGGGATGGGGGTGTGTGCCAGTGGTAGATGGATGTGTAGGAGGCATGTGTGGCCTGTGTGTGTGTCTGTGGTGTGTACATGTGTATGTGTAGTGTGTGTGTGGTTTGTGGGGTGGTGGTGTGTGTGGGGTGGTGTGTGTATGGTGTGTGTAGATGTGTGTGGTCTGTGTGGGGTGGTGTGTTTATGGTGTGTGTAGATGAGTGTGGTGTGTGTGGGGTGGTGTGTATGGCATGTGTATATATGTGTGGTGTGTGTGAGGTGCTGTGTGTATGGTATGTGTATATATGTGTGGTGTGTGTGACGTGGTGTGTATAGATACGTGTGGTGTGTAAGGTGGTGTGTGTATACATGTGTGTGGTTTGGGGGGTGGTGGTGTGTGTAGGGGCGATGGGGTGTGTATATATGTGTGGTGTATGGGGGGATGATGGGGTGTGTATGGTGTGTGTATATATGTGTGGTGTGTGTGTGTGGTGTAGTGTGTGTATGGCGTGTGTCTATATGTGTGGTGTAGGGGAGTGGGGTGTGCATGTGGTGTGTATATGTGTTTGGTGTGTGTGGGGTGGTGGTGTGTGTGGGGTGGGGTGTGTATGGCGTGTGTATGTATGTGTGTTGTGTGTGGAGTGGAGTGTGTATGGTGTATGTATATATGTGTGGTGTGCGGGGGTGGGGTGGTGTGTATGGAGTGGTGTGTGGGATGGGGTGTGTGTGGCATGTGTATATATGTTGGGGGGGTGGGGTGTGTATATGTGTGGGGGGGGTGGGATATGTTAATTATGGAGGGAATGGAGCGGGTGAAGGTAGGAAGTAGATGGAAATTCTCTGTACTCTGGGCTCCATTTTTCTGTAAACTTAAAACTCCTTTAAAAAAGAAAGTCTATTAATTTTTTTAAATTACGTAGAGTAAAATTGAATTTCATTGATCATTTAAATGACTTCTGGAAAACACCGCCTTTTCCTTCGGTCACTCAGACCGCGCCCGAGGTCCCTGGTGCCCCCGCGGGGGAGCTGAGGTTTGCGGTCCCTCCTGGGGTTCGCTTCCCGCGGGGCTAAACCGCGGCGACCAGGGCCCCTTTCTCCACTGGTGCCTTTTCCGGGAAACGCTGCTCCTTAGATGGACGAATACGTACTCGGTACCCAGCACATCCTGGACGAGTTAACTTCCTTAATTTCCATATTTGCCGGAGAACCAGCTGGTTCAGAGCGCACAGCAAACGGGAGAAGTTAAACCAGGTTCCGCGACCCAGAGCCCAGGGGTGGCCCCGGGGACACCCACCTGACTCCGCACCCCCCACGAGAGGGGAGGATCCTTGCAGACCTCACCTTTGCTGGCAACGCTGCGGCCCGCAGGCTCTTCCCCATCTGAGCGTCCTGGCCCCCTGTTATTTTTGCCACAGTGCCGCCTCATCCTCCCTCTCGCATGGTCTGGCTCCTGAGTTCCCTCTTCCCTCCAGACCCCTCTCACTCAGCCCTGGGACCCCCTCCACCCCACCTCGGTTTCCTGCCTCTCCTGTCTTGCCACCCGCTTTCCCTCGAAACTCTGTGGCTTTCAGCAAATGCTCCTCTGTCCAGCCCGAGCTTCCCTGCAGCAGCGCGTCCTGCTGTCCAGCACACAGCTGGGCTGGGACTCACTGCTCCATCGCCCGCCTCCCTGGGAAAAAGGCCTCTCCACGTGCTGTGAAGAATAAAAGCAAATGAGATTCTGCCTCCATGACCAGAGTAGAGACCTCTGTGGACATCCTGCAGGCCCAGCAGCAGGGTCACCGCAGGGAGGCGACATGGACGGGCAGCTGTCTCCAGCACCCACTTCCCAGCCCTCCAAGACACCACTCCCAAAACACAGGAAATCTGCCAGGGGGCCACGTTGGCATCCCACCCGCACCAAACATCGCTCGGCCAACTTCACTGGTTGCCCCATTTATCGATTGCTCATAGCAAATTACCCCAAAACTTAATGGATTAAAAATTCTCTCATTTTATTACATCTCACAATTGTGTGGGTCAGCAACTCATGCAAACCTCGGCGGGCCATTCTCCACATGACGCCATCGGGGTTACTCAGAGGTCAGCCTGGCCACAGGGAGGTGCTGGGCTGCTCCCTTCACTGCGGGGGGGCCTTGGCCAGAACTGAGCCTCCCCTCTCCTCACCCAGGGAGGCCCCACCCTGTCCAGGCAGCCTCCCCAGCAGGTGCTAGGAATTCTCCCTGGTGTCGGGGCTGCCACAGGTGGTGTTCCAAGAGGCCACTTCCAGCTCCTCCTGAGCAAGCCTCAGGCCTCCAAAGGTGCCCTCTGCATTCTATAGAAGAGACAAGTTGCTGAGGCCAGTCTGGTGTCAGGTGGAAGAGATCAAGACTCCACCTCTCGGAGGGAAAGCAGCAGGCTCAGGATGCAGGCCTGAGAACACAGCCCTGGAGCACCTCTGATTCCTGTGAGCTAGCAGAAGCGGAGGAGCAGCATGGAGCCCTCCATGGCCCTCCTCGACCACCAGCTCTGTGTCCTCTCCTGTCCTGGGCCGCCCCTCAGGACGTGGGCTTACAGGTGGTTTACCACGAAGGCTCTTGGGATACAGTCCTGTGGGCAGGGAGGGAGGGAGGCAGAGGAAAGGGAACCCTTGCTGTGGGGCATCCTCTGCAGGACGTCGGCAACCCCGCGGGTGATATGGTTTGGCTGTGTTCCCACCCAAGTCTCATCTTGAATTGTAGTTCCCATAATCCCCACATGTCATAGGAGAGACCCGGTGGGAGGTCATTGAATCATGGGGGTGATGGTTTTATACGGGGCTTTTCCTCCTTTGCTTGGCTCTCATTCTGTCTCCTGCCAACCTATGAAGAGGTGCCTTCCACCATGATTGGAAGTTTCCTGAGGCCACCCCAGCCTTGCAGAACTGTGAGTCAACTAAATATCTTTTCTTTATAAATTACCCAGTCTCAGATATTCCTTCACAGCAGCATAAGGACCGACTAACACAGTAAATTGGGACTGGGTAGTGGGGACTGCTGTAAAGATACCTGAAAATGTGGAAGTGACTTTGGAACGGGGTAACAGGCAGAGGTTGGAACAGCTTGCAGTGATCAGAAGAAGACAGGAAAATATGGAAAATTTGGAACTTCCTAGAGACCTGTTGAATGGCCTTGACCAAAATGCTGATAGTGATATAGACAATAAGGTTCAGGCTGAGGTGGTCTTCGATAGAGATGAGGAACTTGTTGGGAACTGGAATAAAGGTGACTCTTGCTATGTTTTAGCAAGGAGACTGGTGGCATTTTGCCCCTGCCCTAAAAATCTGTGGAACTTTGAACTTGAGATAGATGATGTAGGGCATCTGGTAGAAAAAATTTCCAAGCAGCAATGTGTTCAAGAGATGACCCGAGCAATGTTATAAACATTCAGCCTTATGTAATCACAAAATACGTGAAGGGAAGCTGAGCATAAAAGTTCAGAAAATTTGCAGCCTGACAATGTGATAGAAAAGAAAAACCCATTTTCTGAGGAGAAATTCAAGCTGGCTGCAGAAATTTGCATGAGTAGCAAGGAGCCAAATGTTAAATCACCAAGACAATGAGGAAAATGTCTCCATGGCATGTCAGAGGTCTACATAGCAGCCCCTTCCATCACAGGTTGGGAGGCCTAGGAGGGAAAGATGGTTTCCTGTGCCAGGCCATGGTCTGCTGCTTTGTGCAATCTCAGGACTTGGTTCCCTGTGTCCAATCTGTGGCTAAAAGGAGCTAACACACAGCTTAGGCCATTGCTTCAGAGGGTGCAAGTCCCAAGGCTTGGTGGCTTACATGTGGTGTTGGGCCTGTGGGTACACAGAAGTCAAGAACTGAGGTTTGGGAACCTCCACCTAGATTTAAGAGAATGTATATCAACACCTGGATGTCCAGGCAGAAGTTTGCTGCAGGGGCAGAGCCCTCATGGGAAACCTCTGCTAGGGCAGTGTGGAAGGGAAATATGGAGTCAGAGCCCTCACACAGAGTCCACGCTGGGGCACTGCCTAGTGGAGCTATGAGAAGAAGACCACCTTACTCCAGACCCCAGATTTAGATCCACTGACAGCTTGCACTGGAAAAGCCACAGAAACTCAATGCCAGCCCATGAAAGCAGCCAGAAAGGGGGCTGTACTCTGCAAACCCACAGGGATGGAGCTGCCCAAGGCCATGAGAACCCACCTCTTGCATGAGCATGACCTTGATGTGAGACTTGGAGTCAAAGGAGAGCATTCTGAAACTTTAAGATTTGACTGCCTTGCTGGATTTCAGACTTGCATGGGGTTTCTAACCGCTTCATTTTGGACAATTTCTCCCATTTTTGAACCAGTGTATTTACCCAATGCCTGTACCCTCATTGTATCTAGGAAGTAATTAACTTGCTTTTGATTTTATAGCCTCATAGATAGAAAGGACTTGCCTTGTCTCAGATGAGACTCTTGGCTTGTACATTTGAGGTAATGCTGGAATGAGCTAAGAATTTGGAGGACAATTGGAAAGGCATGATTGTGTGTTGTAATGTGAGGATGTGATATTTGGGAGGGGCTGGGGTGGAATGATATGGTTTTGCTATGTCCACATCTAAGTCTCATCTTGTAGTTCTCATAATCCCCATGTGTTGTGGGAGGGACCCAGTAGGAGGTAATTAAATCATGGGGGTGATGGTTTTATAAGGGGCTTCCTCCCTTTATTCGGCTCTCATTCCTTTGCCTGCCACCCTATGAAGAGGTGCCTTCCACCATGATTGTATGTTTCCTGAGGCCTCCCCAACCATGGGGAACTGTGAGCCAATTAAACTCTTTTCTTTATAAATTACCCAGTCTCAGATATTTCTTAATAGCATGAGAACAGACTAATACAGCGAGTCTGAGGCTGGATGTCCCTTAAGAACCTGCCGAGTGGTCAGCCAGTCTTTGGAGGCAGACTACCCTGAGAGGAGACTGACCTTGAGCAAGGGGGCCCCCATCCACCAGGTACTCGCAGGTGGTGACAACTCATAGGTCCGCCTTTGCCACAGGGGACCTGGGCAGTCCATTTCCAGGGCTAGTGCCACTGGTCACACCCCGGCAGTTCCTCCAGAACTCAAGTGGGCCACCCTTCCTGGGGGACTTTGGAAGAGAAGGCGAGTAGGAGGAAGCTCAGCTTCTGCCACAGCCGCTGGTCTGAGGCTGCAACTGTGTCAAGTCCTGCCAGCATGTCCCAGATTCTTCTGGTGGGGATCAGCTGCATTTTCAGGCCCATGCTGGCCACCCACCTGCTCTGACCTCAGGGCACCATGTTCTTTTGAGCCTGTCCATGAATATCTGGGACATGAGGGTCTCCCAATGCCCCTCCTACTTCCCAGCTCATGGCAATTGTGTCCACTGGCTCCTGACACCTGGCCTCTGTCTTTCTAAGCTCCAGTACCCAAATTGCCCTGGGTGGTCCCAGTTCTGTAATAGCCCCTTCTACAGCCAGCCTGACCTACAGAGTAAGTCCACACTGCCTGCCTCCACCATGCAGGAAGCTTTGGGGACTGATGTGTCTCCTGGGCCCTCATATGGATGGCAGCTCTCTGCAGGTCTCCAGCCTCATGCTGAATGTCTTCTGCGATGTGCTCCCTGCTTCTCCGTGCCTTTCACAAGCCCTTCAACATCTGCTATGTGAATGCTGGTATTGCCACCACACACAGGGGCCATCGAATGTTCCTTGCTCCCTGGAGACATCCTAGGGACATTCCACACCACCGCCCAGGGGCCCTGCAACACTGAGCCCTGTGGTCGGGGTAGCACTCCCAAGTTCATCCCCTTCCACCACACCGGGCTCTGTCTCCCTTGCATTCCTGCGCAAATACCTTCTCCATCCAGCATTCTGCTTTCTCCCCTACCCCTGCTGGTGGGACTGGCTGGGCCCTACAGCCCTCTTCCTCCTTCACCAGAGCTGGCTTTCCCCACCTGGATACACTGGGACCAGGAGGGGCCCTTGGGCAAGTCCTGGGGACTAGCGTTGCTGTGCAGTGTCAGGCCCCTGCATCACCCCAACCAGAGAGGCAGTGCTGGCTCCCATTCTTAAGGAGGTGTCCCTTCATTGGGCTCAGAGGGTGTTGGAGAACCAGGGAGCTCCAGATTTGCAAAAGTGCCAACCCCTTCACACATCAAAGCTGAGTCCTGCCACCCTCAGCTTCTGCCTGGGCACTGCCAGCCTGCCTGGACTGAGAGCCCAGCCTTGTTCAGATACAGCAACTCCTGTGAGTCAGACCTAGAACTGATCCTTTGGCTTCCTTGGTCCTCCCTAGAGGCTGAGTCCTTTTCCCTACCCCACCAGCCACACAGTTCTTCAGGTCAGCTCGGCCCCTGCCATGTTTCACAGTAGCCCAACAGGTGTCCGCGCTGCCCACCGTCTCCCCAACCCCTTCCCTGTCCCTCAACCACAGTCACTCCCAATAGGATCGCCTCTGACACTGAGCAAAGCGGTGGCCCTCATGCTGCAGCTACTTGTTTCTCCCACCTCCAGTGACAGGGTTCTCACTGCCTTCAAGGTCAGCCTGTGCATCCTCCAGCCACTGCGGGCCAATGTGTCCCAGGGCTGGGGGCCTAGAAAGAATGCCTGAGAGAGAGGTCAGTGTGGGAGGCCTCCATGAACCCCAGAAAAGTCAGGCAGGGAGGCAGGGTGGACAGAGGCATGAGCAGAGATACGGTCTCAGTGCAGACTCTGGCCCACCCTAGGGCAGCACTGAGGCCCCGGAGACCTTCAGAGTTAGAGCTGAGGCAAGGCCAGTGACCTGGGTCTTTACAACCCCACCACACCAGTCACTGGGACTGGGCTGCCCACAAGACAGGTCTCTGACCTGCCTGGGAAGGGGCTGAGAGCCGAGGGATTTCTGTGGGAAACTGGGTGGAGGGGCACAGGAATTCTGCCTTATTTTTGCAACATCTTAGAAATCTCAAACTAATTTCAAAATAAAAAGCTATTTTAAAAATGATGGCTTGGCAACCATTATAGATGTAGCAACATGGATGGGAACAGAGGGCTCCTGCATGTATCCCCAAGAAGGACCTACAGCCGAGGCAGCTTGGACCAGGGGCCTGGCATCCGCGCAGCCGTGGGCAGAGTTCAGAGCAGGCCCAAGTCTGCAGAGGCATCTTTATGCCCCCGGGGTGGGACCTCTCTCTGAGTCCATTCACACTCTTGCTTAGGTGTGGCTGACAGTAATTTCGGTCCAGCACTGCTCTTTCATATCCCAAAGTGAGATTAAGATAGGAGGCAAGGTTCCTGGGAGACCTAACGCATCTGCCTTTCCTCAAACAGGTACCACTCTCACTTCCTTTGGGGCTTGTCACCTGCAGCACCCTACCCTCCAGGAGGCCAAGGCTGCAGGTGTCGGATTCCAAACCACAGCAGACCTATTTCTCCAGAGAGCAGAAGAAGGAAAAATTGAAAGTTTCTGCCTCTTTAGGGTCATGTCTTTAAAGTTTCTCTCATGAAATATGCACAGCAAGCTTCACAACTAATGAGGCTACAGGCTCCCACCTTCCCTCATCAACATGGAAATGTTTAAGGACAGTGCTACTTCTGTGTGCTCCTCTCGGGCAATTCCATTCCTCTTCTTTCTGCTTCTTCCTCTCTGTGGACAAAACAGGGGAAGGACGAGAAGAGACACTCCGGTTGCCAAGAGCAGAGACTTAGAAGAGAAGGGCAGAATCTCATTGTGCTGCAAAATAGTTATATGACTCTGCACACCTTGGGAGCCTCAGTTTATCCTTTTGTAAGATGGGGGTGATGATGCACACCACACAGGGATGGTTATGAATGCCCACAAGTAGCAAGCATCCACACCAAAGTATTCAGAAAAAGATGGATTTATTGATGGCTGCAGCCAGAAAGGACACCAGAGTAGCTCACAGCACCGGAGAACCTGGATTCTAAATCCTCCCAGTTCCCCCACATGGGCCCGCAAACTCTTGGTTTCACTTCCCAGTAGGCTCCACGAGCAACTCTGACTCATTTCTCACACTTAGAGACAGAGAAAATAGAAATCCCCACTCCTGGCCTCCATTTATCAATCCCACAGAAGGGTTCTAGTGAGCCCTGTGTTATGGCTTGGCTCTGTGTCCCCATTCAAATTTTAATCTCCAAAGTTGGGAGAGAAACCTGGTAAGAGGTGAGTGGATCATGTGGGCAGATTTCTCCCTTGCTGTTTTTGTGATAGTGAGTTCTCATGAGATCTGATGGCTTCAAAGTGTGTAGCACTTCCCCCTTCATTCTCCCTCTCTCCTGTCATCATGTGAAGATGTCCTTGCTTCACCTTCACTTTCCACCACAATTGTAAGTTTCCTGAGGCCTTCCCAGCCATGCCTCCTGTACAGAATATGGAACTGTGAGTCGATTAAACGTCTTTTCTTCATAAATTACCCAGTCTCAGGTAGTTCTTTATACTAGAGTAAGAGTGGACTAATACACCCCATAAGGGTCACTGTCACTTAGAGGTGGAGCTGAGACTGGCAGATACGGATGAAAGTAGAGAGGGGCTGTTCTCCTAAGAGAAAGGGGATTGTAAATCTGCTGAATTAATCCCAAACTGGAACCGCCCTCCTCTGCTCCAATTTGGATTTGATGAACTTGGACACGTGAAACAGACCCAGGCTGTCGGGACATGTGTGGGACTGGTGGGCCTGGGGCGGGGTCAGGCTTTAGACAAGGTGGTTCCAGATGCTCAGGAGCACCCCCTACCATGGACAACAGAGCAGGGATGCACACCTGGGTGCAGGAGCATGTGCCAAACATGCAGGAGCAAAACATGCACAAGCAGAAAATGGTGCCAAGGCAAGCTAGGCCAGAGTGGATGAGATGATATAGGGGTGAGTCCAGGTGAAGCCCAGCACTGGCAGAAGAGAGCAGAAGGCACAGAGAGAAGAACGGCCTCGGGGCCAGACAGAGTTTAGGGACAGGTGGCCGGAGATGGGGGCAGCCATCCAGGCATCTCCTGGTCCTGATTTCTCTCTCTACCAGCCTCTGACCCAGATCTTAAAGAGGCACCAAAGGGGCTCCCACGCATGGTGCCAGGCACATGAGCGTGCTCAGAACGCCTGCAGTCACTTCCTCTGAGCACTCAGGAAGAGGGAGTGCACACAGGGACAGGGGATCGTGTGCATCTGTACTGACGACGGAATCCCAGCAGGACACCTTCACTCACTTCCCATAACCAACAGCAAATGCCATGCATCTTTGAAGGAGCAGGAGAAAAAGCTGCATGTTAACTCTGTCATTTTCCAAAATTACCAGACCAAAGATGAGCATGAAATATCTTTTCGCTGAGATAATAAAAGTGGACAAAAATAAATACCAAGCCTGTGTTATTACTATTTACCCATCTGACACTACATAAGCCTATTTTAAATGGCAATATTGATCAAATATCTATGACGATACCTAGCAAGTGATTCATTGCCTAAAAGGCTACACTGCTTGAATTTGATCCATTCTATCACATTGTATTAATTAGACATATACCATTAAATATTAAATCATCTCTGCCTACATAATTTGTAATGCATTGTTTGAAATTGTATTTGTAATATATCCACAGACTTATTTGCTGCAAAATAAAGTCTATCAAATTTCATCATATAGATAATATAGATGGTTGACTGTAAAAGAATGAGAAAATATGGCTGACTTTTCCATAAACTAAAAGGCACGCTTGCACTCATAAAGAAATAAATAGTTATTGCCCCCAATGTGAAATCAGTTTCTTTGAGATGCACTACATGTAGTCACTGGCCGGGAGGCCTGGACCATGTGATGTCTCATTTTCCTCACAATTACTATTATGTAGTTGTTGCCAGTGCAGACATTCCCTAGGAAAATCGCTTTATTTAATACTAGAATTACATCACATTAATAGTAAATTTAAATTTACAAACAACATATAATTTGCTTATTTCAGCATTGTACCTGTTTTTAAAACAGACAAAAGAGCTGGTCTTTTCAGCTACTGAATACTTGGATTTTTGTATGGTATCGGGGTAAGAGCCCTGAACTGGGGATTAAGAGAAATGCCTTTGTTTCTGTTTGTGTCTGTTTTATTGTCTGTGCACAATATTCACTAACTCACTATGTGACCTTGAATGAGTCTTTTCCTCTCTCTGAGACCTACTTTCCTCATCTGTAAAGGAGGTCAGCTTAGGTGGTCATGAAGTCCCCTTCTCATTATCACATCCTGTGTCTCTATTTGAGGAAAGGAATGGCTATTAAATGAGATTACAGAAAAAATAAAGTGACCATGGGACCCCACTGCTGTATCTGCAAAGCAAAAACATTTTGGATTTTGTTAATCAAAATGCTTCTCTCTTTGTCTGTCACTTGTCTTTGAAATCAATAAAACAGAGCTTCATGAAGGAAGCATTCACGCAATGCCCACCGTGGGATGGGAACCCCCTTACACACTGGCAATATGGCAAAGCAGACACAGACATTGAGCCTACATTGTAAGGAAACAAGAAAAATAAATGAGATGCATAGAATGTTTTTATTGCTGTGAAGCAAATTATCACAAACTCAGCAGCTGGAAAGAGCCGTCTTATGAACTCATTGTCCTGCCATCAGGAGTCTGGTCAAGCTGGCTGGGTTTTCTGCCTAGGCTTACATGAAACAGCATCCAGATGTCAGTCGGGCTGTGTTCTCATCTGGAGGCTTGACTGGGGAAGAATCCCCTTCCAAGCCCACTCAGGCTGTTGGCAGAATTTCCTTCTATATGGGGATAACTTGGTTATTCAAAGTTATTCATGATGTTATCAAAGATTCTGTTTTTCCAGCAAACTTGCTCCAGGTGGTCACTTCCCTAGAGTGAGTCTGCTGGGAAAATGCAGTCTTTCATGACATCATGCACTCACAAGTGTGGCACGACATCACAGCCAGCCCACTCTATAGGGTGGAAGCAAGACACAGGCCGTGTCACACCAGAGGGCTGGGTTACACCAGGATCTGAACACAGGAGGCAGGAGCCATGGGGACCCCCACAGAGTGCCCACCACAGACCAGGAAGGTGACACTACATCCAAGACTGGAAGGAGGTAGGGGCATCATTACAACTGTTGGGCATCTCCATGGCTAAATCAGCCAGTGCAGTGTCCCCAAGGGAGGAGCTGGTGCAGTTTGTCTGGGAAGAGCTGGGGCTGTTGCTGCTGAAGAGAGGCCAGAGGTCAGGGATAGGACCTAGGAGTGGGGGTGGCAGGGGCCTGTGGTGCAGGACTGGTGCACCTCAGGACCTCATTTTTTGACTTTACTGTAAATGAGGTGGGGCCCTTGGAGGGTGCCAAGCTGCAGGAAAGCACAGCTGCCTTGGCTTTCCAAGGGCCCCTCTGAGCTGCAGGAGGGCAGGGCCAGAGCAGAAAGGCCAGATGGGCACTGTACACACCATTCCACAGAGGATACTGGCCCTGACAGGGCAATGACCAGTGTGAGGTCAAGGGATGTCGTGCTCAGCTTGATTTGGGAGGTGGCACTGACGGGGTTTGCAGATGGATAAGAAGTGAGTTTCCCCAGTGTCAAGACCCTATAACCCTGCAGCCCTTCTCTGCCTCTGGGATGGGATCTAAAGAGACCCTTCTAATGGTGTCCTGCCGTATCCTGCTGTGGGCACGTGGCCCCAGTCCTTCACAGCCCCACACTGTGTCTCACCTTGGGGTTCCTGTTGCTGAATAACCCTCACCCCACCCCCTTACCCTGCATCCCGCAGGCCTCTGACAGGCGTGTGTCATTCATAGGGTGCTTCTCCCAGGATGCTGCCAGGCAGCTAGAACTGCCTGAGATGCTTTCCTCAACCCCTCTAGGTAGAAGTGAGTGTGTTCTTCCCACATTCACACCACACACTGTTTTTCACTTGACATGGTCATCTGATGGCTCGCCTTCCCTATTCCTAAGCCTCTGCCCCTAGTACAGTGCCTGACACAGACACTCACCAAATACGATTATGGAGTGCTAGGCAGAAGGGTCCACGTAGCCTCTTGATGGCCAACCCAGCTAACTCGAGAGCTGGGCTTTAGCGGGAAGCCCAGTGAAAGAAGGAAGGTTTTCAGGCTGCTGATTGGAGGCAGGAAGTGTTAGAGCTTGAACTTCAGTACCAACGCCGGAGGCCTGCTCAGAACTTGCAGAGGGCAGGGGAGCCCGGTGCAGTGAATCTCAGACAGCGAAGACAGCAGGAAGGACCTGGCCCCACTCAGCCCAATCTGGGAGCTTGCAGTGCTCCTGGCAGTTGCAAGAACAGAGACACAGGTAGAAGAGAGATCTGGGGAGAGACCAGACGGCCCCTGCCTAAGCCATGCCGTCAGGAAGATCAGAGCGAGCCCCTGGGCCCCCTGAGCAGAACTGCAGCTGGAGCCCAGGGTGAGCTCAGGGACACTCAGCCTCTCTGAGAGCCCCCAGCGAACGTGACGGGAGGCCCAGCGCCCGGGGTTTGAGGGCCCTGTCAGCTTCCATGTGTATAGTTCCTCGTTTTCTCAATAGGGGTTTCACCCTCTGGGTTGTGTGAGGGGATCTGGTTTCACCAAGCCAAGTAGCAGTGAACTCCAGAGCCTGCTTCCCCAAGCACCCCTGTCATACTCTGGGACCCTGGTCCAAGAGCCCCAGGAGGAGGGGTGCCCCAAAGCCCCAAAGGCAGATCAGGTGCCCCTGGGGTCCCAGCAGGCCTGGCCTGAGTGGGGACCTCTGGCGTGGCTGCCTCAGCCCCAGCAAAGCACAACGGCCACGCAGCTCACACCCGGTCACCAGCAGTCACCTACAGCCTCTCTGGGCCCCACCTGAGACCTTCCTGGAGAGGGGCACAGGCAGTATGCCCACCTCCTACCCAGATCCAGGGCTGGAGAGGGGCTCCCGGAAGGGTGAGGCCAGAGGTCCCCGTTCATCCTTCCGACAATCAAAGCTGGAGGTTCACTCTCAGAGGCTTTTCCTGTCTTCCGCTCCTCTACGAGAATGCCAATACCCGGGTGAGATGATGCATTAACCTATTTCTCATGGAGGCGTGGGTCATTCATCAGATCCCCTTTCCCCATGCGGGGGGCGCCCAGCTGCCAAGTACACGCTGCTCCCTTCAAGCCAGCCAAGGGCTGGCCGGGCTTGCAGCTTCAGTGGGCTCTGTGTGTCCGGGCATGTCTCCCACTCTGAGCCTCAGGGCCCTGAGGGGGCCCTCAAGGGGGTGGATCCCTGAGCGCAGAGCCCTCCTCCTCCCAGAAAAGCTCAGTTATGGGAAGGAAGGCACTCTTGCCTTTGCCTTTCCCAGAGACAAACCTCAGGCTGAGATTTTGAGTTTAATGCAAAATGAATGCCGGCCAGAGAAGAAGCTGCCAGCTGCTGTGTGGGGTTTTTCCACTCATGGCTTCTGGTCTTCACCTCTGAGAATCCTTTCCTTTAAACCAAAACCATGAGCACTAAGAAAATCAAATAAGCCGTGGCCTGGGACACGTGCAGTCAAGGGTGGCGCGGCCGCCTCCAGACCTCACCTTCTGAAAGGCTGGGCAGGCGGGGGTGGGAGCAGAAGGGCCCAACTCAGGCCGCTGCTGTGTCTGCGTACTGCGAGAGGAAGGGGATGCCCCTTGACCAGCATAGCCTGGGGGGTGCTAAGAACCAGACTCAGGGTCACCCTAGCAGAGGGTCCGGCTGGGTGCACCGCAGGTGACTCCACTGAGGGAAAGACACAGACGCATGGGGCTGACTCAGGAAGGAATGCGCAGCTGCACGGTAGGGGCGGCTGGGAAGCCGGGCATGTCTGCACCTGGAACAGGCTGGGACACCAGCCCCACAGACGCCTAAGACTCAGCTGCAGGTTCTCCGCGGTCACTCTCCTACCCCCCGCAGGGAGCCGCCTCCCACCTATGACTGCTCAGCCAGAGAAGGCTCTGGAACGACTCACAAGCCTCCTCACGCGTGGGGTCAGGGCCTCCCTCCAGCTGTGCTCAGGAGGGCTGCTGAGCCTGTGGCTGCTGGAACCCGCACTTACCAAGTGCCCTCCATTAGCCCTTCCCATTCTTGCCTGAAAGGAACCCTGAAAAGCGGCAAAGCATCAAATTTCCCCCACTCAGTTTCCGGGAGCTCATCCAATTCTCTACAGGAGGGTGGCCAGCTTTGGGATCAGGATACCAAGAGCCACTGTCCGGAGGCTCAGTCACCTGGGCTCACCCTGAGAGTTGGCATAGGCCCAGGCCCACCTAGCCTCTGGCCCTGCAAGGCGGAGGGATCCAGAACCAGGGCAGGAATGCTTCCAGCACACTCAGGGACCCATGGGCCACCAGGGTGGGCCCCGAGTCCCCACTCAATTGGCCAGGCCAGCAAGCATGGATCCACTCCAGAGGAGCAAGCATGGATCCACTCCAGAGGTTTTGGCTGTCAGCAGAGTGAGCCTTGGGAGCCACACAGGACTTGAGACCCCTTCAACCTGGAAGGCCTTGAAGAGCAGTGGGGGGCTCTCAGCCTTCCTGAGATTAACTGGGTCTCTCCTGACCTGTGAGCAGATAAAAATGAGAAATGGTCACTTCTGGCCTGTTCTGTCTATGGAAAGGACTTCTCACAAGAAAGGACTCAAAGTGACCTTTGGAATTCATTTTTCTCAAAATAAATAAAGCCAGTGAGGTCGCGCAGAGGAAAAAATTGCAGAGGGAATCTGGAAGGAGGGAAGGAGGGAGGGAGAATTCTTCCTGTTCTGACCTTGAGAACACTTTTGGAAATTCAGTCATGCACCACAATCTCTCTGTCAATAATGAGCTGCGTATATGATGGTGGTCCCATACGACGATAGCACCATATTTTTGCTGTAACGTTTCTATGTTTCGACACATGAACAGTGGCCACTGTATTACAGCTGCCTGCATTATTCAGTGTGGCACCATGTTGTTCAGACTTGTGGCCTAGGAGCCACAGGCTGCACCACGTGGCCCAGGCGTGCCGTGGGCTGAACCATCTGGGGGTGGGTAAGTGCACTCCGTGATGTCTGCACAATGAGGTGCATTTTGCAGAAGGCTTCCCCGCTGTTAGGAACCGCGTGCCTACGAGCACCAGAAAAGTGTCCCTTCTAACCAGCGGTCAGGGGCCGCTGGTGATAACCACACGAAGACATCCTCCCCGACATTCCTGTGGCCAAAGAGAAACGTAGAGGACAGAGCCTACTCCCAGGGTGACTCTGTGGCACTCAGGCACGTAGGACACAGGGAGAGAGAGGCTGGAACGTCCCTAGCAGAGGCCTGAGTTGGAGGTGACACCTGCACAGTCCTTCACACAAGCACCTTGCTGCTTCTGACAAGCCCGTGCCCCTCCACACACAGGGAACCCAGGTCAAACCTGCTAACGCGATACCACGTCCCATCCCAAGAGGCACTTCGGACCCTGCAAGGCTGCCAGGCAGCCCCAGCTGCCCCCCACGGTGCAGGCTGAGCCAGGCAGTCCTCTCCCTGATGGCCAGCTAGGGGTGGTTCCATGGTGGCCTGGTTCCCAGGCTGCCTCCGCTCCTCTCCTAGGGGACACTGCTGCCCTCTTCTCCCCACAGATACAGGAGGGGCCTATAGAGGGGCTGCCTGGGAGGGTCCCAAAGGCTTCCCTGGAGAACAAGCGCCTGTCACAGAAAGGAGCCACAGCAGGTGGGGAGGGCGGAACAATGAGCTTGCTCCCATGGGGTCCTGGGAGCTGTGCCGAAGACCCCGCAGGTGGCCAGGCCTGGGCAGCAGCTGCCATGGGCACCGGGCATGACCTTCCCTGGAGGGAACCTCGGTGGGCGCAGCTCCAGCTCCCCAAGTCTAATGGACGTCTGCACAGCCCGCCTTGAATTCCTGAGACCCCTCACACCTAAGGCATCTGGATCAAATTTCTCCACATCTCTCCAGTCTTGCCATCCCACTAAGGGACACCCCACCTCACCAGGTTCTCAGGTCAGAACTGGAGGGCAGCCCCTGTCCCCTCCTTCCCCATACCCGTGAGTCCCAGGAACTGCGAGAAGATTAGATCCCGTGAGGGAGGTCTCCCCAGTCTGCAGCTGCCCCGTGGGTGTTGTGAGCTGGCCCCGAAGCGCCACGGAGTCCCTCAGTCAATTCCTGGCATGTGAGCAGGAAAAGGGAGCACAGAGGAGGAGATGCGGGGGAGCCATTGCAAGGGCAGCCTCTAAAGCCTTTCTCGGTTGGAGTCCCTGATGTCACGATGAGTCGCTGGTGCCATTGGATAACAAGAGTTCCACGCTCAAGGACCGCCCCTCCAGGCCTGGTGGAATCAGCAGTCACGGCTGACTGCCCTGCGCAGTGAAGGGTGGGACCCACTGCCCAGCCACCCAGCATGGAGTGGGGCACTCTGCACACCTCCCGGCAACCTCCGGATGGTGTCACCACATGGCTGGCCCACTGCCACCAGGCCCTGCCCTTTGAGGACTCAGTAGCTTCTAGGGTTCAGTGTTGCTCAAACTTCAGGCGTGGCGGAAGTGCTCTCACAGCACCGTTAGGAAGCGGCCGCAATCATCTTAAGGCATGAGAGTGTCTGATGCTCCTGTGAGGAGACTCCTGAGTGCACACCGCCCCTTCCCCTCGCGACTGGATGCTCCCAGCTCCTCCCGGGCCTCCTGCTGAGTGGAGCTGCAACCCAAACCCAGATTCTTCTAGGAAGAAAATGATGTGATCCGTTGTTCTTGAGCTGCCATTTTCACTGTGTCCAGCCTATCTCACACTGTCCTTCCTCACCCACCGCACGGCAGCCCTGGAGATGTATCAGTGCTGGAGATGTATCAGTGATGGTTTCAACGAACTTCTTGAATTCCTTCCTCCAAATGGTCTTTTTTTCTAAGAAAGCCAGGGTGGTGCAGAGGAGGCAGTGTTTCCTCGCTGACATGTTGGCAGGACAGGAAGGGCTCATTGACTTAAAATACTTCCCATCTGGGAGCAAAAATCCACCCATAGCAAGCCCTCCGTTGAATTAAGGTTTTTGTTTTTCCTCCAAACCACTCCTTTACCAGTAAGAATAGGCCAGGGCAGCACAGGACGTATGGATCCCGCCTGCAGCCACCATGGTGGAGGCAGCCTGAGAAGAGAATGGGTCCCAGCGGGCCCTGCACATCCCAGATGGGCACCCCCCCACACCCCTGCTTACCCCCTGGGTGGACCCACTGCACTGCTGCTGAATTGCGGCCTCACTGCATGCAGCTCCCCAGTGTTTCAGCTTCACAGCTCCATGCTGCGTTCTGAGCTCCCTGCAGGGAGGGACCTGGTTTCCCTCACAACTCCTCCCCCCGACCCTGTTTCCCTCCATTCTGATTAAGGACAAGGGATCCCCATGCAGCCTGGACACCAGGACCAGCAGAAACCTGTGAGCGCCCAGGTCCTGTTGCCATGTCTGTGTGACCTGTGCTAATAAAGAGCAACTTGTGATCGGTGCCCCTTGGGATACCCACGGGATGCCCCACGCCCTCAGGGAGGCCACAGACCCTGCGGGGGTTCCTAAGCTCCGATGTCCAAGTGCTGACCAAGCCCAGCTCCTCTCCTGGGCTCCTCCTAGGCCCTCCTCCGGGAATGTCATTCCATCTCCTGCAGGGCCCAGGCCTCCCCTGGGCCAGGCTCCCACTCGACACCAGCCCCTGCTCCCCAAGACAGACCCCTAGACTGCACGGTCTCACCAGATGAGGTTTCTCGTTGGAACCCTGGGGTCCGGCTCTGCTGCTGCTGAGGCACCGTGCTTCTTCCTGGACCCTCAGGCAGAGGACAGTTCCCTGGTTGATGGCTTAGCTGCATACAGGACCTGATGCAAGTCCACTCTTGCTCTGAGCCTCAGTTTCCCCATGGGGGTGAGCACTGCTCTAGCAGGAATCAGGTGAGGACTAAAAGGGAAATGAGGAGCGCAGGACACTGTCCCTGGGCTGTGGGAGTATTGGATTCCTTGGCCTCGTGACCTGCCTGGCCAGGTCTCCCGGGAGCTCCAGCATCCAGACTCACCCCTGCAAGTCCCACACCAGTCCCACCACCCATGCCAGGCTGTCCATGAGGTGAGGCCCCACTTGCCAGGATGTGGCCCTCTCCGGCCTCCAGCAGGCTCTGCCTGGCTCACTCTGTGCCCTCCGCCCCTCCTCACCTGTGCCTGTCCTGCCAGCCCTGCCCGGTGGGTTCGTCCAGGCTGCTCTGCAGCCCAGGCTGTGTGTCTCTTCTTTTGGCTGCTTGGGGTCTGGCCCCCTCCCCTAGAAGCCGTTCTTTTCTCCATCCCTCTCCTCCCAGCGTCCTTCACCCCCATGCTGGATGGACACCTCCACTACAAGATGGTCCTGGATGCAGGCATCACCTGCCCACGCCTCTGTCTTCTCCTCCCTCAGTGCCACCTCTGCAGGGCATATGACTCCTCCTCTCGAGGGCTCTGAGCTCCCTACACCATATGACAGGAGAACCGTGATAAGCAGATGTTTGCGGAGTGGATGAATGGGAAAAATATTGTAATGGTGGAAACTTCCAATCTCTGGGAAGGGTGATGGGGTGGTATATTGGGTTTATTACAATCTTACCACATAGGCAGGTGACATTAAAGCCAATATGGAGGGCTGACCCTGGGGTCCTGGGCCTCCTCCAGATCCACATGTGGGAGGATTGGGAGGCACCCGTCTGTCCCAAGCAGGGTTCCCAGGTGTGGCTGCACATGGCATCACCAGGACAGCGTTACCCATGACCTTGCTGGGTGCTGCCACGACGCCCCCAAGGGCTCAGGACTGACTGTCACCTGGACAAGGGGACTGGGAGCTCTGCAGGGCCCAACACACAGTCAGACTCAAGAGCTACTGCCCCAAGGTGACCTCACCCAGGGTGTTCCCTGGCCATGACAGCAGACCCTGCGCTCCTCCCTTGGGGTCAGTGCTTCCTCCAGGTACCCCTCCCCGTCTAGGCCCCCTTTCCCTCCAGGTCCCTCCCCACCTCCAGAACCTCCCTCCCCTCCACACCTCCCCTCTCATTCCAGGCCCTTTTCCCTCCAGGTCCCTTCCCAACTTCAGAAAATTCCTTCCCTCCACACCTCCCCTCCCCCTCCAGGTCCCTTTCCCTCCAGGTCCCTCCCCACCTCCAGAACCTCCCTCCCCTCCACACCTTCCCTCCCCTCCAGGCCCCTTTCTTCCAGGTCCCTCCCCACCTCCAGAACCTCCCTCCCCTCCACACCTCCCCCTCTATCCAGGCCCCTTTCCCTCCAGGTCCCTCCCCACCTCCAGAACCTCCCTCCCCTCCACACCTCTCCCCCCATCCAGGCCCCTTTCCCTCCAGGTACCTCCCCACCTCCAGAACACCCCTCCCCTACAGTTCTCCTCTCTCCATCCAGGTCCCCTTTCTCTCCAGGTCCCCCTCCAGTTATGTCCCCCATCCTCCTATACTCCCCTCCCCTATTTACACTATCCCTACGCCTCCTTCCTCCTAGTCCCTCAGCTCCTAAGCCCCCTCTATATGCAGAGAAACCCCTACCTCGACTCACTGCCCCCACCACCATGGGAAAGAAGCTGGAAAAATGGCTGTAGTCAGGGGCCATGCAGAGCTGGAGGGAACACCAAGCGTGAGCCTGCAGGCCGATGGCGAGCGGTCAGGGTGGCAAGGAGGGTGACGGCATCCTTTCAGCCTGGCTTCTGCCTCCACCCCTCAGGGCACCCCAGTTTCTCAGATCCGCTCTGACAATGAATCCGCGCCTTCCGGTCTTGGCTCCCAGCCAGGTCCATGACACTGGGAATACAGCGCTCTAATTAACGGCCCTCATTAATCAGGGCTCAAACCGGGCAGAACTCAGATCCGGCCCGGAGGGGAGATGAGTGCTGGCCGCCCCAACAAAGGCCAGTTTCTGTCTCCGCCAAGCATCCCCGCTGAGCACGGAACCCTGGGCCGGCGAGACCTGGGACCTGATCGGAAGGCACAGGAGACACAGACCCAGGCCTGGGAGAAGCCGTGGAACCAGCACTCTAGGAAGGCTGGAAGGCTGCAGAACATCATTATTTTCTGTGTGCTTCATTGCCCAGAACCTCTCAGCAGTGATCCCACAGCCAACAGAATAAAACCCATGCTCCCAGCTAAATATGGAAAGCCTTGTGATCTGACCCAGGGTAACCCAAGCCCTCCTCCCATCCCTGGCAGCTCCACAAACTGTCTGGTGACAAGCCCAGATAGGCACTCTTGCCTGCCTGTGGGCGTCTAGTGATGCGCCTACAAGGCCAGCTGCACCTCCCCATGCCGGCCACATGTGACCCAGCCAGACCCGGTCATTCCAGAGGACACCACCCTGTGGCCGCTGCTCTAGCAAGGGCAGTGGCTCTGGGCACAGGCTGCCCGGCAGGTCTTCCCTCCTCTGCCCAGGTCAGGTACAGATTTTGTAGATTCAACCTTGTCCTTTGGAATTTGACTTCAGCCAGGCACAGAGGCATCCCCTGCTCCATGCAGCTCTGCACTGGGCCTCTGGCTCATGGGCCCTCCTCACCAGCACCCACTCCCCGCCCCGATCCTCACTGCACAGCACCCATGCGCCCTCCGATGCTCTGCTAGGCCAAGGCTTCTTTGTGCTCCTGGCGTCTGAGCACTTTCTCCATGGACTTGCACAGCAATGTATTAGAGCATCAGTATAGTGCATCTCACAGTCTGCCAGTTACTATTGTTATTCAAAACAATCCTTTATCTCTCCCAGATTTTAACTACCTTGAAGACAGGGCTTTAATGAGTCCCACTCATTCCACCAGTGTTCAGCACCATCTCCATAACAAACAGATACAGGTAAAATGTATCAGAAATGTCCTTATTTTTAAATAAGAAGTCAAGGATTGGATTTAGGACTACAGGACCCCATGCTCTGACTTATTTTTAGATTTTAGAAGAAAGGAGACACTTTTTTTTTTTTTTTTTTTTTTTTGAGACAGAGTCTCTTCTGTTACCCAGGCTGGAGATTCTCCTGCCTCAGCCTGAGACTACAGGCGTGCGCCACCACACCCAGCTAATTTTGTATTTTTAGTAAAGGCAGGGTTTCACCATGTTGCACAGGCTGGTCTTGAACTCCTGACCTCAAGTGATCCACTGGTCTCGGCCTCCTAAAATGCTGAGATTCTAGGTGTGAGCCACTGCACCTGGCCACACTTTTCAAGATAATTCGCCCTCACCTTAGCATCTGAATGCATCCATAACAGGTAAATCTTATAGGTAACCAAAGATATGACAGAATTATCCTTTTGACTTTGTTATCTTACAGATCATTTTCAAAGGCATGGTGATTGTTCCAAGCCAGCACAGCCAGGACATCTGTTGACAAAGGCACCTGACGTGGGGTGGAGCCCCTGTTCCAAAGGTCCCAGGCCTTGGGTGAAGCAGACAGTGGGATTCATTCAGCTCCCAAGGTTGCCACTGGGACAAAATTAATTTGGGCCTCAATATTAATTCATGCTCATCTGATGTATCTCTTTCTCCTACAAGCAGAGCACAGCCTACCATGCAGGGCAGTGAAGCCGCCCCTTATTTCCAGATGACGGGGCACTCGCTCTATCTCCAGCGGACATGGATTTACCCAACAGCATCAGCTGAACCTGCACTGAGCATAACAAAATGCAGGTAGCACGCAGCTCTTCACAGGATGGTTTCAACTGTGGAATCATGGAAAAGCATGAAACGTGCAGTCAGCTATCCATGTTGAGTCCTGGCTCCATCATTTGATTAGTTGAAAGACCTTGGTGGAAACTGAATCTCTTTGAATCTCACTTTCCCTATCTGTAAATTGGATTTAAAGACACCCATCCTACTTATGCCAGACTTGCCTCAAATGTCAAGATGACAATAGAGAAAGCGCAAAGAAGCCTCCCTCTGCAGTAAAGAGAAAATATCTACCCAAAGACCAGGCAGCATGTCACGGGTTCTCGGGAATGCCAGTCTCTTCTCCCACCTCATTCCCATGGAAACCTGTGTGAGGCTGGTTGCAGGCGGGAAAAGGACGACAGTGGAGCCTCAGACCTGGCAGAGTCCCTGGGTGAACGCAGGGCTGGGAAGATGTAAGAAGCCAGTTACCTCCAGAAGGCACGGCTCCTGGTAGGCTGACTGCTAAACTGGAAACAAGACTTCTGTGGGCAGAAGGGACAACTGGGAACCAAGAGAGCAGCATCCCGAGTCACAGAAAGAAACAAAGGAGTTGCAGGCACAGCGAGGACCAAGCAGGCGTCTTCTGGACGGTGCCAGCCCTGCCTCTGCCATAGCCCTGCCCACAACAAGCGTCCCCGCCCCTGGCAAGTATCCCTTCTCCACGGCAAGTGTCCCCACCCTACGCCATCTCACCGGAGCCAGATGACTCCCAGCAAAGGCTGCAGCGATGGGAGAGTCCAGGTACTGCACCTGCCATCATTAGTCTCTGCTTCCACGAGATGGTCCAGGAGGCCTCCCCTCCATGCCTATTTTTATGCTAATTCCAGGGTAATTGGCTTATGGTTGTCCCCACATCAAAAACAAAAACACCCTGGGCTGTCGATCACCTTTCGGTCTACTCTAAGCTCTGGGGCTACTACTTCTTTAATTGGGAAGAATGGGCGTTTTGCTTTTTTTTTTTTTTTAAGCTCCAAATGGTTGTTTTCATCCCCCAATCACTGGCTCAGGTATTCTCTAAACTTTATTTGCTGCCTCCAGCCAAACTTAGACCAGGGCTCTGAGTCAGAAATCTAGTCGACAATCTCTGTTTCCTTTATCCTGGCCCTCCTGTGACACAATAGAAATATATTTGGTCTTCGTCCCTGGTTCCTGGCATGGCGCTCTTAAGCGCTTTGAATTTTCTGAATGGTAGGAGTGACTTTGGTTATTCACAGAGAACCCCCTCTAACATACATGAGTTTAGGCTAATGTGGTGACGCACTGTGAGGGGGCCTTGGAGGGCTTCAGGAAGGGGGCTGATCACCAGACGAACAAGCATGTGCCCCTGATTAGAGGGTTAGAACTTTCACCCCAGCCCCATCCTCCCTGAAGGGAAGAAACACTACAGGTTGAGCTCAATCACCAACGGCCGATGATTGAATCCACCGTGTCTCAGCAATGAAACTCCATCTAAAAATACCGAAACAAGGAGGCTTGAGGGGCTTCTGGGTTGTTGAATGCAGGCAGACGCAGGGGCATTGAATTAGTCTGTTTTCACACTGCTGATAAAGACATACCTGAGACTGGGTAATTTATAAAGAAAACGAGGTTTAACGGACTCACAGTTCCACGTGGCTGGGGAGGCCTCATAATCATAACAGAAGGCAAAAGGCACGTCTACATGGTGGCAGCAACAGAGGATGAGAGCCAAGTGAAAGGGATTTCCCCTTATAAAACCATCAGGTCTCGCGAGACTTATTCACTACCATGAGAACAGTATGGGGAAAACCGCCCCCGTGACTCAACTATCTCCAGCTGGGTCCCTCCCACAACACGTGGGAATTACGGGAGCTACAATTCAAGATGAGATTTGGGTGGGGACACAGCCAGACCATATCAGAGGTGGAGCACCCAGTGAGGGCACGGAGCTCCTGCCCCCTCCCCAGACCTTGCCTCATGTGCTTCTCATCTGGCCATTCATTCCTGTCCTTTTGAATAAACCAGTAATCGTAAGCATAAAGCTTTCCTGAGTTCTGTGGCTTGCTCTCGAAAATTATCAAACTTGAGGAGGGTCGTAGGAATCCTCAAATATACAGCTGCTTGATCAGAAGTGCAGGTGGTCCCCAGGACTTGGAGCTGGCATCTGGAGTGAGAGCATTCTTGTGTGTCTGAGCCCCTAAGCCCGTGGGTTCAGCATTAACTCCAAGTGGTTAGCCTCAGAATTCACTGAATCACTGGACACGTGACTGGCATCAGAGCATCACTGCTGGAAAATGGGCCTCCACATCTGCTTCAGAGCCATGCCTCACCCACCCAGCCATTAGCACCTCCCCAGCGCCACCCAGGAAAGGCGCTCCTCATCCTCCTGCTAAGGGAGCGCCACACCACGCCACTGCCCTACTGGACTTACCCACATTCCTCTGCTTACAACAGCTTAGTGAGTCCCCATTACCTGAAACATGACGGTCAGAAAAACACTCTTTATAATTAACTGTGGGGCAGATTTTGCTGCTCTCACCCGGGGAGAATACAAGTGGAATGCTTTGTCACTTGACTGAGCAGGTCTCAGCTACCATAGGCTGTCTGGGGAAATGGAGGCTTCCATTCCACTCCCCATGCATGGCCAAACCACTGAAACCTTCCAGAAAGGCTCAAGTCACCATATGCTGAGATTTCCCATGATAAAATCCAAACCACGCATATTGCATACGTGTGCAGGGGGAAATGGCATGGAAAACCTTTGGAGAACGTGCCCTGAGCCTGCCTGCCTTGCCCCAGTGCATCCCAGCCTGGCAGGACGAGGGGAACGCATTGCTGAAATCATCCATCCTTCTCAAAGCTTGCTTTGGTTTCCCTTTTATTGTTCTTTGATGTCTTAAAAACAAGAACGAAAAAGACATCTCAAATGGAGAGGATCAGTTTCTCTTTTTTACTATAACCCTTACTGCTTCACATTGGACTAATATAGCCAAAATTAAAGCTGCATCTAAGCCTTTTATGACCTTGGGGTACATGACAGCACCAAAATTTGGCGACATTCTGGAAAGAACAATTCAAGTTGTTTTCCCCCAACACTTTGGCATTCCTCCAAGACATGATAAGGTGGATGGGGCTGGGGTGGTCAACCTTGCCCAGAAGTCCCCTGTGCTCGGGCTCTGGCCCCTGTCCAGCCTTGGTTCTCAGCTCCCTTGCCTTGGTCCCCTGGGACTCCTTCCCTGGCCATTCAGGCAGAGCTCATCCCAGCCTCTATGCCCCTCTGCTCTTCCTTGTGTTATATATTTAGGCCAACGCTCGTCAAATATGCCATTTATCTTTTTAATTGCAAGTTTTCACTCTTGGCTGTAGCTCCTTGAGGACAGAGACCACATTCTATTTATGTTAACAACAATAAACTTTAACTGGCTTTACCCTAAGTGAGATTTACCACTAAGCTTTTAATATGTATTCTCATTGAAACCTCACAGCCATCCTCATTTTACAGCTGAGGGGCCTAAGAAAGAATCCTTCCCAAGGGCAAACAGCCAGAAAGTGACTCAGCCAGAGCTTGAACTCAGGCACAATCTTGACCCTGGCAGCAGCAAGTGGAGCACCTGGCCTTGGTGCTGAATGACCATAGAGCAATGATGACCAAAATGCTGACGGCATTGGCACTCCATCATCACAGCTAATATCTGAGAAGACAGCTTTCTCACACACGTGGGCTGTTTGGCTCAGGCAATGTCATCATATATCATATTCTCAAATGGGACTTGTGGCATATTCACAAGTATCTTAGAGGTGATGACTAATGCAGGTCCAACCCTTGCAGCAAGCCTGGACATAGAGTAAGAGGTACCCAGAGAGCTGATCCCCAGACAGTGTATGGAATAGAAAGAGCTTGGGATTTGGAGTGAAGACAGACAAATAATAAAATAGAATTTAAAATCTGGCTCTGGAGGCCACAGAACAAACCATGCCTGCATTTCTGAGTAATGAAGAAGTGGTCATCCTCAATTAGGTTGATTCAACAAGCTTTCTTTAGTTACAGATGTGTAGGTGAAGTGGTGGAGGGGGATGCAGGCAAAGAATGACCACTTGTGATTTTTAAAGTTACTTTTTCATTGGCTTATTTTTTCATGCAAGCAAAATTACCTGTGTATGAAGTCAAGATGCATGGACCAGTCATGATTGTATGGAAGTTATACTGCATGGAAGCCATAATACCTGAATATTATGACACACAGACCACTCATGATGCACGGAACCCATGCTGCATGGTCATCATGTTGCATCAAACAGTCACAACACATGGAAACCATACTGCATGAAAAACATGAGGCACAGTAGCCATAATGCATAGAAGTCATGAGGCATGGAGGCCATAATGCATGGAAGACATGATGAGTGGAAGCAATAATGCATGGAAGACATGACGCATGGAAGCCATCATGCATGGAAGTCAAGAGGCATGGAAGCCATAATGCATGGAAGACATGATGAGTGGAAGCAATAATGCATGGAAGACATGATGCATGGAAGCCATCATGCATGAAAGCTATGATGCATGGAAGCCATCATGCATGGAAGTCAAGAGGCATGGAAGCCATAATGCATAAAAGTCGTGATGCATGGAAGCCATAATGCATGGGCCAGTCATGATGCACAGAAGTCATCATGCATGGAGGCCATAAATGCAAAGAGGTCATGATGCACGGGCCAGCCACAATGCATGGAAATTATGATGCATGGAAGCCATGATGCGTGGGTCAGCCATAACTCATAGAAGATATGATGCATGAAAGTCATGATGTATGGAGGCCATAATGCGTGAAGTCATGATGCATGGACCAGTCGATGCATGGAAGTCATGAGGAATGAATGTCATAATCTGGCCCTCCCTTTCTCTTCAGAGACACCTTACCGAGTCCCAAGTCTTTCATTGATCCTGGGCCCTTATATGTTATTGTCCAACAATACTGAATGGATGAGGTCCTTCAAACACATCATGTTTTATGTCTTTTAACCTTTTCACTTTTTCTCTGCCAGAATTTCCCTGCCCTCCTTCTATTACCTCTAATCTTGTCCACTTTCCAGGTTATGCTAGAACGTCAGAGTCATTCCCTGGTCTCCCCCAAGACCTATTCATTTGTCCTCCCAAAGCACCTTGAGCTTACTTCCTACCTTGTACCTAAAGGACTTGGGAACAGAGTTAGCTCTTCCCCTCTGTGTCACACTGCTGCAGAAGTGTGAGATTCCTGAGAACAAGACACAGCCTTCATGATCTGAAAACACATGCCTGTGTCTATCACATGGCAGGAAACCTATAAACGCATCAGAATAAAATAAATAAATGATCAAACAAACTCCTTACTTACCTCCTAGGCTCGTGGGTCAGGATCCAGGCACTGTGCTTAGTCTGCAATGTTTGCTAAACCCTCTTCTTTTTCCTTAATAATCATTGTTCTCTTAAACTACAAAAAGCTTTTTATCCCTCTTAAAATAGGCCTAGGTGATATCAAAGTGAACTCTGGTCTGAAAGATGCCCAGGAGACATGAATGTCACTTTGTTTCATGGTAGCTTTTTCTGAGAAAGAACATAGAAAAACTGGGCTCTGAGAATATCCAAGCATGCCCCCATTGGGGTATCCAGGTTTTGCTCCAGGAAGCATTGCAGGGGAAAAAAAGCATAAGAAAGACAGGGAGATGGGCAGGCTTTGAAGACCAGAATTATAAGCTCCAAGTGTGCATTTAAAGCTGAGTGAGGTGAGGCATATAAATGGAAACTAATTAATCTGAAGGAGTGATGTTCTGGTGGATATTCGAGTTTGCCTGGGTGCCATCTGGCCAAATGCTCACAAAAGAGCTAACTGTAAACAGAGAAACCCAGAAAAGCATCTTGGAGATGGGAAGCTGCCTGTGAGTACCGCCAACCAGGCCAGGACAGCCCAGAGCTTGCTGCTCCTGAGGCCTCACCCCCAGCTTGCCTTCAGCTACAAAGTAAAGTGCAGGGAATGGACCAGGAGACCTGGGGTCAGAGATCTGAGTTCAAGTCCTTGTGGGGCACCTGCTGACAAGGTGACCTGGAGAAAGTCACGCAGCCTCACTGAAGCTCCATCTTCTTCTTTGTCATCCACCACACAGAAACATTGTGAATTGCAGCCCCCTCTGTGACAGTGCTTGGAAGATTGCAAAGGGCTCTGCAAGCAGGAGCTACCATTATGTGAATCAAGTCCCTGCAAGAGTTCAGAAATGTTGCTGGTAAGAAAGCCATGTCTTCCAGCTCCAAAATCATTTACTCCTTGGTTCATGGACTCAGGCATCTGGTCATCTAATATTGAATGAGGATGTAAAGTGCTGACAGCAATGTGTGAAAACAGTGCCACTCAGGCCCACTGCTACTCTCCAGTGTGGGAGGAGGCAGCAGAGGCCACATGGAGACTGTGGACTTTAGGGCTGAGCAGGCCCCTGAGTGAACCACCTCTGCTGTTGCATGATGATTCCTGAAAAGGGGGAATCTCACCTGACCTTGCAGGTGCCCCATGCTCAGCACAGCACCTGATACAACACAGGGACCCTGAGGCCATGACATGCTGATCCTCCTGCCCTTCTTGTCTTAGGCCCTGGTAGCCAATGATCATCCAGAAAAACCCTGGGAAACACGGCATCAGCAATGGATCTGGAGACCCAGCGCTGAGAAGGCTCAATGACAAAAGCCTATGGAAACCACAAAGGTCTATATTTGGGGTCATGAGACAGAGGACAAACAGGGAGAAGAAATGGTTGTCGGAGACTCAGCACCCCTGCCATGGTCTGACGGGACCATCGTGACCCCTAGACACCAGAATCACTGAAGGCTATATAGGCCTGTATTAGCCTGTTCTCACACTGCTAATAAAGATTAATTATAATAATAATTAATAATAGTTTATAAAGAAAAAGAGGTCGAATGAACTCACAGTTCCAAATGGCTGGGGCAGCCTCACAATCATGGTGGTAGGTGAAGGAGGAGCAAAGGCACATCTTACATGGTGTCAGGCAAGAGAGAGCATGTGCAGAACTGCTCTTTATAAAACCATCAGATCGCATGAGACGTATTCACTATCATGAGAACAGCACAATAAAAGCCCATCTCCACTATTCGATGGCCTCGCACCAGGTCCCTCCAATGACACGTGGGAATTATAGGAGCTACAATTCAAGATGAAATTTGGGTGGGGGGCACAGCCAGACCATATCAAGCCCTCTCTGCCACAGGCTCTGTGCTCTGTGGGCTCCGTGGTGCAACCCCTCCCTGCCCACCTCACCCCTCTGGCCTCCATGTCTTAGTCCTGGTCATGGGTTCTTCTTTTCCACGGCCTCCTTACTTTATCCTGGAACGCTGCATTTCTCACCCTAAGAGCACTGGTCCTACAAGTGCTTGTAGTTTAAACTTTCCTTCTGGCTTATGGCTTCCAGACCTAGAGATCAGCCCCAAACTCTGCCCTAACATTTAAAGCAGACTGTTCATTCCTTGTTAGTCAGTTGGGTGTCCTGCAGGACTTTAAATTTACATCCAAAACCAAACTCATTACCTTCCTCCAAATTGGCTTCTCTCATTACCTTCCAGTTGTCTGAGCCCAAGCCTGGAGCCAGCACAAGCTCTGTGTCCTCCCTTCACATCCTCTTGTCCCCTGCATCCCTCACATGTTCCTTAAGTCCCATATCCAGCTGATTTTAACCCCTATGGATGTCTTGCCTCCTTTGTCTTCCTAAGCTCACCACCAATGGCCTGGTTTAGAAGCCCATCACACCCAGGCAGACTGCCTCGAGAGCCACATGGTCTTCCCACATCCAGTCCCACCTGCTTAGGTCCACTCTGCACACAGCAGCCAGGGTGGGCTGCTGACACCATAGTCTCTCCAGATCTCTTGACAACAAAGCACCAGCTTTGTTCACATCGTGCACAGGGTGAACCACAAGCTTCCTTCCTTGGATCACAGAACCCTGAAGTGGACTGCTTCCCCTCCGCTTGAGCCTCTGTTCCTGTCACGCCCACCCTGGTGCCCATTCCCTGGTCACCAGGAGCTTCAGGACCCCCTGCCTCCTGCTTGCACAGGCTCCTCTCCCTTGCTCACCACCCCTGACTCCCTTCCCACACTGGCTCATCCTTCCATACTTTCACACACTGCACCTTCTCAGGTGTCACACTCTGCACCCTCCAAGACTTCACACCCTGCACTCTCCCAGCCTTCACTCCCAGCACTTCCCCAGGCTTCACACCCTGCATCCTCCCAGAGTTCACACCCTGCATCCTCCCAGCCTTCATACCCTGAACCCTCGCCTACCTTCACACACTGCACCCTCCCAGGCTTCACACCCAACGCCCTCCCCTACCTTCACACCCTGCACCATCGCAGGCTTCACACCTTGCACCCTCCCAGGCTTCACACCCTGCACCCTCCCAAGCTTCACACTGTGCATCCTCCCAGGATTCACACTCTATACCCTACCAGGCTTCACACCCTGCACCTTCCCAGAGTTCACACCCAACACCTCCCCAGGCTTCACACCCTGTACCTCCCAGGTGGCTTCACACCCTGTACCTCCCAGGTTTTACACCCTGCACTCTCCCAGAGTTCACATCCTGCACCCTCCCAAGCTTCACACCCTGCACCTTCCCAGAGTTCATACCCAACACCTCTCCAGGCTTCACACCCTGCACTCTCCCAGACTTCACACCCTGCACCTTCCCAAAATTCACACCCCACACCATCCCAGAGTTCACACCCTGCACCCTCACAGGATTCACACTCTACACCCTCCCAGGCTTCACACCCTGCACCTTCCCAGGCTTCACAATCTACACCCTCTCAGGCTTCATTCCCTGCACCCTCCCAGGCTTCACACCCTGAACCCTCCCAAGCTTCACACCCTGCACCTTCCCTGAGTTCACTCCCAACACCTCCCCAGGCTTCACACCCTGCACCTCCCAGGCTTCACACCCTGCACCTCCCAGGCTTCACACCCTGCACCTCCCAGAGTTCACACCCTGTACCCTCCAAGGCTTCACACTCTACTCCCAGGATTCATGCCCTACACCCTCCCAGGTTTCACACCCTGCACCCTCACAGGATTCACACTCTACACCTCCCAGGCTTCACACCCTGCACCCTCACAGGATTCACACTCTACACCTCCCAGGCTTCACACCCTGCAACTGCCCAGAGATCACACTCACCGACTCTCAAGGCTAGACACCCTGCACACTCCCAGAGTTCATACACAGCACCCTCACAGGCTTCACACTCTACGACCTCCCAGGATTCATGCGCTACACACTCCAAGGTTTCACTCCCTGCAACCTCACAGGATTCACACTCTACACCCTCCCAGGATTCACACCCTGCACCTTCCCAGAGTTCACACCCACCACCTCCTCAGGATTCACACACTGCACGCTCCTAGGCTTCACACTCTACACCCTCTCGGGATTCATGTCCTACACCCTCCTGGGCTTCACACCCTGCACCTTCAGAGTTCACACCCAACACCTCCCCAAGATTCACACCCTGCGCCCTCCCAGGCTTTACACTCTACACCCTCCTGGGATTCATGCCCTACACCCTCCCAGGCTTCACACCCTGCACCCTCCCCCACCTTCACACTCTGCACACTCCCAGGCCTCACACCCGACACCCTCCCATGTTTCACACATGCACTCTCCCAGGCTTCACACCCAGCACCTCCCCAGGCTTTATACCCTGAACCCTCCCAGACTTTACCCCCTGCACTCTCCCAGGCTTCATACCTGGCACCATCCCAGGTGTCACACCTATACCCTTCCAGGCTTCACACCCTGCACCCTCCCAGGCTTCACACTCTGCACCCTCCCTGGCCCCAGGAAGCTTTTCCTGAATGGACCAGGGGGCCTGGTGTCCTGCCAAGCTCTCATACATCTGTGCCCATCTCCAAGGTAGAACCTGCCTAACTCACCTGTCGCCTTAGGAAACACAGGGCTCTCTTTGAGGACTGTGCTCTCTTAGGAGAGGCTGCATCAAAACCCACACCCATCTGTTTATCTTCAGTGCCTGGCAAACCGAAGAACAAATGATGAACATCCCACAAAGATTTGCTGAACTCAGCCTGGAGTAAACAAGAACTCAAAGAAGGTCAAGAACTAGAGCTGTTGCCAAATCTCAATAAGTGCAGCCCACCACAGGGCAGTCACTAATTTTGCGACATTGATTCAGAGCCTGCTATACTCCACCACATAGCTGCTACAAACCACTGCCTGCTCTGGGGGCTGTTATCACATACCCGCCTCCCCAGAGTAGAAACTCTCTGAGATCAACACCTGCCTTACGTATCTCTGCACCTCCAGGCCCCTCCAGTGCCTGGCCTAGAGCACCCGCACGTGCATGCTCACAGAGTCACAGCCACAATGATGGGTGCATCCCAAAGTTGCCCTTTCTCTTTGCATCTTCATGCAGACAAGAGGAGAATTCACTTCCGTCATCAGTGACACTTGGTGTGGGAGCTGCCCTGGGTCCATTAGCAGGATTGACATTCATGCCGCCTCCCTCCCAGGTGACTTGGATCAGGCACTGGCATTTCCCGAGCGGCGACCTCAGGGTTCTAATTGCCGCCACCTTCAACCCACCCCAACTCCATCACAGCCCAGCAGGTGCCATGCTCACAGCTCAGGAGTGACAGCCACGTTTGACATGGAGGTCTGGTAACTTCTCTGCACCGCATTCCACCCATGATTACATAATTAATATCTGACACAGTTCACTCACTGACACACAATCTGCTGCAACTCCAGACGTTACTACTTATGGCTCAATCTTTGCAGGATTCATTAGGTTTGGTTGTTCATAGAATCTGCTTAATTTCCAGCTATGCCCTGTCCTGTTAGAAAAAAATTATAATCTGTAACAATTACACAGTTCAGTTGTTTAATGGAAAGTAGATTTGTCATAATTCTTTTGCGAAAAATGGCTTCACCTCCAGAGAATGCATTGCATTCCTGCAGTCCCTGCAATGGCCCTGAGGCTCCCACGTCTCCCAGCTGTGAAGGGTCCAGCCTGGCATCGCTCACCACACCCAGTTTCTTCCTCCACCAGGGGAGTCTATCCCTGAACAAGTGCTGGTGGAGCATTTTATATGGAAAGTCACTTATGATGGACATTAAATGAGCTATGTGCAGAAAGGATGCCATGCCTAAGTAGGTTGGAGAGAGATTCAATTTTAAAATGAAATATATGTGTGTGTGTATGTGTGTGTGTGTGTGTGTGTGTGTGTGTGTGTATATATATATATATATATATATATATATATATATATATATATATATATTTAGGGTAACGCTTATCAAAGTTTTACTATGCAAAGTCTCAATATTTGGGACTTCCTGAGAGGGGAGTACAGGGTGCAGTTCTGAGCAAACCTGCCTGTCTCCAGAAGCCCCTCTCCCTTTGCCTTAGGACAGCTGGTGGGACCGGCTCTGGGCATCTCTCAGGATCCGGCACTGAACTCTCTCCACTCACGTTCAGAGGGAGACACAACACATAAGCAACGATGGTGCATCCTCCTCCACCATGGAGCGTTCTTTCAACAAAAAGAAGTTATCTCATTCATTCATTTGTCCACCTGGTACTTCCTGAGCCACTTCTATATGCCCATGGGAGATGTTTTAGGCTGGGTTCTCTGGAGGTTTTCTGAAGCAGAGGTCTGTGTGCAAGCGTTCACCAGGGAAGTGCTTCCTGAGGAAGTCTGTGAGACAGCAGAGGACGCAGTTGGAGGTGGAGAAAGCCAAATGCAGGGTGACCGAGGCAGAGCCCCACGGAGGGTGGCTCCAGCTGAACCAGCCAGACCCTAGCAGGCCAGGCATATGCGGTTCCTCTGAGGCCTGGGATGGGCTCCTGTACCTCTGTAGGAAGGTCTGAAAGCCAGAAGCCAGAAGGAAAATTTAAACTACAAGCACTTGGAGGACCACTGCTCTCAGTGTTCCCAGGGCATGGGATACGGGCTCCCAAGGGTTCTCGGCTCTGCACTGGAGAAGCAGCAGGCCCAGGAGCCCCAGAAGGCCTCTGAGAATGACCTGCAGCCCCTGTAGCAGCTGGGGGACATGCACCATGGTGGGTGCCTTCACCCTGCCCTGCCTGTCTCAGCTGCTCTACTCAGAACCTCGGTTCATCTTCTCACCCCAGTCAACCTTCAAGTTGGCCTTAGCACAGCATCTGGCATAGAGTAAGTGAGTGACCAGGGTTTTGAGGGAATGAATGAATGAATGAATGAATGATGATGGAATGGATAGACAAGTCTATCGTGTTGCACCTGTGGCGAATGCCTTCTATAGCTCCCTACAGGGAGAGGCAACAGAGCCACTTTTCATTGGGAGCAGTCCCTGAAGACAGACTACTAACCAATGACACATCCTCATTCCCCATGTGACCTCGAGCAAGGGCCTTAGCATCTGCGTCTGTTCTCTCACCTGTGAAGGAGCCATTTGATGAGTGACCCCTGGAAAGTACTCAGAAGAGCAGACACTCAGCAGACACCATCATGGCCATCACCTCCCCCCATCCAAAAAGAAACACAGAGCAGCTCTCACAGGCAGCCTCTGAGGCTTTCTGCTGTCACCTTTGGCTCCTATGCCCCCATCCCCTTCCCATACAAAGTGGACTTTCCCAACTGGACAGCTCATGGCTTCTTGGACAAATCCTGGGTGTGCTGACAGCCCTGCCCTCATGCCATACTCTTTCTGTCCTCAATTTTGAATTATTTCTATTCCCTCTCCCTATACAGCCTCCTTCCTAAACTCGGCCTTTCCCAACTAAAACTCATCTGCTCCCCTTCCAGGTCAGCACAGTCTGACCCTCTCCCACGTCACAAATCATATTTGGATGCAATTGTTGTGCTCATCTTCTCTCTAAATCCTCTGTGCCTTCCACCAAGGTACCTCACACATCCCAGACTCAGGAATGGGGCAGGAGCAGGCAGAAGGGGTCTGTGGCTGTACATGGTGTTCAGTGTGGTGATTCCTCAAGGATCTAGAACTAGAAACACCATTTGATCCAGCCATCCCATTACTGGGTATATACCCAGAGGATTATAAATCATGCTGCTATAAAGACACATGCACACGTATGTTTATTGTGGCATTATTCACAGTAGCAAAGACTTGGAACCAACCCAAATGTCCATCAATGATAGACTGGATTAAGAAAATGTGGCACATATACACCATGGAATACTATGCAGCCATATAAAAGGATGAGTTCATGTTCTTTGTAGGGACATGGATGAAGCTGGAAACCATCATTCTCAGCAGACTATCGCAAGGACAAAAAACCAAACACCGCATGTTCCCACTCATAGATGGGAATTGAACAATGAGAACACATGGACACAGGAAGGGGAACATCACACACCGGGGCCTGTTGTGGGGTGGGGGGAGGGGGGGGGATAGCATTAGGAGATATACCTATTGTAAATGATGGGTTAATGGGTGCAGCACACCAACATGGCACATGTATACATATGTAACTAACCTGCACATTGTACACATGTACCCTAGAACTTAAAGTATAATTAAAAAAAGAAAAAATATAAAAATAAAAAAAAGGAAACAAGAAAATGACTTGGGGCTTTGTAAGTTAGGAAGAGAACTTTAGGTCTAATTTAAGGTAAAAATAAAGCCTTCAAGTGCTTTAAGCAGAAAAGCAACATGGCCTGGTTTGTGCTTTTGAGCAGCTTCCAGGCACTAAGGGACAAGGGCTGTGGCAAGACACAGTGAGAAGGAAGAGAGAGAGGAAGTGTCCAGGGGAAGGCTCGGCCAGACGGTGGACACTCCCTAGAGGGCTCAGTCAGACAGTGGCAATGGTGGTTTAGGCAAAGGGTGGCTGTGGAGATGGATAAAAGATGAGACGATGACCTAGAATATTGGCGGCAGGTGTCACAGGAATGGTGGATGCATTTTAACCTGAGAATGACAAGCAGTTTTCAGTTTGCACAGCTGAGAGGATGCTGAGAACTGTTAGAGCTGAGGAAGCATGGAGGGGAGGAAGTTTTGCTTATGTCGGGGAGTGGGAGGATAGATCCACTGAAGTCTGACAGCCACCCATCCACTTTCAGGACAGTGTGAGAGGCGGCATTGCCCGGTGTCTGTGGCTGGGAGCAAACAGCGGCTCCAGGCTCTATTCTGCCCCTCGGTGGGTGACCCTGAGCAACCGCCCAATGTGTGTGCTCGGTGGTCCTGTCTGGGGTGGTGCATCCCATGCAGAAATGACACTCCTCTTCACTCGGTGGCCCTGTCTGGGTGGTGCATCCCATGCAGACGCTCAGTGGCCTTTTCTGGGGCGGTGCATTCCATGCAGATGCTCAGTGGCCCTTTCTGGGGTGATGCATCCCACGCAGATGCTCGGTGGCCCTTTCTGGGGTGGTGCATCCCACGCAGATGCTCGGTGGCCGTGTCTGGGTGGTGCATCCCACGCAGAGATGACACTCCTCTTCCATGAGATCACCATCGGTGCCTGAAACATCACAGTTCAATAGTCGAGTGCAGTATAGGGTGGAGATATTGAGGCAGAGCTGAAGCTTCATAAGTGGGTTAGATTCATCATGTTTTACACAAAGACTTGCACTAGAGACCTTTGATTGGAATGAGAAGGAGGACGTGGCTCCACTAAGGAGAAGCTTCCTATGAGAAGCAATGAGGCATCAGGAAGGGGAAGAAAGCACGGATTGCAGTGGAACTCAACAGCTAAGAAGACAGGGAGGAAAGAGCCATGAAACCATGAGGAGACAGATGAACTCAACAGCTAAGAAGACAGGGAGGAAAGAGCCATGAAACCATGAGGAGACAGATGAACTCAACAGCTAAGAAGACAGGGAGGAAAGAGCCATGAAACCATGAGGAGACAGATGAACTCAACAGCTAAGAAGACAGGGAGGAAAGAGCCATGAAACCATGAGGAGACGGACTCATTCAGCAAATGGCATGGAGAGAATATCTAAATGGGAAAAAGCCAAATTACAGTTGTACTTCATACCAAAAATTAAATTCCAATAAATTAAATAGAAAAATATAGAAACAAAATACGGCCGGGCGCAGTGGCTCATGCCTGTAATCCCAGCACTTTGGGAGGCCAAGAAGGGCAGATCACTTGAGGTCAGCAGTTCTAGACCAGCCTGGCCAACATGGCGAAACCCCATCTCTACTAAAAATATAAAAATTAGCCAGGCATGGTGGCATGCATCTGTAGTTCCAGCTACTTGGGAGGCTGAGGCAGGAGAATTGCTTGAACGCCTGAGGAGGAGGCTGCAGTGAGCCGAGATCATGCCACTGCACTCCAGCCTGGGCAACAGAGCAAGGCTCCATCTCAAAATAAATAAATAAATAAATAAAAATGCCAGTAGTTTCCGTGTGTTTCCTAAACAGCCTATAAGATAGAGAGTGAGGTAAGAGGGTAGAGTTCAGGGATCAGACAAATTTAGGTTGAATTCTAGGACCCACCATACATGACATTAGACAAGTTACTTAACCTCTTCAGGTCTTGGTTTTCCTGTAAAAATAAAAAGAAGAAATTCCATGAAGACTAAATTCAACAGTGCGCCCATCACATCCAGCCTAGCAGATGACAAGTACTGCTTTATGTGAGCCAGTTTACCGTAGTCATGTGCAGTTTATAAAAATTTTCAATAATAGCAAAAAATGCATTTTTTTTCACTGGCAACCCTTAGGCCTTCAAAACATTCTGCTTCTCAGAATGTTCATTGAATTGCAGTCAACCAAAATTCTTCTGTGCACCCCAGTTTCACTTCAGGATCCCGCAGAAGCAGGCCCCCTCATGAGGAGGGTGCTTTGGGGGCCTGCATGGTGGGTGTACACAGCAGACATGAGCTCTGAGTTCCAATCCCGGCTCAGCATGAACACGGAGGATGTCCCAGGATGCACAGCTTGGTCACAGTGATAAGAGCCAGCCTTGACGATGGCCCGTGGCCGGCCCCATGCACCACCGGGATTTACAGAGACACAAAGCTGATCCCTATCACAGCCCAAGATCTCTGTTTTGCAGATGAGGAAGCCGAGATTAAATTAGGTGACCTGTGCAGAGTCGGAATTCAGGATGTGGCAGAGGTGAGGCTTGAGTCGGCGAGGTCGGCCAGGCTCTGCAAGGAGTTCTCTTTGGTGTGACACATTCAGCTTTCATCCATTTGTGGAACTCACACTCTGGCAGGCACAGTGCCAGACGATGTGGCAGCGCCCTCACAGAGCCCGGCTTCCAGCAAGAGACAGGCAGCTCGGCCAGGCCAGCGCCATCCGGACGTTTGATAAGTATCAATTGACAGTCAGGGAATGCTCAGCAGAAAGAATTCAAACAGAATAGCAAGGTTCTGGGAAGACTTCCTTTCTAAGAGGATGTTTTTGAAAACCTAAGAGTCTTTAGCAAATTGAATAGTGCATGCAAAGGGCCCTTGAAACCATATGCTTTCCTCAGCCGCCTCAGGTGCAGAACACAAGAACACAGGCCTCCAAGGTGTGTGCCTGACTCTAGGACCAAGCTGAAAATAAAATGGATCAAAAGTCCACTCAGGGTGAATGTGAGATCTCTCCTCTCATGACTCTTACCGAGCAGTTGTCAAGGGCTGAAAAGAAAAACTCCACAAGCACTTAATTCCCCAGTGGGAGCCCTAGGGACACACTGCAGGTGGCAATGAGAACAGGCCTGCCTAGGCCCTCCTGCTGCCACCCTAACCCTTTAAATTAGAAAGACAAAGCTTGTAATCTGAGACGAAAGGCGATTGCCCCAGCCTCTGAGGCTCTAGAATACTCAGACTTGCAGGCCAGCATCAGCATCTAGGCTGTCACCCTCAGGCAGATTTCTGAGTCTCCATGTGAAGCAGGAAGCCACAGGGAGGTGGCTCACAGGTCCCCACTGAGGCCCCAAATGATGACCTGTGCCTTAATCTGTTTTCCAAATTCCATTTGTGGGAGTTCCAGTGAGCAACTCTCTTTCCTGTGGGGGTAACTTATCAGCCTCTCATCCTCCTGTGGTAGCTCCAGGGTTATGGAGCAGCCTCCCGCTGCTGACCTGAACTGCCCACATAATCTCCCAACAGGAGTGACCTTATTTAGGTGATAGAACCTTATAACGTAAATCACTGGAGGATGGCCTATATGAACATGACAGATAGCATATTTTCTGTCAACTACACCATGAACCAGTTTTCCACCCATTTTTTTTTTAGATCAGAAATAAATGGAAAAGTGGAAGATCTTGTAAGATATTCCTGTAAGTGGTGACTGAGCGTCTACTCCACGGGAAGCACAGTGACTCCTGAGTGCCGTCTGAGTGTGGAGGAGCTCGTGCTCTACAGGAAAAGGAAAACTCAGGGCAGAACCAACACGGTGCAGGGCAGGGCACTCCCACGGTCTGCTGAGAGGCCCAGCGCAACCCTGAATTGAGAGGAGGATGAGAAATCTCATTCCTGACCAGAGAATCAGGACAGGCCCGCAGCAGGCACTCACGGCCTTATGACAGCTGACCTCTGGAATTACGAGAACTCAACTGAATTTCACTAAAAGTTTCACCTCTGGAAGAGTTCGTCGATCCCCGGCCAGTTAATGAGGAACACGCCCTTACATTTGTAGATGTCTAAAGAAAATGTGCTTGGGAAACAACTCACATCAGAAACCCAAATCTCATGAAAATGCACGAGGCTTCTTGTTGACGGTCCCCATAGGAAACAAATGCTCTTTTCACCGAACAACTCGTTTCCGGGCTGCCACCACATTGTCACGCTCTTGGACTAGCTCACCCCGATGGGGTGCTGTGCTGCAAGGTAGGGGCTGGGAGTCTTATCAGGAGGTGATGTTCCAGCTGGTCTGGAAGCCTGAATCAGACAGGAAGCATAGAACATCTCTCAATGGCATGAGGCAGAGGTGGCTGCACCTGCAGGTACAGCCGGAAAGGTAGGGCTTGAGTGTTCCAGGTTCTACAACTAGCACACCCCCATGGAAGCAAAGAATAAACAATGATCTTCTGGTCTGAATATAACGACCTTGCGCCTGGGTTACCGAGACTATGCCAAGTTCCTGCTGGTGCTCACAGGTGGGAAAGGGATCTGCACTGGGACAGGTATCCTAAGAGCGACTTGGGAGGAATGAAAATGACCCAGAGAGGTGCAGTGTGGAAGAACCATGAGCATGGGTTTTCAGGAGGCTCACTGGTTCCTCATGCTTCCAGAGGAGGAAGCATTTGTTCTGTGGCATTTATGGGCCCAGGGAAGGACATGGATCATTTCCACCCAGAGCACAGCTGGCAGGAGCCTTTCCCTTTCCCGGGTTTGGGTACAAAGAGGCTCCTCCTTGCCTAGAGGAACCATCTTCTAAGCCCCAACTCCTCTCCTCCACATGCTCGCAGCAGGCCTCCTCTTCACCCTGTGGGTGCCCAGCCGCCACCCCTGGGGCTCCCTCGAAGAGCCCTGTCTTTCCTCTCTCTTCTCACTGTGACCAAGCATGACCCGACCATGAATTTCTAGCCAAACTCGCCTGCTCCTGAAGACTTTGCTGGCAAAAGCAGCCCGCAGGATTTGCTCTGCCCAGAACCTGGAACACTCAAGCCCTGCCTTTCTGGCTGTACCTGCAGGTGCAGCCACCTCTGCCTCATGCCATTGAGAGATGTTCTATGCTTCCTGTCTGATTCAGGCTTCCAGACCAGCTGGAACATCATCTCCTGATAAGACTCCCAGCCCCTACCCGGCAGCACAGTGCCCCATCCTTCCCCCTTCCTGGATTCTGCAGCTCGGCTCTCCTATGTTGCATCTCACACCATGAGTCACAACATAACGTGACCCACATGTATGCATCTCCTGGAGCACAGGGAGCTTGTCCTGTTCTCTGGGGGCTGCCCTGTGGTCCAGCAGGTGCCTGACACACAATAGATGCTCAGTAAATGTTAACGCCCCCATGCAGATGGAAGAGGCTTTGCATTTAAGAAGCAAGTCACGATCCACACAACTTAGTTAGAAGCCCTGTGTGTTACGGGGGACTGAAATGCACCATCTGAGGTTCACAGCAGGATCCATGAGCAGGAAGTACCTGCAGCTCAGGCCTGTGAGGGAAGAGCCATGCCTCCCACAGGGCTTCTCTAAGAAACACACAACCGTGAGCCGAGCCCATCCCACAAACCTGGTGTTTCATAAACCCAAATGAGATCGAGTCGTCAGCATGTGGTTTGTTGGAGTCACGGCGACCAGAAGAACACTCATCTCTCAACAGTCATGAAGATTTTCTCCAAACTCACAAAGTCCCAAAGTTTTTCTATATGGCCATGGACACCACTTAAAGTCTCTGACATTTTCTACCTAAAAGATAAGATTAAGAGGAGATGGAGGGGTGGACCGCATTACCACGTAGCCAGTTCCACACTGCCTTGCTCTGCCTATGACAGAGGAACACTTCCCCGCACCGGGGATCCTGAGCTCAGCAGTGGCTGTGCTTGGGCAGATGGGACCGAAGTGAATACACTCCAGACCACATCCCAGCAGTGGTGTGGCTGAGCCTCTTGTCCAGTGCTCCCCCATGGAAAACACACACGGGACTGACCCCAGTCCAGAGCAGAGGCGCCAGAACCTGCACAAACCCCAAATGGTGCTAGATCCGTGTTGGGCAGCTCCAGGTGTGAGCATCACCACGATGGAGCAGGGCACAGGGAGAGCTCATGTTTGGATCCGTGTTGGGCAGCTCCCAGGTGTGAGCGTCACCACGATGGAGCAGGGCACAGGGAGATCTCATGTTTGGGATAAGGCAGTGAATCCGGAGGAGGCCTGCAGAGCAGACATAAGGCATCGCATCGAGGGGCAGGCATGCTGTGGCTCACTGACTTGCAGTAATGCCCCTGGCTGCGGAACCTCCCAGAAGCGCAGCCGTGTGGACACTGCAGACCTAGGTGCAAGCAATCATCTTTGCAACGGCGAGAGTAAATGCTGACAATTAAGTTCATGTGTTTTACCAAACAGGATCCAAGATAAGTAACTCATCTCAAAGACCAGGATCTATTCATCTGAGAGCCCTGTCTCTGACCATTAGACCAACTGGCCCCTTCATGCTTCCAGAAGACGGTGCAGTCAGAGACGCCATTCTCAGGCCCCGTGTAGGTGGCCGAGTCTGTCTGCCCCACTCTTCTCTTCCCTTCTCCTGCAAGGGCTGTGAGCAGCAGGACCTAGTCATCCCGCTGCACTTTGCAGAGCGCTCCCCCTCCAGGTGAGGAACACAGGGGGGGGGACACACCCTCAGCATCAGGCTCACACTCGGCGGGGCTCCTGAGTCCATCCCCAGGAGTGGACAGGTGGTATGGGAGGGGGCTCCAGAGGCCAGCAGCCTCGGACTCTCAGATACACCCCGTGAGGCCAGGGTGTGACCAGCCTCGCTGAGGCTGGCCAGCCACGTTAGACGCCACCACGCAGCATCTTTCTCTGTTACGCTTTGACACACGATGTGCTGATTGGACTCCAAACAACAGCCAATTTGGAATGGAAACACTCTTGTATTTTTAAATGAAATAATATTAATTTGGACAGTGAGCGTATGATCAGAATTCCTTCTAAATATTTACATTGAGTGCCTGGGGAAGAAAGAGACCTGGTTAATTGTAATTAATCATGGATAATTCATTACTTACAGTATCCAGCATGGCTGGGGCTCTGCTAGGCTCAGGATCCTAAAAGCCTGCAGACTCCAAGCTGAACCCAATGTAGTGAAGGTGGCATTGCCCTGGGTGCTGCCTGACAATGACAAAAAGGAAGCAGGGGTGGGCACAGCCTCCCATGCCCGTCACCCTCCTGGGTGTTATTCATTCTGAGATATCGCAGGGTCCAGGACCCAGAGGGGAGCAGCGGGTCAGGACACAGTTGCCAGGATGCCCCTGGAGACCTCTCCTCATGCCGAGTCCCTGGAAGGGAGGCTTCTCCCAGGACCTCCATCCTCCCTGCCCCTGCTTGAGGAGCTGGGGCAGAAACGGGGCTGAGCATCCTCATATTCCATGCAGAGGAATCTAATTTACTAATGCAGGAGTGGCTGGCCTGGAAGGAAGAGCACAGTGGCTGGAAGGATAGGGCCTGGCTGGACATGGAGAGCGGAACTGACAGGGGCGGAGGAAGGAAACCTGCATCCACTCAACAGGAGGACGCAGGCCACCCTCCATGGGGAAGAGCCTCAGGGATCAGCACCCACTCAGGCAGGAGGATGCAGGCCACCCTCCATGGGGAAGAGCCTCAGGGATCAGCAGCCACTCAGGCCGAAGGATGCAGGCCACCCTCCATGGGGAAGAGCCTCAGGGATCAGCAGCCACTCAGGCCGAAGGATGCAGGCCACCCTCCATGGGGAAGAGCCTCAGGGATCAGCAGCCACTCAGGCAGGAGGATGCAGGCCACCCTCCATGGGGAAGAGCCTCAGGGATCAGCAGCCACTCAGGCCGAAGGATGCAGGCCACCCTCCATGGGGAAGAGCCTCAGGGATCAGCAGCCACTCAGGCCGAAGGATGCAGGCCACCCTCCATGGGGGAGAGCCTCACGGATCAGCACCCACTCAGGCAGGAGGATGCAGGCCACCCTCCATGGGGGAGAGCCTCAGGGATCAGCAGCCACTCAGGCAGGAGGATGCAGGCCACCCTCCACAGGGGGGAGCGTCAGGGATCAGGGGGTGCCCAGAGAAGTCTGGGAGGAGGAGGGAAACATGGCTGTTGCCTCGGGCATGGGGAACAATGGTTGGAAGGTGGAAGACAGAGCTTGTTTCAGGGAATGCACTCAAAAACCTGGAAGGCACACAAAAACCTTTCCTCCTCCCTGTCCTCGCTCAGCCGTGTTCCTGCTGCCCTCCTGGCACCCGTAGCACCTGCGACCTCTATCCGTCCTCCCATGGCTGCTGTGCTTAGAACGGCACCACCTCCTGCCTGCAAAACCATGACAGCCCTCGGACAGCTCCCAGCTCCAGCATCTCCTCCCTCAGTCCCGCTGTGTCACTGCCACTCATCCAGAGTGCAAATCTGATCACCGCTCGCTTTAAACACTCTTCAGTAACTTCCCATTTTCTTTCATAAATACGGCAGATTCCCAGCCAGGCTCACCGTGGAAGCCCCCTGGCTTTGCGCCTCTCCCCGGCTTGAAGGCCTCGGTTCTTGTCACTAGGACCAACTCCTGGCCGCTCACTGAAGCACACCTCATACACAGCCATCCCCGTGATCGGCAGATTTTGTTCCTACGAATCTACCTACTTGCTAAAATCCACTTGTAGCCTCCACATGAGGTGCACTTGCAGCCATCTGTGGACGCGAACAGAGCAGGATTAATACTTGAGTCGCCCGAGGCACAGTTTCTGCGCTCATCCTTACTTCAGCTCTCAGACTGTAAACAAGGGTTCTTTTCGAGGTACAGTTAATGTTGTGTTTCTTTCGCATTTCTGTGGGTGATTTCACAGTTTAAAATGGCCCCCAGGTGTGGTCTCTAGTGCTGTCTAGGGATCCTGAGGGCAAGAGGCCATGAGCCATGACGTGCCTCATGCAGAAAATATGGTTAGAGAAACCATGTGCAGGCATGAGACACGGTGCTGCCGGCCAGGGCTGCCCCACTGATGAGTGAAGAACACGTATTATGTAGGTGTCTTTACACAGAAACACACATCACACGATGCCAGGTGCTGGTCATTGATGAAATTGTTGTGACCAGAATCTTGCAGGAATCTAACTGTGAGGGTTAATTTTCTGTGTCAAGTTGGCTGAGCCACGGCACCCAGATATTTGGTCAAACATGACTCTGAGTGTTTCTTTGAGGGTGTTCCCGGATGCAATTAACATTTAAGTCAGCAGACTCTGAGTAAAAGCAGACCCCTCCCTGCCATGCGTGGGCCTCATCCAGGCTGCTGAAGGCCTAAAAGAACAAGGACAGAGGCCCCGGAGCTGGGGGTTTCCCTGCAGATGCTCTCTGCCCTGAACCAAAGCACCAGCTCTTCCACCAGCCCACCCTGGGCACTTTGGACTTGCCAGCCCCCATAATCACATAAGCCAATTTCTTAAAATCTCTCACTGTCTGTACACACACACACACACACACACACACACACACACACACCCCTTTGTTTCTGCTTCTCTGGAGAATGCTGACTGATAAACTTCCTGTATTTCCCCTGAGAGCAATGGTTCAGAATTCACTAATACAGTGTTTGTGGCGACTTTACAGAACAGAGCCTCCTCGAGTGACAGGAACAGCTGCCTTAGACTCCCAAGATGACCAGAAGTGCTGCCTTGGATTCCCTAGACTGACTAGAAGTGCGCCTTGGATTCCCTAGACTGACCAGAAGGGCTGCCTTGCACTCCCTCGAGTGACATGAATGGCTGTTTTGCACTCCCTCAGTGACCGGAAGGGCTGCCTTGGACTCTCTTGAGTGGCTGGAAGGGCTGCCTTGGATTCCCTAGAGTGACCAGAGGGCTGCCTTGCCCTCCCTTGAGTGACCGGAAGGGCTGCCTTGTGCTCCCTCAGTGACCGGAAGGGCTGCCTTGCGATCCCGTCTAAGTGCCCTTCCCACCTGCCACTAGGACTCATGTCCTGAGGTTTTTCTGAGCCCATCTGCACCTCCCAGCACATGAAGGCATCTCTGCCTCCCTAGACCTCTCCCTTGAGCCCCACAGTACCTGGTCTCACCCCTCTTGTCACACCTGGTGCAGAAATGACATGCAGTGTTTGTGGAGTTGCCCCCTTAACTTTGGCATAGGGCTAGCTGCATTCCTGGCACACAGGAGATGCCAGATGCCATTTAACATGGGAGCCATCTGATGAGCGCTCCCACTTGGGCAGGCAAGGGCTCCAGCCATGGAATCACAGCCTCTTCCACGGGCAATGGAGACACAGTCCGTGGTGCAGGTGTGCGTGGAGGATACCCAGAGGTCCTCCTACATCACCTGATGCCCCACGATGGTGCGGGCAGCTCCTGACAACCCGTGATGGTGCGGGCGGCTCCTGACACCCCGGGATGGTGCAGGCGGCTCCTGACACCCCGGGATGGTGCGGGCGGCTCCTGACACCCCGGGATGGTGCGGGCGGCTCCTGACACCCTGGGATGGTGTGGGCAGCTCCTGCACTCCCTCTTTTCCTCTCGAGGACTTAATGGCTACAGCGAAAGCAGAGGCCTGCTGTGGGGAGCGGGGGGAGCCGGGCAGCGCAGTGGCCTCCCAGGAGCACTTGGCTCCTCCAGTTGGTAGGGTCTGAAGGAGAGGGGCTCAGGGAAGCTCTGTTTCTGTGGGCTCTGCACCAGAAGACATTTAAAACTGATCAGTGTACGCGCGAGAGTAGCCAAAGACTCAGCGCATTAAGGAGGACGCTGGCGTGGGGTCAGCAGGGAGTGCGCGTGGGCAGCCTCCCACCAGGCGGGTCTGGCAGTGCCCTGGCCTCAGGCAGCGACTGCACCCTCCCTCCCTCTGCTGATCTGTCTTGCCTTGGAGCCCTAGCAGAGAGAGAGCTGGCATTTTGTATCACTCTGGAGAAAATATCTAGAATCAGCGAGTTGTGAAAGCTTCAAGGAAAGTGAGATAGCAGTTAAGTGAGAACGTCAAGGAAGCAGATTTGTGTTCAATAGCTCATTAAAAACGGCAAAGCTCTTCCACAATTCCAGCTGTCCCCATGCAGCTGTGTGTCTGGAGTGGTGGTGAGTGTCCCCACGGTGGGGAGGCGCAGGGACGGGTGGGGCTTCAGGGCCTCGCTGGAGAAGAGATTGCTAAGTTCCTGGAGGCCTTTCCCATTTTGAGGGCCCCAAAAGGGACCTGAGTGGTTTCCCGACTTGAGAACCGTCTGCATCAGCCTGGCTTCCTGCACAGTGTCTGCGCCGGTGCACACCTTAGAGGGGAGCTGCGCCATCAGATGAACCAGGACCCTGGCGGAGGAAGGGGGTGCCGGCAGGGCTCCCATGGCACCTGCTGCCTGTGGCTGAGGGGAGCCTGGAAGGGCACCAGCCTCACCCACCCCTGGCCGAGACCCCCCTTGCACAGAGAACACACACAATACAACCACAGCTGGAATCCCACGCACAGCTCCTGATTCACCTTCCCGCTCACTGCAGTCCTCTGGTTTCAACCTTCCGTTGACATTGATGACAATTTTACATGGACGGTAGCCAGGTCTGACAGGGTTAAAAGTGAGAAATTTGCTGTTCCAACACTTAGGCTCAAATCCTGGGCTGAGAATTTAAGGGCTGCTTGAATGCATGCGACTCAATTTTTTCTCAGTACCGCAATTTCCCTCTGTGTCAGATACACTGATGTGGGGTTGGCTGTGAGGCAAAATGAGCTCCTAGTTTGCACCACGAAGCTCTGGGCAGATCTCCACTCATTAATGGTGCCAGGAGATGTGGAACCATGCTGCCTGACGGCAGAGCCTGTCCCCCCGGGAGCCTTGCTGTGCCCTGCAGGTTCACCTCACCTGAACCATGCACAGGGCTTTCTTTTCTGCCATGTTCTTCATCCATTGTGGAGGATGCAATCACATTTTTGCGTGGTGACCAGCATCTGTCATTCACAGAATTGGCTCAAATCACATGTGACCAGAAGAACAATTATGTTGAGAGTTATTTTTTAGCATCCCGCTCTTTGACACTTTTGAGGAGATCAAATGTCAGAGATATTTTTTTCTTTTTTGCATTTGCTCAATGCATTATCTCTAAGGCTAAGTAGGTTTCGAAAAAAAAATCTCAAGAGCATCCTATCCAGTTTTAAAAAATTTTTCCTGTCAATGAATGAGATCCAAAATGGAGATGTGACTCATCTTCAAGCTGTGGCATTCGTGGCAATGCTTTCTGATGTCGCAGTGGATAACTCCACTGGAAGTAACCAACTTCCGAATGATATTGGCAAAAATAAACATCATAAAGATGAGCAAGGTCATTGATTTAAGATGTGAGTAGCTATTGTCAACATGAACACCAGTGATGTACAATTAAAACTCCCCTCCAGCTCTGATCAGTTTTAACAAGTGGGCATGCTCTGCAGAGAGGCAGCCCAGAGAAAACTCTCACCCCAGAGAAGCCGAGCTTCAGGCTGGCCGTCTACCTGCATCTCTCATGAAGAACGCGACTTGGGAAGTATCATTTGACCACTCTGAGCCTGCTTCCTGCCTGAAAAAATGGGGTTAGGGACATCTGGAGAGGTGGGTGAGCACTAAGGATTCAGTAAAGGTAGGGTAGCTGTGACTGGAACATTCTGGCTCACACAGTAATTATCAATACTCTTCCCCATGCCAAATGAGGAGCATTCCTTACAGAAATAAAGTGACTATATCCGTTGCTTTAGAGCCCCAAAGAAGAAAATGGTCTTCTGCATACCGATAGCAACCTGAGCCCTCCAGCAGTCCATAACCAGGGCATCAGCAAAAATGAAGGGGCCTCCCAGGTCCTGCACTGGAAGGAGATTCCCCCAAACCACCTGTGTCAGAACGAGCAGCTCAGATGCACTGGCACATCTCAGAGAGTGCAGATGACAGAAGCATCACGCCCAGGTTCCAGCACTAGTTCTACCACTAACTAGCTGAAAACCCTGGGCAGTTTACTTAACTATGCCTGTGCCTGAATTTTCTCAGAGGATTGTGAAAGCATTAAGTAAATGTATGCATGGGCCGTATTTACAACACAGTCTAAGTTCTCAATTAATATCAGCCACTCCTTTAGATCAGGAGTCAGGAAACTGCAACCCCATCTATTCATATAAATAAAGTTTTATTGGAAGACAGTTTTCTCATTCATTTACTTGTTGTCGATTGCAGTTTTCATGAAGACTTGAGCAACTAAAATGGACCATGTGCTGCACAAGCCTAGAATATTTACGATCTAGCCCCTTAGTGGAAAAGCTGACCCTGTCTAAGTTTACCACACCGTTCATTTCCATTCACAGGAATAATTCAGGATACCTGGATGTAGCCATGGGCTTGTCTCTTTTAGGTCTGCTAGTACACAGGCAGCCAAAGGAGACACCTGGCCATCCCAGCCACAGGGCAGGAACCCACACAGATCTTTGCACCATGTACCATGGGGGGCAGGCTCCTGGCCATCCCCATGTGACTGAATAACAAGGACACCAGGCCCCTCACATCCCCTTTTCCATCTTTCCCAGGGACAAGGAACTGAAACTCCAGTCCCTGAACATTCTTAATGAGTGAGTTCAATTATCATATTAACACTTACCACTTAAAAAAAGTCATCATCTTTATGCTGTTATTCCAATTAATTGTGTTGGAAAATGCAGAGCGTGAGCTTCAAAGAATAAGGTGCTAGTTTTTGAAGTATGATGCTGTTTGATAACAGAATCATCACAGAGACTTCAGCATCTGGAAATGGGCTGGAATATTGTGTAATGTTTCACATCTATGCATGCCAGCAGTATAGATCTATACACACAAGCAAATGGAGAGACATCCTACATGGTATCGTCATATTCCCAGTTAGCATCTAGAAACAGCCATTGATGCACGTTTCTGCATTTCTGTTCATTCATTTGGCCTCTAAGCACTATTGACAAATATACATGAGAGTGTGACCATTTTGTCACTTTATCTTTACCAGAAATCATAAGGTTGGGGTTTCCGTGGGGTCTCCTTCAGCAACCTGTTGGCATCACGGCATGAAGACAGGAACTACTTAACTGGACAAGGTGGCCACTTTCACATCATGGTTGTGACATTCGTGTTCACACCAAGTCCTCTTTTATTGCAAATGGCTGGCAGTCATGGCCATCACCATGAACACGGTGGTGGTGGACAGGAGGATTGTTCGTGCCCATCTCCAGCGCCCAGCACCGGCCAGGCCAGGCTGCAGGACAGAGGGTTCTGTGCAGGGGAGAAGTGCAGTTAGACTGAGGCTGAGACTGGGCCCCAGGTAGGCACCTCAGTCAGTTATTATGCCAGTCACACATGTGACAGGGCAGGTGGCTACTGGTCATTGCCTCGGCAACAGGGACAAAGCGGGCCTAATGAGTGGCTGTCCCAACAGGAGACAAGCAAAGCCCAAGTAGGTTTCCCCATGGAGGAGAAACCCCAGATCCAAATCTCAAAAACCCACGTGCAAACCCCAAATCCTGGGCTAGGAGTCCTTTCTCTGTGTTCACGGTGCCCTCTGCACCTGCCTTACTGCCTGCTGTGGAGGTTCTTAGTCTCACTTGCTATTTCTCCCAGCAGAACACTATGAGTTACTTGAGGACAACAGCTATGCATTGTATTAATTATATATGTCCTCCTCATCCCACAATTATTTAAGGTGACTTGCAGGTCTCCTCACAGCTGAGAATTCTCTGAGTAAATTTAAGTGAAGAAAAAGGTAAGAAAATTAAAAGCCAGAGGTAATATCAATACACAAACTCATTTGAAGATGAATGATATTAAACTGTCAATATGTGACCATTCTTTAAACCTATGAATGTGGTATTTTCCTATGCTCCAATACAGTGCTTTATCTCTGCTTCTACAAGGTCTGATGCCCTATCTCACATCCATTAGGCACTCAGTGAAGTTGGAAGGAAAGTAGGGAGGGAGAAAGGAGGGAGAGAATGAAGGAGAGAAGAAGGGAAAAAGAGAAAGGTAGGAACAGCAGAAGGAGGGAAGGGGGAAGGAAGGAGGAAGGGATGGAGGAAGGGAAAGAGGAAGGGAAGGAGGAAGGGAAGGGAAGGAGGAAGGGAAAGGAAGGGAAGGGAAAGGAAGGGAAGGGAAGGGAGGGAGGAAGGAAGGAAGGAAAGAAAGAAGGAAGGGAAGGAGAGAAGGAGGGATGGAGGGAGGGAGGAAGGGGAGAAGGAAGAGAGTGATGAACGACATGGTGTTCTTTGCTGACAGAGAGTGACTCTTCTGAGGTCCAGCTGAGTCCTTGTGTGGCTCCCCTCACTGTGATGTGGCAGGAAAGGTCACTGTGATCAGGGAAAAGCCACTTTATCTATTCCGCACCAAGAGGAAGAGCTACACAGTACAAAGGAAAGATATAAGGAAACAGTAAATTCAGCCAGTCAGGTTCTTATAGACATTATATAAAAATCAAGTAAAAATGACTACAGCGTAATACAGGGATAACAACAAATACTTGGCGAATTTACTGTATGATGTAGGGAAGGCATGCTTGTTGTTTTAACAAATAAATCACCAGAAGGATAATGGCTCAAGCACAGTGGATGGATTTTCCTCACCCATGTAACAGAACCTGGAGGCTCAACAGGCCAGTAGGGCACAGCCCCTCCAGAACTCAGGCTGAGGAAAATCTGCTACCTTCAACAAGGGGCTTCGGATGTGGTCCAGGGCCTGTCTCAGTTCAGCGGGAGGGTGGGGGACAGGATGGGACATTCCCAGATGTGGCCCATGGTGCATGTGTGCATTTTCCATGAGCCAGCACGAAGCCACACAGTCCCACCTCATTGCATAGGAGGCTGGAACACTGTTTAGTTGTGGGTCCTAGAAGAAGAAATCATGAATTGGAGTGAACAGCCAGAAATCTCTGCCTGTTGCTCAGCCCAACAGGAGAGACAGAAGTCCTCCTTTAATCACAGGTGGTGATATGGTTTGGCTGTGTCCCCACCCAAATCTCAAATGTTAGCTCTCATAATTCCCACGTCATGAGAGGGACCCAGTGAGAGGTAACTGAATCATGAGGGCAAGTCTTTCCCATGCTGTTCTCATGATAGTAAATAAGTCTCATGGGATCTGATGATTTTATAATGGGGAGTTTCCCTGCACAAACCCTGTCTAGCATGCCGCCATGTAAGATGTGCCTTTCTCCTCCTTTGCCTTCCACCATGATTGTGAGGCCTCCCCAGCCATGTGGAACTGTGAGTCCATCAAACCTCTTTTTCTTCATAAATTGCCCAGTTTCAGGTATGTCTTTATTCGCAGTGTGAGAACAGATTAATACGAGTGGCAAATGAAACATTTTCATGATGTGGAGAAAAAATTGATGAACATTCAAACAGCCTTATGAGACAGGTAAATTGATACTAGTATTTTGCCAGTGGTAAAATGGAGACTTTCAATAAATAATTGTGGGAGCTCTACAACACATGGTGGCACTGCTACAGAAAGCAGTGAGATGAAAAGCTCCAGATTTAATTCATTTCCTTACTCATTTAATTAAGGACTAGCATCTTCTGTGTTTAGCACTGTTCTACATGATAAGGACAGAGAGAACCAACTGGAAGTGGAGAAGAGCTTGGTTGATATTGGCTGGCAGCCCAACAGCAAGCCCAAGTGCACGTGAATGCCGGTACAGGCAGACCTCAGAGGCATTGCAGGTTCAGTCAATCCCGAATATCAACATGAAGTGAGTCACAAAAATTTTGATTTCCCAGTGCATATAAAAGTTATGTTTACAATACATTGAAGTCTATTAAGTGTGTAATAGCATTATGTCTAAAAAATGTACTTAAGTAGAAAATATGTCATTGCTAAAAAAATACTAACAATCATCTGAGCCTTCAACAAGTCATCATCTTTTTGCTGGTGGAGGGTTTTGCCTCAATGCTTATGACTGCTGATGGATCAGGGTGGTGGTTGCTGAAGGATGGGGTGGCTGTGGCAATGTCTGAAAATAAGACAATTAAGTTTGTTACATCGACTGAGTCTTCCTTTCCCAAGAGATTTATCTGTAACAGTGATGCTGTTTGATAGCATTTTACCCACAGTAAAATTTCTTTCAAAATTGGAGTCAGTACTCTCAAACCCTGTCACAGTTTTATCAACTAAGTTTATGGAATATTCTAAATCCTTTGTTGCAATGTAACAATGTTCACAGCATCTTTAACAGCAGTAGATTCCATCTCAAGAAACCACTTGCTTTGCCCATTCATAAGAAGCAACTTCTCATCCATTCAGGTTTTATCATGAGACTGCAGCAACTCAGTCCCATCTTCACTCTTCTCTTCTAATCTAATTCTCTTTCTATCCCTACCACATCTGCAGTGATTTCCTCCACTGGAGTTTTGAACTCTTCAAAATCATCCAGGAGGACTGGAATCAACTTCTTCCAAACTCTTGCTCATGTTGATATTTTGACCTCCTTCCTTCCATGAATCACAAATGTTCTTAATGCCATCTAAAATGATACATTTTTTCCAGAAGGTTTTCAATTGACTTTGCCCAGATCCATCAGAGGAATCAGTATCTGTGGCAACTAATGCCTTATGAAATATATTTCTTAAATAAGACTTGAAAGTCAAAAATACTCCTTGATCCATGGGCAGTAGAATGGATGTTGTGTTAGCAGTAATGAAAGCAATATTCATCTCCTTGTATATCCCCATCAGAGCTCTTGAGTGACTAGATGTATTGTCAATGAGCAGTAATATTTTGAAGAGAATCTTTTGTTTTCTGAGCAGTAGGTCTCAACAGTGGGCTTAAAATATTCAGTAAACCATGCTGTAAACAGACGTGCTGACACCCAGGAATTGTTATTCTATTTATAGTGCACAGGTAAAGTAGAATTAGCATAATTCTTAAGGGTCCTACGATTTTCATAATGGTTGATGAGCACTGGCCTTGACTTAAAGTCACCAGCTGCCTTAGCCTTTAACAAGAGGGTCAGCCTGTCCTTTGATGCTTTGAAGACAGGCATTGAGTTTCCTCTCTAGCTCTGAAAGTCCTAGATGGCATCTTCTTCCAATAGAAGGCTGTTTCATCTGCATGGAAAATCTGTTGTTTAGTGTAGCCACCTTAATCAATGATCTTAGCTGGATCTTGTGGATAAGTTGCTGCAGCTTCTCATCACCACTTGCTGCTTCACCTTGAACTTCTATGTTATAGAGATGGTTTCTTTCCTTAAACCTCATGAACAAACCACTGCCAGTTTCATACTTTTCTTATGCAGCTTCCTCACCTCTCTCAGCCTTCATAGAATTGAAAAGAATTAGAGGCCTTGCTCTGGATTAGGTTTTAGCTTAAAGGAATGTTGTGGCTGTTTTGACCTTCTATCCAGACCACTCAAACTTTCTCAATAACAGCAATAAGGCTGTTTCACTTTTTTTTTTATCATTTATGTATTCACTGGACTAGCACTTTTAATTCCTTCAAGAACTTTTCCTTTGCATTCACAAGCTGATCAACTCTTTGGTATAAGAGGCCTGGCTTTCAGCCTATCTCAGCTTTTGACATGACTTTCTCACTAAGCTCAATCATTCCTAATTTCTGATTTAAAGTGAGAAATGTGAAACTCTTCCTTTCACTTGAACACCTAGAGGCCATTACAGGGTTGTAATGGGCCTGAGTTAAATATTGCTGTGTCTCAGGGAATATGGAAGCCCAAGGAGAAGGAAATATACGCCAGTGCAAGGGGACTTCTGGGACATGGGGAAGGGAGCTTCCTAGGGCCACACTTGAGTCTCAGTACCCGGCCATCTTTGGTACAGTCCACTCCAACTCCCCAATCACAGCAGCCAGTGAATCCCCATTTGCCTCAAGCTACATCAAGTTGTGAGCTTGTAATTTGTAAGACAGAGGGGAAGGGGGAGAGGGGAAGGGCAGGCAGCTGAGATAGTCGAGAATAACGTGGTCAGGGAAGGCCACGGGGGTGATGTGGGCTCAGGGAGGTGACATCTCTGGGGAGTGACACTGGTGCTGAGGCATAAAGATAATAAATAATGAAATAGTCCTGCGACTAACTGGTAAAAGAAAATCCCAGGAAGGAGCAACAGAGGCAAAGGTGAAAGCTGAGAGAAAGCTGGGGACACTTGGGAAACAGCTTGGCACCCTGAGGAGGCGAAGCAAACAGGCTGGTGGGGGTGAAAGAGACTTGAGTCGGGGGAGCCAGACAACGCAGGTTTAAGAGCTCATCCGTGATCCAGAGCAGTGGAGAGTCCCATGCACACACAAGGGGAAAGATACAGATGACTGTGTGTCCTGGAGAACATACGCAGGGCACTGGTGGGTAGGATCCAGACTCTGCCAGCCCTGCATCCTTTCTTCAATCTCACCATTTTTTAATTTTAGGGAGAGATGGGACACGATCTCCTTTATGGTATTACAGGATCACTGTGACACATAGAAGCAGAAAGACTTCTAAGACTACAGCAGCGGCTGGGGCAAGGACTGATCCAGAGTTGATGAGGCTGAGACTGGAAGCAGAAAGGAGTTGGGTGCACTCAAGGAATCTGGAGGTGGGGCCACAGTGGGCTCTACTGCAGCCTTGATGGGGTAGGCATGGAACCGAGGGGGATACCGCACCTTCGGTTGCGGAAACTGGGAAGCCGGCAGGGCCGCTGGCTGAGATGGATGCTGTGCTGACGGTGCACCCGGCGTGTCGTCCTCTGAGCCTTATGATCTGTCCATGTCACGGGATTTGCTCCTCAGTCTATAAATGCGATGACTTATTAATCACTCAGAATCCTGTTTCCCCCAAGATAAAAAATATAGACGCTCTCGTGAGAATAAGGTTGAGATAGAAGATATAAACATGAGGAAACCACAGAGCCGTTGCTCCATGAAGCTCTAGTTGACCTTGGGTTTGAATGCTACACGTGGCTCACAGAAGAGCAGGCCATACCCGGACTCATGTCGACCCCATGGTCAGAGACCACACGCACACCATGCAGTGCCAGGGTGCATGGAAGTCACTTTGGCCCCTGGGATTTAGACACACCTGGGCATGTTTAGTGACCAGGCAGGGTGGGCCTGACTAACTCTATCTGCATGAAGGGCTGAGCAGCCTCCTGGGGGAGAATGAGGATTCATGCTAGGGGAAGAGGGAGCTTGGGCAGACACCTTATATGATGCTGTTGCTTAAACTGATCTCCAGGGACAGAGGCTCACCAACCAAAATATGAGTCCTATGGTGGGAAGAGAAAATATCAGCAACAATTACAAAAAGTGATGCTGCTAACATCTCTGTAAGATCTAGATGAAAGCCCCTGCCCCGAGGTCATCCCCAAGCACCCCTGTTCTCGTAGCACAGAGCCCCTAGCATCAGCAGGCACCAGCCAGCCCTGCAGCAGCACTCAGCGGGCAGGTGCCTGGCGGGTCCAGTAGAATCAAGGAGAAGGAGCAGGTGTGGCCAGGAAAGGTGCAGATGTCTGGGAGTAACCAGGATAACTGGAGGGTGCTCCTGAGGGTAGGGCTGACACCGCAGGGTCAGAGGAGGTGGGAAAGGAGACAGTTGCCAACATGTGTTTCCTGGAAGACCTTTTATCTCAGCTGAGACACTCCTGGGAACTCCAAAAATAAAAATAAAACAAAATGTACAGGGGAAATTTTGTATGGAACAGAGTTCCTATCCAAGAGATGAGGTTAGAGCCAGAGACACCGAGGCCACAGACAACACTGATATCCCACAATCAAGTCACATCCTCTCCCAGAAACCCTCCAACAACACTTGCCCAGACCCAGTCCCAGGACCCCAGGGGTATTGTCACCTCTCTCTTCTGCACAATCGTCTCTTTTAAAAAAGTTCTTCTCTCTCAATTTGTGCTGACTTCTTTCCTGACGGTTTTGTTAAGCGCCATTGTTCTCAATCGATAATTTAACATCTAATTCCAAAAACAAAATAATAAACATGTCCCGACAGCTTTGCGGAAGTATATAATTAACCGCTTTTGCAGGTGTCTTCCTTTCACATATTTCTTAAAAGTTTCAGAGATCTTTTGAAGTTCTTTTTTAATAAAGAAGCTATTTTTAACCAAATGTGAATACCGGTCATTTCATGGGTTGGAATGGAGTATTTTTAAACAAGTCTTAATGCCTTTCCCATACAGATGCCTCAGCTGGGTGCTGCAGCCGAGATGGAGCCTGATGGTGGCAACAGGCCCCCACCCCTCCGCACACGGCCGGGCCACCCCCCGGTACCTCCCACAGGACCTGTGAAGGTTACGGGTCTGGTGTTGGTGTCTCCAAAGCATCAGCTCCTGAAACTCCTCAAGGAGGTGTCACAGAAGGAAGCTAGATCTGCAGAAGTGCCTTGATAAAGTCCTATTTTTATAAAAGCCATGTTTCCCATGGCAGAAAAGTCAGGAAATGAAGAAAAAAGTATAAAGAAGAAAACACAAATTACCCATGACATCAACATCTCAAAATAATAATATGCTTTTCTGAGTCCCAGTTTCCCTCACTCAACATGGGAATAGTGTAGGTGACGAGGGTTGTGGTTGGAGTCACAGTGAATGTCGTTAGCGCACTTTGTGTGGGGTGTGGACCTGGCTCACAAGGTGACCTGTTCACAAGAGCTGCTCTTCCCCTTGTGGAGGGATGCCTCTCCATGGATTTCTGTTCTGGGGACTCACGGCCCCAGCCTTGCTCTCTGGACCTGAGCAGGATGCAACTGACCCAAGAGCGAGCACATCAGACTCTCTGTCTCTAACGTGGCTTTTACAGGGGCCTAGAGCCTTCGGGGTGGGGGAAAGCCTTCTCCTGCCATTGCACGCAGAGCACCAGAGAGAGCCAGGCTCCCGAGAGGGACCATGCAGGCACCAAGAGAGGTAGGACTTGAGGGCAGTGCAGCTGGAAGGCCAGGCCCAGGCCTCCTGGAGCCATTCCAGGTCCAGCCCAGTATTTGCTGCCCCTGGGGAACCTCGTTCACACTGACATCAACTAGAGTTGGCTTTTCTTAAGATTATTCCGAGCCGAGGGAAGGTTAATTTATGCACTGGGCAGTATGTTCAGCTCTGTGATGCCAGCTGACCATCATTGAGAACTTCTCTGTGCTCACCACTCATCTAAGCTCTACGTGCAGCACCAGGAACCCTGACAGCCATGTTATGTGTGTTCTGTTTTCTCCATTTCTCCACACATGAGAAACCCAAGTCCAAGCTCAATGAACGCACTTGCCTAGGATCAAAAATCTGGAAAGTGGCTGGTTTGGGATTCAAACCCCAACCATCCTATCCTAGAGCCAGTCCTCAAAGCTGTGCCCTCAACTGCTGAGACAGCAGTGATCCTGCAGAGGGAGGGTATGGGAAGACACCTTCATTCTGAACTATTCCCATTCTTCTCCCTTTTCTAGAGTTGGAAAGGTTGCAGATTCTCTGCCCAACCAAAAGTTTCAGAGGAACAACTCTGTGCCAGGCACCCTTCTAAACTCAGATAATTAGAGATAAAATTAGGCAAACTCTGCCCCGGAGAGCAAGCCTGGGAGATGGCCGTGCCTGTACGCACTTGCAATGTAAGGCGCTGGGAGTCGGGGCTGGAGTTGGGAAGTCCAGGGGACAAACAGTGGAGGCTGAAGTGCCCCCCAACTTATCCTATGAACCCTTAAAGCCCACCCTTCTGACTGCCCACCGCCAGGTAACTGAGTCGCCCCTTCCTTCACAATTTGTGCCGCTGCTCACCCACACCCTGGGTCCAGGGAAACACCCATCAGCCCACGGGTATGCTAACCGGCCTTGTGAGGGTGTTTTCCTTCCAAAGGCTGCGAATCAAGGCCTCACTGCATGCCCTTCACCTCTTGTCCCAGCCAGATGCTACTGGAGTCCTCAATCTATCAACATACCCCAATGTCAAATGGGAGACTCTTCAAACTCCCTCGGTGACACCCCAGAAAATCCCGGAGGAATGATCACTCTAGCGGCTTTTTTTTCCATCATGTCAATATTTTCAATAAACAGCCCTTTTGCTTGAGTGCTCTTAGGAATATGATTAACATAATTTCCTTCGCTTTTTCAAAATGTGATATTTCCAGGCTATTTTGGCAGGAGGAGGACACAGGCTGACTGGGGTGTGGTGCTGACACGATGCTCTTGTTTATTTTCCACACGAATATCACTACTGGAGCAGAGCCGCGGCACTCGGTGTGCCCATCCCCAGACAATCCATCCCCAGCCGACCCCCAGCCATTTCTCTGGGGCATTTTGATGAGAAATGCAGGCATTTCCTTGAAGGAAAGGAGACCATAAACTCTGGAGCTGTCAGCTGAGTTGATTCTGTGCACAGTTTGATGCCAGCAGCCTCCTTCCGGGACTGGGACTAGGTTACTTATTTTTCAAACGTCAGTTCATATTTCACCTCCTCCAGGAAGCTTCCCCGGCTTCTCTTTCCCACTCTTTGGCAACAGAGTTGAGTCATTCTTTCTCCTAGCTAGTATGAGACTTTTAAAATATCTTTAGTATTGAAGTTATAATAAATACTGTACCCAAAGTTATGTGTTGCTCTGTCTGCTCCTGATAATAAATATCACTAAATTCCTTGAGGCTGGACACAGGCCCTGCTCATCTTTGTAGCCATGGCTGCCAGCACAGGGCCTGGCATGGAGCAGGGGCTTGGGGCTGCTGCACGTTGCTGGCATTCACATCCTGCAGAATCCCCTCGCCTGGACCGCAGCCTGGGCCTCGGGACTCTTCTCTAACACATGGAACACAACAAAAGTGGCTGCATGGCACTTCTAAGATTAAGCCACAAAAAGGCAAGGACACCTCTAGAGGGTCCCTGAGATGGCTGCACCCCAACTGCAGCCTATGGGACCCTGATCCAGAGAACACAGCTGGGCCGTGCTGGATCCCTGTCCATACGGTGCTCAATTGCTAAAGTGAACAGAATTAAATAGATGGAATCCATTCCTTACGTGAGGGTCTCAAGATTACTCTGCAGACAGAGTGAGAGGGAATGTGTTCAAGTTGACTAAACTACCAGGACCACAGAGACACAGGAATGCCAAAGTGTCTTGGAAACCCAAAAGAGACTGTTTCAGGACAAACAAAACCAGGTTCCAATTATACCTAGAACAGCACGATGTAGTGAAAATATAACCTAGGATTAAACATTTCTGGGTTCAGATCCAAGTCCTTTCATACACAGGCATTGTGGCCCTGTGAAAGGTGCTTATTCAAATTCTCTGAGCTTTTAGAGACATCTGTAAAATGCAGAACCTCAGTTATAGTAATAATTGCTTCAGCCAATATTGAAGAAATATTTACTGATAACCCCTAATGACAGATCCTCTATTAGGAGTTGGGGATATAAAGACAGACATACACTATCTCTGTCCTCCAAGATCTCAAAATGATCAGAATGACAAAGATGTTCCATGGTCTCTAAGACCTAGAAATGATCGATAAATCCCAGCTCACCTCATATTCCCATTTTAGCACGCAACACTCACACAGATTATACAGCCCAAAAATAAAAAAAAATAAGATAAACTTCTGTTTTCAATGGTTTTGATAAATTTGAGGATGAGAGACCTAAACAATGTTATTAACTACTTAACCTTTGAAAAACTGTGAATGGAGAGACCTGTATTCTCTTGACCCTGCCCTCAGAGATAACCAAGGGAACTAGGAATACCATGCATTTGATTTAGAGCAGAATTTCAAGGGGTTCTGTCTGTACACATTTCAAGGTTACAAGGGATGCTGGAAAATGCCCGGCCAAACGTCCATGCCGAAATTCACTGCTGCTGCAGTGGCTTGAAGGGCAGCCTTCAACTCCCAGCCACATACCCCGGGGACTGCCCACTCCTGCCAGCAGCCCTGGCAGCTAAATTGTCCTTCCCACTGGGCCACCAGCCTCCCCATGCAACCCCACTGGCCTCAGCCATCCCCGGGAAGATGCCAAAGAGCCGTGCTCCCTTCCTCAGGTGGTCTTCGAGAGACTACATCCAGGACCTCAGGGTGTGTCTAATCTTCACATGAAACATCTTTCTTTCCAATGCTTTGACTAATGTAAACATCAGAAATGGAGCTGCACACCCCAATGAAGAACTGAAGTCTGTTTTAGTAATTCTTCAGCTCATCTAACTGAACCATCTTGGTCTAATGGAAGATTTGGATACTGCTGCTTTCACAGATAGTGAAATTTACCTGTCCCAGGTCTTCAAATGTCCTTTTGTTACACTCAATTTCAATTGTGCATTGAATTTTATACCTAAGGAGACTTGATATTTCATCTATGATCATACGATTAACCTTGAAAACAAATGTCCTTCTCTTTTCCATCCAAGTAAGAATTGAGCCAACTTCAGATCTAAGTTCTAAGCCAAGTGAAGGGTACTCAGGAGACCCAAACGGATTGACACCTTCCCAAGCTATAGGAGCAAGATCACTCACCATGCAGAGCTCAGCATGGTGGCAGACTGGCTTCTCGATCCTTTTCATGTTAGCTGTCAGCAAAGTTCCATTTGATGTAGATTCCTAGTCCAACCACAACCCTATGTCAAGGTGGGGGATGAGCATGCACAGAGCTCTGTAGAGGGCAGTAGCGACGCTGCACTCTCACCAGCCTGGCCTTGCTCCTGCTGCACCTGTGATCTTCCTGGGGGCCTTCGGAAGCAACGTGCTGGCTGTGCTGCCTCCCTCCTGTGAGCAACCTGCTTGGAAAGAACATGAAGAACAAAGGTGTGGGCCCTCTCTAAGACAGAACTGAGAGCCAGCTGCATCGGTGAGTAGAGAATGGGAGAGAGCTCCTCCTCAGGAGTCCCAGGCAAAGCCTCCCAACACTCCAGATTTTTTTTTTTTTTTTTTGGCTATTATGAATAAAGCTTCTTTTGTTTTTTTTAACATTTATGTATTTATTTATTTATTTATTTATTTTTATTATACTTTGAGTTTTAGGGTACATGTGCACATTGTGCAGGTTAGTTACATATGTATACATGTGCCATGCTGGTGCGCTGCACCCACTAACTCGTCATCTAGCATTAGGTATATCTCCCAATGCTATCCCTCCCCCCTCCCCCCACCCCACCACAGTCCCCAGAGTGTGATATTCCCCTTCCTGTGTGCATGTGATCTCATTGTTCAATTCCCACCTATGAGTGAGAATATGCGGTGTTTGGTTTTTTGTTCTTGCAATAGTTTACTGAGAATGATGATTTCCAATTTTATCCATGTCCCTACAAAGGACATGAACTCATCATTTTTTATGGCTGCATAGTATTCCATGGTGTATATGTGCCACATTTTCTTAATCCAGTCTATCATTGTTGAACTCAAACAAATTTACAAGAAAAAAACAAACAACCCCATCAAAAAGTGGGCGAAGGACATGAACAGACACTTCTCAAAAGAAGACATTTATGCAGCCAAAACACACATGAAAAAATGCTCATCATCACTGGCCATCAGAGAAATGCAAATCAAAACCACTATGAGATACCATCTCACACCAGTTAGAATGGCAATCATTAAAAAGTCAGGAAACAACAGGTGCTGGAGAGGATGTGGAGAAATAGGAACACTTTTACACTGTTGGTGGGACTGTAAACTAGTTCAACCATTGTGGAAGTCAGTGTGGCGATTCCTCAGAGATCTAGAACTAGAAATACCATTTGACCCAGCCATCCCATTACTGGGTATATACCCAAATGACTATAAATCATGCTGCTATAAAGACACATGCACACGTATGTTTATTGTGGCATTATTCACAATAGCAAAGACTTGGAACCAACCCAAATGTCCAACACTCCAGATTCTAAAGCAAGGTAACTGGGGAGCATTGGAAGAGTCATCCAGCAATCGGTTGGCCGGCTGGCCCATGTCCCTAGTGCCGGTGCACCCCACTACATTTCTGGACAATCGGGGTAATACATAGTCTGATACTAGATTTCCAAAACAGAGTCTTTGGGAGTGAAAACTCTCTCTTCCAATACTTCCCTAAAGCCTGCATGCACAGTTTATAGTTGAATTGTTACAATGATGCTTCAATATCTTCTAAGCACATCTGACCTCAGTGCTCACTTTCACAAAGTAAGTGAGTGGGAGAGCCATGACTTGAGAGTGTGAGAAGGGGCATGGGAAGGGTTGCTGCTGGATGCCCCATGGGCTGCCCTGCCACCCTCCCAGGGTCCACCACATCACTACACGGCCACCAAGGGTAACAGCTTCCCTTGGAGGCAGGCATTACTGGCTGTACTGGGCAATGAATTCCATGATGTCCACAGCCTCCAGCAGTGTGTGTGGCACAGGAGTCTCTAGAACAGGATCTGCCCGTATGGTCGGAGCACAGCACAGTGCTCAGGGATAAGTCTGGGATTAGGGACCTGAGACTCATCCTGCTCTGGCCATGTGACTTTGGGGTCTTCACTTTATACCTCTAAACCTCTGTTTTCTGCTGCATGAAACAAAACGGTTAGGATTCTGGTTCGACAAGAAACAGGGCCATGCGCTTTTATCTCCTCTCTTTCTCATACCCCCACTGAACCCATAAAGATAGTTTTTAAAAAGTAGAAAACTATAACACAAAGGTAAGGGAGGAAGAGAGACACATCAGTGGATGAGAGACTTCAAGGAATTTCTGGAAGACACACAGAAGTGGAGGAGGATTAGGAGACAGAACATTGAGCATCTCTAGACAGGTAGACATGCAAAGTGAGTCACATGCCTATCTGCCCCCAGGAAGGCCACGGGAGTTGAGCTCTTTGAGGCATGAGGTGCAAACACAGCAGGCATGAGGCACAGGCTGAAAGTGGAGGCATTGCTGCGGAAGCCACATCTGCTCTCCTCCAGGAGATGTTCTCTCAACTGACAATGCCATGGCAAACACAGAAACTTCCCTGTGATCATCAAGCTTATACCCAAGGTGGAAAATTAGACAATAAACAAGGAAATAAATACAGAACTAAGACTAGGAAAACCATAGATTGTGCTAAAGTGCTGAGTAAAGAATTTAAAGAGAGGGCTTTGAGTGGAAACCAGAGGTTTAGAGGCCGAGCAGGACTGGGCCTCAGGTCTTAATGAGAGCACCTTGGTGCTTGAAGTGCTTATGTTAGGTCAGTGGTAAAGAAAGCTTTCTTGGAAGAGGTGATGTTTAGGCCAGTGTCTGCTGGAAGGAAGAAGCCAGCTGTGTGGAAGTCAGGGAGAATAACAATGCAAGGAGCTGGTATTTATAAAGCAAAGACCCAAAAGTGAGGATGTGCTCAGTGTATTTGAGGGGCCTGATGCAGGGCCCAGCACCCACTAGGATCTCAACATATTTTTGTTAAAGTGAAGAAATAACTTTCTTTTTTTGTTTTTTTTTTTTTTTGAGATGGAGTCTCGCTCTGTCCTCCAGGCTGGAGTGCAGTGGTGCATTCTCGGCTCACTGAAAGCTCCGCCTCCCAGATTCATGCCATTCTCCTGCCTCAGCCTCCCAAGTAGCTGGGACTACAGGTGCCCGCCACCACGCCCGGCTAATTTTTTGTATTTTTAGTAGAGACAGGGTTTCACCGTGTTAGCCAGGATGGTCTCGATCTCCTGACCTCGTGTTCCACCCACCTCGGCCTCCCAAAGTGCTGGGATTACAGGCGTGAGCCACTGCGCCCGGCCAGAAATAACTTTCAAGAGTTTTCAAGGAGGCACGTGTGGCTTCAGTGCTGTGGGTGAGACCAGGCCATGCAGGGCTGTAAGCCAAAGTAAGTAGGCTAAAGTTTACTCTAAATGGGAGAGGAAAATGGCGATGATGAATTCTCAGTATGTTCTGGACAGATCCCTTTGACTGTCATCTAAGAATGGAGTGTTAGGCATAAGAGTGCAAACAAAAAGCACCAGGATCACTCAGGGTTCCCCATGGCAAACAACCTCGGACAACTCCAGCTACTGCAATCTGACAAAGTATTCACTGAAAGGATAATGGTAGCTAATTATTACCTGGAGGCCTCAAGCATATGTGCCCTCTGAACCTAAAATAAGTGTTGAAAAAGAAAAATAAAGACTCAGAAGCAACAAAACCCAGAATGATACTGCCAATCATGCCCGGGCCTGGTTGAGTAGAATTCCTGACACACCCAGCTGGACACCAGACTGGCTGTGCCTCTAGAGCTCCACTTTGCTGCTCCCACCACCCACAGCAGGAAGGGTCCCTCTCCCTCACCCTTCATCCTGCTCTGAGGTACAGAGCAATGCCTCTGACTGAGGGGACCCTTGTTCTACCTTCACTGTCATGCTTAGTCTCTGGGGTGTGAGGCAGGGTCCTACGAGGGGGCTCATGTCTGTCAGAAGTGTAAAAAAGAAAAAAAATAGAGTGAAGAAAACTTAAGGAACGTATGGAATATCATGAAGGGGATACGTATGTGCATTATGGAAGCTCGACAAGGAGGAGAGAGCCAAAAAGCTTATTCAAAGAAATAATAACTGATGACTTTTCAAATCTGGGGAAGGAAATGGATATCCAGATCCAAGAAGCTCCCACCAGCCCCCTCCAAAAAAACCAAATTAGATAAATCCAATGAAATACACATTGAGACATACTATTACCAAAATGTCAAAAGACAAAGAGAGAAATTTGAAAACAGCAAAAGAAAACCACCTTGTCACATACAAAGGAACCTCCACAAGAGCATCAGAGGATTTTTCAGTAGAAATTTTGTAGGCCAGAAGGGGTGGGATGACATAGGGAAAGTGCTGAAAGAAAAAACTGGCAACTTAGAATACTGTATACAGCAAAACTCTTCTTTAAAAATGCAGGACAGATAATGACTTTTTTTTTATTTTACTTTAAGTTCTAGGGTACATGTGCACAACATGCAGGTTTGTTACATATGTATACATGTGCCATGTTGGTGTGCTGCACCCATTAACTCATCATTTACATTAGGTATATCTCCTAATAATATCCCTCCCCCTTCCCCCTACCCCATGACAGGCCCCAGTGTGTGATGTTCCCCTTCCTGTGTCCATGTGTTCTCATTGTTCAATTCCCACCTATGAGTGAGAACATGCGGTATTTGGTGTTTTGTCCTTGCAATAGTTTGCTGAGAATGATGGTTTCCAGCTTCATCCATGTCCCTACAAAGGACAGGAGCTCATCCTTTTTTATGGCTACATAGTATTCCAGGGTGTATATGTGCTACATTTTCTTAATCCAGTCTATCATTGATGGACATTTGGGTTGGTTCCAAGTCTTTGCTATTGTGAATAGTGCCACAATAAACATACATGTGCATGTGTCTTTATAGCAGCATGATTTATAATCCTTTGGGTATATACCCAGTAATGGGATGGTTGGGTCAAATGGTATTTCCAGTTCTAGATCTTTGAGGAATCGCCACACTGTCTTCCACAATGGTTGAACCAGTTTACAGTCCCACCAACAGTGTAAAAGTGTTCCTATTTCTCCACATCCTCTCCAGCACCTGTTGTTTCCTGACTTTTTAATGATAGCCATTCTAACTGGTGTGAGATGGTATCTCACTGTGGTTTTGATTTGCATTTCTCTGATGGCCAGTGATGACGAGCATTTTTTCATGTGTTTGTTGGCTGCATAAATGTCTACTTTTGAGAAGTGTCTGTTCATATCCTTCACCCACTTTTTGATGGGGTTGTTTGTTTTTTTCTTCTAAATTTGTTTGAGTTCTTTGTAGATTCTGGTGTTTAGCCGTTTGTCAGATGAGTAGATTGCAAAAATTTTCTCCCATTCTTTAGGTTGCCTGTTCACTCTGATGGTAGTTTCTTTTGCTGTACAGAAGCTCTTTAGTTTAATTAGATCCCATTTGTCAATTTTGGCTTTTGTTGCCATTGCTTTTGGTGTTTTAGACAGGAAGTCCTTGCCCATGCCTATGTCCTGAATGGTATTGCCTAGGTTTTCTTCTAGGGTTCTTATGGTTTTATGTCTAACATTTAAGTCTTTAATCCATCTTGAATTAATTTTTGTATAAGGTGTAAGGAAAGGATCCAGTTTCAGCTTTCTACATATAGCCAGCCAGTTTTCCCATCACCATTTATTAAATAGGGAATCCTTTCCCCATTTCTTGTTTTTGTCAGGTTTGTCAAAGATCAGATGCTTGTAGATGTGTGGTATTATTTCTGAGGGCTCTGTTCTGTTCCATTGATCTATATCTCTGTTTTGCTACCAGTACCATGCTGTTTTTGTTACTGTAGCCTTGTAGTATAGTTTGAAGTCAGGTAGTGTGATGCCTCCAGCTTTGTTCTTTTGGCTTAAGATTGTCTTGGCAATGTGGGCTCTTTTTTGTCTCCATATGAACTTTAAAGTAGTTTTTTCCAATTCTGTGAAGAAAGTCATTGGTAACTTGATGGGGATGGCATTAAATCTATAAATTACCTTGGGCAGTATGGCCATTTTCACGATATTCAATCTTCCTATCCATAAGCATGGAATGTTCTTCCATTTGTTTGTGTCCTCTTTTATTTCATTGAGCAGTGGATTGTAGTTCTCCTTGAAGAGGTCCTTCGCAACCCTTGTAAGTTGGATTCCTAGGTATTTTATTCTCTTTGAAGCAACTGTGAATGGGATTTCACTCATGATTTGGCTCTCTGTTTGTCTGTTATTGGTGTATAAGAATGCTTGTGATTTCTGTACATTGATTCTGTATCCTGAGACTTTGCTGAAGTTGCTTATCAGCTTAAGGAGATTTTGGGCTGAGATGATGGGGTTTTCTAGATATACAATCATGTCATCTGCAAACAGGGACAATTTGACTTCCTCTTTTCCTAATTGAATACCCTTTATTTCTTTCTCCTGCCTGATTGTCCTGGCCAGAACTTCCAACACTATGTTGAACAGGAGTGGTGAGAGAGGGCATCCCTCTCTTGTGCCAGTCTTCAAAGGGAATGCTTCCAGTTGTTGCCCATTCAGTATGATGTTGGCTGTGGGTTTGTCATAGATAGCTCTTATTATTTTGAGATACATCCCATCAATACCTAATTTATTGAGAGTTTTTAGCATGAAGTGTTGTTGAATTTTGTCAAAGGCCTTTTCTGCATCTATTGAGATAATCATGTGTTTTTTGTCTTTGGTTCTGTTTATATGCTGGATTACATTTATTGATTTTCATATGTTGAACCAGCCTTGCATCCCAGAGATGAAGCCCACTTGATCATGGTGGATAAACTTTTTGATGTGCTGCTGGATTCGGTTTGCCAGTATTTCATTTAGGATTTTTGCATTGATGTTCATCAGGGCTATTGGTCTAAAATTCTCTTTTTTGGTTGTGTCTCTGCCAGGCTTTGGTATCAGGATGATGCTGGCCTCATAAAATGAGTAGGGAGGATTCCATCTTTTTCTATTGATTGGAATAGTTTCAGAAGGAATGGTACCAGCTCCTCCTTGTACCTCTGGTAGAATTCAGCTGTGAATCTGTCTGGTCCTGGACTTTTTTTGGTTGGTAGGCTATTAATTATTGCCTCAATTTCAGAGCCTGTTATTGGTCTATTCAGGGATTCAACTTCTTCCTGGTTTAGTCTTAGAAGGGTGTATGTGTCCAGGAATTTATCCATTTCTTCTAGATTTTCCAGTTTATTTGCGTAGAGGAGTTTATAGCATTCTCTGATGGTAGTTTGTATTTCTGTGGGATCGGTGGTGATATCCCCTTTATCATTTTTTATTGCGTCTATTTGATTCTTCTCTCTTTTCTTCTTTATTAGTCTTGCTAGCAGTCTATCAATTTTGTTGATCTTTTCAAAAAAGCAGCTCCTGGATTCAGTGATTTTTTGAAGGGTTTTTTGTGTCTCTATCTCCTTCAGTTCTGCTCTGATCTTAGTTCTAGTTCTTGCCTTCTGCTAGCTTTTGAATGTGTTTGCTCTTGCTTCTCTAGTTCTTTTAATTGTGATGTTAGGGTGTCAATTTTAGGTCTTTCCTGCTTTCTCTTGTGGGCATTTAGTGCTATAGATTTATCAGATAAACAAAAGCTGAGGGAATTAATCACCATTAGATCTGACTTAAAGGGAATTATTCACTGGAACAAAAGAATGCTAAACAGTAACATGATAACATAAAAAAGTATGAAACTCATTAATAAAGGTATACATATATGCACACACACACACACACACAGCAGTATACTTCTGTAATGGTGGTGAGTAAATCACTGTTAATAGTAATATAAAAGTTAAAAGACAAGTATATTAAAAATAATTATAACTTTAAAATATGTTAAAAGAAACAATAGACGTAAATTTTGATAATAACAGAAAGTGTGGAGGTGGGAAGAAGTTAAAATGGAGAGATTTTGTGTGCAACTGAACTTAAGTTATTATCAGCTTAAATGGACTTCTATAATTATAGGATATTTTATGTCAGCTCCAAGTTGACCACACCAAAAAAAAATACCTATAGAAGATACCCAAAAGAGAAAGAGAAAGAAATCAAAGCACATAATACAAAAATCAACAAAATATATAGGAAGACTCCAAAAGAAGAAAAGACAGACAAAATAACTATAAGGCTAACAGAAAACAAATAACAGAGGGGCAATTGTAAATCCTTTCCTATCAATAATTACTTTAAATTACAATGGATTAAACATACAATGGCTGAATGGATTTTTAAAAGACAATAAATAAAAGACAGAGTGGCTGAATAATTTTTTAAAAAAGAAGAACCAACTGTATGCTATTTACAACAAACTCACTTTAGATTTAAGGACACACAGAAAATGAAAGTGAAGGAATGGAAAAGTATGTTTCATTCAAATGCTAACCAAAAGAGAGCACAGATGGCTATATGTATATCAGAAAAAAATCAACTTTAAATCAAAACTTGTGACAAGAGAAAAAGAATGACATTGTATAATAATAAAAGGGTCAATCCACCAGAAACATAAAACAATCACAAATATGTACGCACCCAACACCAGAACACCTAAATATATAAAGCAAAACTTAACAAAACTGAAGGGACACATTGACAAAAATACAACAATACTGAGACTTTTATGCCCTACTTTCAATAGTGGACTGAACATTCAGACAGAAGATCAATAAAGCAATAGAGGACTTGAATAACACTATAGACCAAAAGGAACTACCAAACTTTGGCAGAACCTTCCATCCAACAGCAGCAGAGTGCACATTCTTCTCAACTGTACATGGACCTATCTCCAGGATAGATTACAGGTTAGGTCACAAAACAAGTCTTAACAAACTTAAGAAGGTTGTAACCATGCCAAATATTTTTTTTCTACAATGGAGTGAGACTAGAAATCAGTAGCAGAAGAAAACTTTGAAAACTTACAAATATGTAGAAATTAAACAACACATTTGTGAATGACCATTGAGTTAAAAAAATCAAAGGGAAATCAAAATGTATTGAGCCAAATGAAAATGAAAACACAACACATCAAAACTTATGGAATGCAGCAAAAGCAGTACTAAGAGAGAAGTTAATAGTGATAAATAACTGCATTGAGAAAGAACAAAGATCTCAAATAAACAACTCACCTTTACATCTCAAAACATCAGAAAAAGAACAAACTGACCCCAAAGTTCACAGGAGGAAAAAAAATAATGAAGATTAGAATAATAATTGAAATAGTAAAATAAAACAATAGAAAAAATAGATAAAACTAAGAAAGGTTTTTTTAGAAAAATAAAATCGACAAAACTTTAGCTAGATTACAGAAAAAAGAGGGAGGACTCAGATAAATAAAAGCAGAAACAGACATTACAACTGATACCACAGAATTAAAAGGTATCATATGAGACTACTATGAATAATTATACAACAACAAACTGGATAGTCTAGAAGAAATTGATAAATTCCTAGAAACATGCAACCTATGAAGACTAAATCATGAAGAAATAGAAAATCAGATCCATAACTAGTATGGAGATTGAATAAATAATCAAAGACTTTCCAACAAGAAAAACCCAGGACCAGATGGAGTCTCTGGTGAATTCCACCAAACATTTACAGAATTAACATGAATCTTTCCCAAACTCTTACAAAAAAAAGTCAAGGAAGGAAATACTTCCAAACCCATTTTATGAGGCCAAAGATACCACAGATAAGAAAACTGCAGGCCCAGTACCCTGGCTAACACCTATAATCCCTACACTTTGGGAGGCCAAGGCAGGAGGATCACTTGAGGCCAGAAGTTCAAGACCAGTCTGGGCAACATGGCACCCAGAGGTGGATTCCTTGAGCCTGAGAGTTTGAGGTTGCAGTGAGCTATGATCACACCATTGCATTCCAGTCTGGGTGAAGGAGTGAGACCCTGTTTCAATTAAAAAAAACAGAAAGAGGAAAGAAGAAGGAAGAAGAATGGAGGAAGGAAGGAAGGAAGGAAGGGAAGGGAAGGGAAGGGAAGGGGGAGGAACAAGAAGAAGAAGAGGAAGAAGAAGAAGAAGAAGAAACAACTACAAGCCAATATCCCTGATGAAGATAGATGAAAAAAATTCTCAGAAAATGCTAGCAAACTCAATCTGAGTGCACACTAAAAGGACTACAGACGGTGAGCAGGTGGGATTGATCTTTGAGATGCAAAAATTGTTAACCATATGAAAATCAATTACTGAGCTACATCACATTAATTAAAGGATAAAAATTACACAATCATCTCAACAGATGCAGAAAAGTAAAAATTCAATACTCTTTCATGATAAAAACTCTCAACAAACTAGAAATGGAAGAAAATTATCTCAACATAATAAAGGCTATATATAAAAATCCCACAGCTAACCTCATCCTCAGTAGTGAAAAATGCAAGTTTTTCCTCAAAGATCAGAAGCAAGGCAATAGTATTCACTCTCATCACTTCAATTCAAGATAATATGAAAGTTTTACCAGATAATTAAGCAATAAATAAATAAAGGTATCCAAATCAGAATGAAGTAAAATTGTTCCTGTTTGCAGAAAACGTGATCCCACAGACAGAAACACCTAAACACTCTGTTAGAACTAAGAAACCAAGTCAATAAAGTTGCAGGATACAAAATCAACACACAAAAATCGGTATACACTAACAACAAAATATCTGAGTAGAAAATTAGGAAAATATTTTATTTACAAAAGCATCATAAAAATGAAATACTTACATAAAAACATAACTTCAGGAGGTAAAAGACTTGTCTACTGAAAACTATAAAACATTGATGAAGGAAACTCAGCAGGACAGAAATAAGTGGAAAATTTCTGTGTTTGTGATTAGAAAACTTAATATTGTCAAAATTTCCATACTACTGAAAGTGATTTACAGAGTTAATGCAATCCCTATCAAAATCCCAATAGCATTTTTTTCAAAAATAGAAAAAAAAACACAAACAGTAAAAACGATCTTGATAAAGAACAAAGTAGAAGACATCATACTTCCTGGTTTTAGAATCTACTACAAAGCTACACTAATCACAACAGTATGGTGTTGACATAAAAACAGACATATGCAGAAATCAAACTGGATAGAGAGCTTAGAAATAAATGTGCACATATATGGTCAACAGACCTTTGACAAGAGTACCAAGAGCATACAATGGGAAAAGGTCAGTCTCTTCAACAAATGGTCTTGGAAAAAAATGAGTATCTACGTGCAAATAAACAAAATTAGACCCTTATCTTACACCATACACAGAAGTAAACTCAAAATGGTTTAAATACTTAAATGTGAGACCTAAAACTGTAAAACTCCATTTGTTTAACATATGTAAATGTTTTCAAGGAGAAAACTTAGGGAAAGGCTTCATGACAATGGTCTTAAATATTATTAAATGGATATAACACAACTAAAAAGATAAATACATGGGACAGCTTCAAATTAAAAAGCTTCTGCACAACAAAATAAATCACCAATAGAGTGAAAAGTCAGCTTATGAAAAGGGAGAATATGTTTGCAAACCATGCATTTGGTAATAGGTTATTCTCAAAAATATTTATGTAACTCCTACAATTCAATAATTTTTTAAATCTAATAACCTGATATAAAAATTGGCTAAGGGTATAAATAGACATATCTCTAATAAGATATGCAAACAACCAACAAGTATATGAAAAAGTGCTCAACATCACTAATGATCAGGGAAATGCAAATCAAAACCACAACCAGATATCACCCTATACCTATCTGGATGGGTAACAAGTGTCAGTAAGCACATGGAGAAAAGAGAACCCTTGCACACTATTGGTAGGAATGCAAAATGGTGAAAATGGTGCAGCCACTATGGAAACCAGTATGGACATTCCTCAAAAAACTAAAAATAGGACTATTATATGACTCAGCAATTCTATTTCTCAGTATTCATCCAAAAGAATTGAAATCAGGATCTCAAAAAGATATTAGCACTTCTATATTCATTATAATACTATTCACAAAAGCTGAGATGTAGAAGCTACTGAAATGTCAATTGACAGATGAATGGATAAAGAAATATGGTAAATACATGCAATCGAATACTAGTCAGTCTTAAAAGAAGGAAATTCTGCAGTATGTGACAACGTGGATAAACTTTGAGGAGATGATGTTAAGTGAAATAAGACAGTCACAGCAAGACAAACGCTATGGTTCCACTGAAATGGGCTATCTAAAACAGTCAATTTCATAGATGCAAAGAGAGAAATGGTGGCTGTCAGGGACTGGAGAATGGAGAAAATGAAGGGGAAAATGGAGAGTAAAAAATCAACAGGCACAAGGATTCAGTCAAGCAAACTGAGTCTCCCCTTGAGGTCTGCTATAAAACAGTGTACCTGTAGTGAACAATAATCGGCTGTACACTTAAAAAATTGTCAAGTGGGTATATTTCATGTTAAGTGTTCTTATCATAAAAAAGTGAAAACTTTTAAAAAGTATACAAAGATCATCTAAATTATGTATGAGTGAGACTCAAGACACAATTCATTCTGAGGCAAAAATCCTCTCCAGCTGTGAACCTGGGAAACCAGCAAGTGATGTGCTTCCAAAATACAATGATGGGAAGGCACAGGATAGAAAAGCTCATTCCAAAAGGGAGAAATAGGAAAGGAAAAACTGGTGCTGAGTCTTAAGCAAGCCCAGAACCTGCAAGGCAAACTTCATCAGCCCGCAAGGCTCAGAACAATCCTCTTTGGCTCTGCTCTCTGGGCCCCTTGGAGGCATCACCCCATCACCCTAGATGGTGGACTCACCCCCTTGTATCTGTGAGGGCCCCACCCCATGGCTCTGCAGGGGACCTCCCCCTAGGGAAATGACATTCTGGTTGTGGAAGCTGAGGAGGAAACAGCCTTACCCCCACACCCATGATGGGAGGGGCACCCCGATGATCTCTGAATTGTCTTTGAGGTCATTCTCTTTTCTTGAAGGATAAGGCTTGACTGAAGCTAAAGAGTTCTACTGTCTCATCCCAGAAGTCAGACAGCCTTCTTTCATCCTATCCCACCTTCTCTGTTCTCTTTAACTCAAACGAACAGTGTTTCTGCTAGCACAACCCCATCTCTGTTCCTGGATTCTGCTGAGATGGCTGACTAAACCCATGAGTAATCTTGATACAGAGTGACTGTCCAGCCACACTCATTGTTCTCTTCAGAACATGTTTTCTCATTTTTTGTAATATGGATAGGCTGAGAATTTCCCAAATCTTTAAGTTTTAGGGTTTTTTTTTCTTTTAACTTTTGCTTTAGGTTCAGGGGTACATGTACAGGTTTGTTACACAGGTAAACTCGTGACACAGGGGTTTAATTTACAGATTATTTCATCATGCAGACACGAAACATAGTATCCAACAAGCATTTTTTCTCATCCTCTCCCTCCTCCCACCCTCCACCGTCAAGTAGACCCCCAGTGTCTGTTGTCCCCCTCTTTGGGTCCATGTGTTCTTGTTATTTAGCTCCCACTTTTAAGTGAGAACATGTGGTATTTGGTTCTCTGTTCCTGTGTTAGTTTTGCTAAGGATAATGGCCTCCAGCTCCATCCAGGTCCCTGCAAAGGACATGATCTCATTCTTTTTCATGGCTGCATAGTATCCCATGGTGTATATAGACCACACTTTCTTTATCCAGTCTATGTTTCTTTTTTGCTCAACAATTCCTTCAATGTATCTCTCTCCTCTCACATTTAACAATAAGCAGTAAAAACTCAGGCCATACCTTCAACGTTTTGATTGGAAATCTCCTCTGCTAAATATCCAAGGTTGTAACTCCCAATTTCTTCCTTCCACGAGACACTAGAGCACAATCCAGCCAAGTTCTCTGGCACTTTATAATAAGGATAGCCTTTGTCCAATAACCTGTTCTGTATTTCCTTCTGAGACCTTACCAGAAGCTCCTTTCACATTCATGTTTGTGTCAACATCCTGTTTATATTTCTATATCCTCTAAGACAACAGAACATTTCTCTACAGCTCTACTGACTCCTTTCAAAGGCTTCCCTGGAATTACCTTTAACATCCATACTTCTACCAACAGTCCCTTAGGGCAATCTAGGTTTCTTCCAGCTGCAAGTGAAACTCTTCCAGCCTATATGCAGTTCCAAGGCCACCTGTACATTTTTAGGTGTTTGCTAGAGTAGCACTCCACTTGCAGTACCAAAATCTGTACTCGTCTTCCAGTCTGCTTGTAACAAAACACCATAGACTGGGTAACTTACACAGCAGAAATTAATTTTCTCACAGTTCTGCAGGCTGGAAGTCTGAGATCAAGGTGTCAGCTGGTTGGCGACGAGGCCTCTTTTCCTGACTTGCAGATGGTTCTTCTGTGTCCTCACGTGGCCTTTCCTCCCTGAACACACGCTTCTGGCATCTCCTCCTCTTCTTGTGAGGACAAGAGTCCTATGGGATCAGGGCCCACCCTTATGGCCTCACTTAACCTTAGTCACCTCCTTAAAAGACCTTCCTTCAAATACAGTCACACTGGGATTATGACTTCAACATATGAAGTTGGGGGAAATACAATTCAGCCCATAACAGTGTTCAACTAAAAGTGTGTGTGTGTCTGTGTGTCTGTGTGTGTATGTGTGTGCCTTGTGTGCATGCATGTGTGTATGCATGTGAGTGCATGTCTGTATCTGCATCTGCATGTGTGTATGTCTGCGTCTGCATCTGTGTGCATGTGTGTCTGCGTGTGTGCGCATGTATGTACATGTGTGCATGTGTGTGCGCACGTGTGTGCGTGTGCATGTGTCCATGCATGTGAGTGTGTGTGTTTTATGAATAGGGGATGGTGTAGAACTGTCAGGTCAGAGCCAAGAGATGGGCACTGAGGCTGACAGCACAGAGGCACGCAGGGCTGTGACAGTATCAGCCTCGGTGGAGAGCGGGGGCCAGAAGCCCTAAGGAGTTGGACTGAGAAAAGAACATAAGGAAGTAGAAATAGTGAGGATAGAACAGGAAACTTGACCCCTCAAGTCCTTCCAGCTCAACCTGAAAACTGCTTCTCCCCTCACACCTCCCTTGGCCAACACCACATGCTTAGAGGCAGCCTTCAGCAGACTCTGAAGAAACTGGGATGGAGGAGTTCTGGCCTCTGAAACACAGAGTGGATGGCTAGTGTGAGGCTCGGGCGGGAAAAGACAGGAACGGGTCAAACTGCACACTGAATAGCCTTCTGTCCTGCAACCCCCGCGGGCTCCTCCCAAAGCTAACCAGAAGTGGAGGCTCCACTCCATCAGCCAAGGGCAGGAGGGGTCCATCTTGGACAAATCAGATGTTCTCAAGTGTCCCCCAAGACCACCAACTCACCAGCAGACCCACCTCCAGTAAAGTCAATCCATCCACAGCACAGCCTAGTAGGGCGCCGTGCAGGAAGGGAACGCGCCCCGAGAGCTCCGCTGCTCACAAGGGAACAGATGTCACCAGGAGGCAGGGGCAGCCACAGGCACTTGACAATGTCTTCACTTAACCGCGTATCGCTGCATCGCTAGGGCGAAGAGAGCAAGGAGGACTGTGAAGAGCGAAGCCTGAGCTGCCATGTGGTGAGTCCGGAGATCATAGCTCATTGATAAGGGCTAATTACAACAGCATATTATTAGGAACATAAAGATAAATACAAAGAAAAAAGCCTAAAAGAGTTGCAAGTGGTTGATTGTGAGGCATGGCACCAGAGGCTGGGACACGTGGCACAGGGCATGGGAATCCCCTGGCACGGGCGGAGGCTGCTTTAGGAATCCTGAAAATCAGCACCTCTCCTTCCGCAGGAGCTCCAGAACCAACGGGGAGCCAGGCAGACACGCAGCAGGCTGGGGGAGAGGATGGGGAAGCAGCAGCGATGGGCCTCTGAGGCTGAGCCCCAGACCCAAACACGAGCCAGCCCCCAGGCCTCCCCTCACCGGCCCCTGCAGGACTTACGGCACGGGGATACCAACCAGAATGCGTGCTTCCTGTAGGAGACTGGCTCCCAGGGGGGAAAAGGAGGGCAGGGTGGAGGCACGTCGACTCCAGCCTCATCTCAACTCATCATTAAGATAATCTATCGTCCCTTCGGAGAGGAGCAGACCAGCATGGCCCAAGCCCGGGAAAGGCCCCAGATACCCCCACAGGTAGTGCCAGGAGTGGAGAAGTACTGTTTCCCCCAACACATACAGCTTACTTTCTAAACTATGTGTCTGTGTTTCTTTGCTTAAAATAAATATTGGCTTAAAAATGACTGAAAGCAGGAAGCGGTTCAGCCCGCCTGCTTGCCCTGCTGCTCCGCCTCTGGCCTCTGAGCAGCTGGGGAGACACAAGGAGAAGAGCCTGGGATTCACCTGCAAGAAGCACATGCAGTGGCACCCGAGGGGTGGGGCTGGGGCGCCATTGAGTCCAAGCACCATCAGGCACGCCATGGCCCTGGCCCAGACCCCACCTCCAGGGAGACCAATCTTGTGCCACTCGTGGTTGTTCAACTCTTTTCTGAATGGTTCTGAGACTTAGCATGCCAGGTAGTGGGGAAGATTCAGACTTTGAAATCAATGAGTTTCTGTCCCTAACACGCAAAATCAGGGGACAAAACTACGTCATGGGGACCTGGTGATCAATGGGAAGATGTAAAATAGTACCTGGCCCACGGTGGCCTGTGCGGGGGCATATACAGCTCTGAACCCTCTCCCTACTCTCACATTCACAGAGACAGACATCCACAGCACCGAAAACTGAGATTGATGAGCAATTAATGCGAAAACCTTGGAGGAATCTCCACTAATTAAAAAGCAAATGGAGTTGTAAAAGAAAAAAAAAATTCCCTACCCAGACCCCAGGCTTCAGATTATTACAGACTCAGGTTATTGCATGGCACAGAGGCAGCCTGATAATGCAGATGACATCTTCTGTAAAATAGGAAGCGCAGCGTGCCTCCCAGGCCACATACCAGGAGACGCCCAGCACACGCGCCGCGTTGTCCTCTGTCCCTGCTCCCATACACTGCAGCTCCCATACGCTGAGCCTCGATGGGACCCTGCAGACACGCAGATGGGTCTGGTCTGATGCCTCTGGTCCTGGGGCAGCTCCCGGGCCTGGAGAGGCTCCCCTGGAATGCTCAGATTTCAAGCAGATTTCAGCTGCATATTAAATATAACCTTCTAAAAATAAAGATGGCCAGCCGTGAAGATGCTGCCTCACAACTAACTAGTCCCTTCTCAAAAACATCGCAGGATGAATCCTGAGTTGGCTGAGAGAGAGGCAAAGATGTCCCGAGGTTGGTCCCCATGAGGAGACTCCATACTCTGTGTCTGCAGATCAGGAATCTCCTCTTGTCATAACATCCCACATCTGGGGTTGTCTTTTTCCTCAATAAGGCCTACATTTTATCCCTGGAGGCCACCTCCGGCATGGGTAACATTCACCTGAGCTCTTGGTCCAGCCACCAGTAACACTTCTGGGCTCTCTTGTGCCTGAGAGGTGAGCAGAACAGGCCCAAGCACCCAGACCTTCCCACAGGTCCCCGGCACCCAGCCCCAAGGGGAGAGCGGAACCGGGTCTGCCCCATTCTGAGAATGAGGTGGGTGAGACTGGCTCACAGGGTGAAGTGTGAGGTGTCTCCACGTATCCATGGTTGCTGTCGGGTCAGAGAAGAAGCATTTTCCTGCGGAGCCCAGATGAGTAGAACTAGGAATGGAGGTGGAAAGTGCAACAACCCAATTTGGGAGTCAACAAAAGTAGCCTTTGAGCACATGAAGGCCATTCAGTCACAGGAGAGTCACCATGAGGGACGCTGAGCTCCCAGTGGTGATTTATGAGCCTTGAGTGACCATAGCGAGGGGGGACCGGCCAGCAGGATGGAGCCCGGACCTCAGAGTCACCACTCTGGGGCCCTCCAATCCCCATTTCGATTATTCTTTCCCCTCTCATTCCAATCCCTTCTTGTAACAAAGATTGCTCCATGAGGAGTACATGTAATGCTCTTTGAACAGACCATCTGCACATTCTAATAAGTTCTCAGTGGAACATTTACTGATGGACCCCTAAATGAATTAGGCGGGGCAGAAGTCCTTAGAAGTCCTGGGTTTCCTAACATTGTATGGAGCCCTTACTCTTTTCTCAGGGTGAGATCGATGATGGGGCCTGCCCTGTAGTTTCAACAAGGCCCCTCAGTAAATCTGACCTGAATTCAAACCAGTGGTGCAGGAGGACCCCCTTAAAGCACATAAAAGTGCTCCCTGACGGCGAGTCACCCGCCAGTCAGAAGCCCCAGATTTCAATGCCACCTCCCATCTCCTATTAACCAGCTGTGCACCATTCACCAAGTCACTTTGCCCCTCTGTTTGTTTCCTCTTCTGCAACATCAGGCAGACCAGAGGGAGACAGGATGCAGGGTATTTCAGGAGCTCCCATGTGACCATGATGGGCTTGTATCAAGCGCTGGCCTGGAATCAGGGCTGCTGTTCCTCCTCTCCTTCCAGCACTGCTGCCTACAGACAGCCGCGCCCACGCTTCTCCTGTGGAGATTGCCACATCCTGGCCCCCTTTCCCCGGTTGCCATGGAAAGATGAGAGCGGAAAGACAAGCTCAGCACGCAGGCGGATTCACGGCTCAGTCCCTGCAGAGAACTCCAGAGTCCCTGGGATGAACCTGTCAGTGCTGCAGGCTCTGCGGCTCATTAGCAGAGAGAGCAGCAGGCAGGGCTTCCTACAACTTCTCAGCACATGCCTGGCCCTCCCTCCTCACTCGGAGGTCTCCTGGATACCCTGGGTGGGCTTGCAATCATCACATGTTCCGTTTTTCTATGTAAGCCTCCCTGCAGAAGATCCCAGGCTATGGTTGACATGAGACACCGCTAGACAAGCTGGGTCAGCTCTGGAGAGTGACACAAGGGGACCTCTCCAATCCCTTAGGTACCAGCCAAGGAGAAGAAAGGGAACTGACCTCTATCTGGTCTTCATATATGCCAGGCACGGTCCCAAATACTTTGCACATGTGATCTCATCAAACCCAAGCAACAGTCCTGAGAATGAGCGTGGCATTATCCCCACTTTGTGGATAAACAAATTAAGGTCTGATAACCAAGAAACAGGCCTGTGGTCAGACAGCTAGGAATATTCCTAGCCCAACTCCATTTGTTTAGAAATGCAATTCCAAGATTGCACTCTTACCCCAAGTTCCAGCTTTCAATGTTGAAGTACTGCCTCTCCAAACCTTTAGTACGTAGTGGGCTGGACTATGGTCCCCAATTAGCACACCCTACCCCCTGGAAACTGTGAAAAAGGTCTCTGCAGAAGAGACAAGGAAAGATTATTGTGGATTATCTGAGTGGGCCCTAAATCTCATCAGGAGTATCCTTAGAAAAGAGGGCAGAGAGAGACTCGACACCCAGGGAAGGCCATGTGGCCACAGAGGAGAGATTAGGTCATGTGGCACCAAGGACACCAGGAGCCCCCAGAAGCTAGAAGAGGCAGGAAGGTCTCTTTCCTAGAGCCTTCCGGGAGAGCACAGCTCAGCAGGTTCTTTGGATTTTGCCCCCTGAAACTGATTTTGGACTTTCAGCCTCCATTACTGTAAAGAACAAATTTTGACTATTTTAAGCCATCAAGTCTGTGGACATCTGTTATGGCATCCATAGGACATGGAGCCCAGGATGAGGGCTCTGAGAAGTAGTGTGGGGCATCCATGGGTGCTTGTCACCACTCCCCAAATTATGCTCATCCTCTATGCATTCTAACAACACCCTAAGCAAATGGCACCCATGTTTCTCCAGGTTAGTATTGTTCTTCTGAGCTCCAGATGCAAACATCCCAAGGCCAACCTTCTATTCCCATGAAGACATGTCAGGAAGCTCACACGTTATACAAAGAGGAGTCCTTCACTTCCCCCACACCTCAAAAACCACACGACTGCTTTGGGTTTCTCCATTTATCAAGTGGTGGGAGCCATTCTTAATTCCTCCACTCCCCTCACGCCCAGCAGGGCTTCCAGGAACAGGTTATGATGATCCCCCTCTTCTCCCCACTGTGGTCCAGCCACGATCATCTCTGAATGGGTCATGGCAGCATCCTAATAACACCCCCAGCACCATTTCTGGCTGCAGCATTCACACAGCAGCAGGAAGGATCATCCCAAAGCAGATCTGAGTATGCCACTCCTGTCACTCAAAATAATACCCACATTCTTTACCAGGGACAGAGACCCTGCCTGGTCCTGCCTGAGCCAGTCTCCCATGCCCCATGACCAGTACCTGCTCCCTGGTCTCAAAGTCCTCAGGCTCTTCAGGGCTCCAGGCTTGCTCCATTTCTCCCTCAACTGAGATGCTTTTTCCCAGATCTCCAAGTCCGGCCCCTTCTCAGCAGCCCAGGTCTCTGCCTGCACAGAGGTTTTCCCCGTATGTGCCACTCCAGAGGCCTGTTCACCCCGCCACCACTCCCCAAACCCACCCTTGTTTTTTCATTTTTGTTAACAATGGCCTCAATCAGTTAGTATGCACTATTCATTTATTTACACTAACCCCCATGCCTGGCTTGAATTTGCCCCCCAAAAGTTCTTGTGTTATAAATTCAATCCCAATGCAACTTTGTTGGGAGGTGACTGGGTTGTGAGGTCAGGTTAGTTATTATGACAGTGGGTTGTTACAAAGTGAGTCTGGCACCTGGTGCTCTTCTTAGTCCCTGCCCTTCCACCTTCCACCTTCCACCATGGGATGACCCAGATGCCAGTGCCATGCCCTTGGACTTCCCAGCCTCTTCAACTGCAAGAAGTAAATGTATCTTCTTCATCAACTGCCTAGTTTGTGGTATTATGTTTTAGCAGAAAATAGATTAAGACGTCCCACTAGAATGCAAAACCCAGGCATGCTTGCTGTTCTCACGGCCGTTGTCTTAGCAATGCTGGATACATCACCCAGCACTCAGTAGGAACCCAATGCATGTTTGTTAAATGAATAACTGTCAGACAAACTGTAAATTGGACAGGACAGGTATTATTATGATACCTATCGTTAAATAAGGGAGCCAAAGCCCAGAGTAGTTAAGTGCCTTGTCTGACATCACGTAGCTCATAAATAGAAGAACAGAAAAGGTGAAGTGAGGTATTAGATACGAGGGAGTTGCACATGGTAAGGTGCCATGAGAGATAGGATGATTGTAGATCTTCTTCTCTTGATAGCCAGCCAAAATCAGGAACAGGAAGATACAGAAGACAGTGACAGGGAGCAGTCAGGCGAGGAAAGAAAAGCTCTAATTTGGCGATGGAAAATCCGCTGGGCAAAGCCTCACAGTCAGCAGTCTGGGAGGACACAGAGCTGAGGCAGGGTCAGGCAAGAGTCACAAGAATAAGAGAAGGCTGAGAAGGCCGGTGGCTAATGAGAGGAGTGGGGAGACCTGAGGGTGGAGCCAGCGGCACAGGTTTCGGCCAGTCTGAGTGCTGGAGAGCGGGCTGAGGGTCGAAAGGACTCAGCAGGCTGCCGCCAACCCCCCAGTGATGTGAGCAGAGCACGGGGAGGAGCCCAGAGGGAGGGGGGACTCCGGCATCACCTCCCACACAGACTGTGCATTAGGAATTCTGTGAGATAACTGTGGCCAGATGATCCCAGGGCACATGGCTCTCGGAGGTCAGACAATCCTGCTGCCTTGTGTTATAGATCACAGCACCCAGCTTTGCAACCCCAACTCCTTGCACAACATGGCAAATATTATTTTTCTCAATAAAAGATTTCTGGATGAATGATGATGAGGCCCATCAAGGTGAGTCAGTGCTCTAATTATCCATTGCTGAATAACAAACCACCCTGAAAAAAGCAGAGAGAAACAACCACCAATGTATTAAGCTTGTGGATCCCATAGGTCAAGGATTTGGACTGGGTACAACAGTGGTTGTCAGCCTCTATTCCTCAATGTCCAAAACTCTCAAAAGAACTCAGATGGCCAGAACCTGGAATTTTCTGGTGTTTCTTGACTCCTATCTAGTGGCTGAGCCAAGATGACTCAAGAGTGAGGTTCCATGAGCCTGTTGACCATGTCTGTTCATGTTGCCTTTCTCTGTTCCCAGCCTTCTCCCAACACAGCAGCTGAGTCCAAGGCGAGAAGGTTCCTCAAGTGGAATGTGACCATACCCAGAGCCTGAGCACAGGACACAGCCCTTTACGACCCAGCTCAGAAAGTCACCTGGTATCACCTACCCATCCTCTGTTGGTTGAAGTGGCCATTGGCCCACTGGATGCAAGTCAAGCGGCCACAGATCCCCACCCCTGGAAGAACCCACGGCCAACAGTTTTAAACTGCCATTGTCAGGAACTCGAGGTTCCCGATGCCTGTCTTAGTCTGTTTTCTGCTGTATAATGGAATATCTGACACCAGGTAGTTTGTAAAGAAAAGGAAGTTATTTCTTACAGTGCTGGAAGCTGGAAATCCAACGTCCAGGGGCCACATCTGGTGAGGCCCTTCCTGCAGGTGGGGACTTTCTACAGAGTCCCGAGGGGGCACAGGGCTTCATATGGTCAGGGGGCTCATGAGAGAGAGGCGACCTGGCTTTTACTAACAACCCATTCTCGTGATAAGTAACCCCACCCCTCTCTAACCCATCAATCCAGTAATCCGGTAATCAATGGATGGGTTAATCCATTCATGAGAGCAGAATCCTCATGACATCATCACCTCCCAAAGATCCCGCCTCCCAACACTGCTCATATTGGGGACCAAATTTCCAACACAAATGAACTTTTGGGGACACATTCAAACTATAGAAATGGCCGTATTCACCATCTCCGTTTGCCATACCCAATGACCACAGACTAGGGGGCTTAAAGAATCAGAACTTACTTGCTCGCAGTTTCAGAGGCTGGAAGTTGGCATCAAGTATCAGCAGAGTTGATTCCTTCTGAGGCCTCTCTCCTCACCTTCCAGATGCCATCTTCTCAGGGATCCTCAGGTGGTCGTCCCTCTGTGTGGCTGTGTCCTAATCTCCTCTTATGAGGATACCAGTCACACTGGGTCAAGGGCCACCCTAATAACCTCATTTTACCTTAATCACCTCTTTAAAATCCCTAGATCCACACAATTCAGCCTGATGAGGTGATCTGATACTCAGGTGAGGTCCTTCCTGGCTCTCAGGCTGCTCTGCTGTTTTCACAAGGGCAGAAGCTGATCCCAAAGTCCCTGCCCCTGACTCCACAGAGATGACCGTGGCTGGAAAGGCTGCGAAAGGTCCAGGAGTTACAGACGTCCACCTGATTTCAAAGTACATCATTAAAGTAAACTGTCCTCCCAAATGGAACACAGGAACATGCTGGCTCCTGCCAAGAGCTCGCCCCATTTGATCAGAGCTGCAGTCTCTCCCGTGATATCCTGGCGTCCTCCGTGGAAGTGCAGATTCTGGGCAGGACTAAATCTGTTCCTTCTTTCTTCTCTCCTTTCCTCTACTGAATGCATGCAGCCATTACAACAGTTTCTATCTCAATATACACATATTTTTAGGGCAGAAAGATAGTAGTGGGATCCCATATTGGCAGGAACTATCAGGGAAGCAACAGGATGTAAATTCCATCATCCTCACCTGGTGTCCTTTGCTTTTCCAACCCGTTTGTCACTTAAACTGCTCCACACCTTCCCCAGTGTCCCAAAGCCACACATGATAGGCTGCAAATCAGCACACAGCCCCGGGAAAATCTTTGGCCCATGAGCGTGAAATTTTTTAAAATATACATCCCCACTATCTTGAAGTGCAGGCTCCTTCTAACAGACAGAAAAGCAGCCTGGGTTTCTTTTTTTTAATCCACGGGCACATGGCAGATTCCCGTTCTGCCCACATCTGAGAACAAGAGCTTTGGGCAACCGGTCTCCACCATGTGCTGCTGGCAGGGGCTGGGCAGGAGGCGGAAGGCAGGAGCCAGGCCCAGCGTGGATGTCACAGTCCCCAGAGCTTAACGCTTATGGAGAGGCAGATTCTGCTCCGTGGCAGGGGAGCTACAGACATGGCCCCTAGTCCCACACCTGTCCGGGTCACGAGCCTCCTCTGTGAGGCCTAGGCATTCCCCTTCACAGCTCTCCATTCCAAAGGGCATCAACGACCCTGGCCTGTGGAAATCAATCCTGTTCTTAGAATCTCCATCATTTATGGAATCCACTGTTGCTTGCCAGAATTACAGTGGTCATTCTTAAAATGTCAGTTTAAAGCTCTACAATTATTATCTGCTAAATTCAGACACAATTCCGATGAGGAATTAATTTCTCACTCAGAACGCCCTCAGCTGCAGCGGGGAGAGGATGCAGCAGCCGGACCAGCTCCTGCAGCTGTGCTGCGTTCATGGGAGTTGCTAATGGGAGCAGGGGCTGGGCCTGTGTCTGTCTTTCCTTATCATATTACTCTCATTTCCGTTTTAAAAGATGCCCCCACCAACGTACATTGCATATCAATGATGAGATGACTTAATTTTTTGGACATACTGAAAAGAAGACTGGATGGGGGTGCCAGGCTCACACCCTCACTCAGTGAACCCCAGGCCGTGGAAGGGCAGTTGCTTTCTTGGCCTTGGGGAGGTGGGTGGCCATTGAGCAATGAGGCTGCCCAGAAGGGCACAGGCCCTGGAGGGGACCCGTGCTGGCACAGCAGGCTGGCCTGCCTAGGGGGGCTCTGGACACCAGCTGCCCTCCCTTCTGCCTGCTGCGCCCCCAGGCAGAACATCCAGAAGAAGCCCTCAAACCAGCTAGTGTAGATGGACATTGATAAAGGAGACTGGGCTACCAAACAGGTAGAGACATTGTGGCCAGCACTCCTGGGGAGGGAGACAGAATGGCAGCAAGAATTGGCTTGGGGTTCTTCCTGGCAGCAGTGGCTCAGACAGGGGTGGCTAAGGGTGGCCTGGGTGTTCGGAGCCCTCAGAGACAGAGGCAAAGCCCAGTTCTCCCTTGTCACTTCCTTGGGAAGGGGAAACTGGGGTGCAAGACCTCTCAGTCCACAGAAGTCAGCATTCGGAAGATACCAGCCAGCCAGAGAAGATGCCACCGGAAGCAGAAGTCCAAACACACAAGCCAGCGGCAGGTGCCCACATTAGAGAACCCAGTCAGGTGGTTCATGTCCCTCAGGAGAATCTGGTCACAGCCTTCACTGCTCTTTCCTCCTCTCTGCCTCTGTTTTTCTCTCTCCCCCTTCGGTCTTCCTCCTCTTCCTCTTAAATACAAAAAAAAAAAAAATGTGTGGTCTGGCAGGGGTGGGTAGGGCACATGCAGGGTCCGTCCCACCCCATTTCACCCTTGCAGCCACATGGGCCTCTGTGGGTCCTGGAAATGGGGTGCTGTTTGTACAAGGCCCTTGGAGGCAGCCCCTCTGTGAGTCACTGTTACTGCTCCTGATAAACCAATTGACTCAAATCTGTCCTGTGGCTCTCAGTTCCATGACCCTGGCTCAGAGCCTGGCACGACCTCCATGGCCCACAGAACCCAAGTGTATCCTTCCTAGAACAGTGAGGGTAGCACCTCCATGTGACCATGTGATCACTGGCCACTCCCTACATGCACTGATCATGTCCATCACTACAAGGGCCACACCTGAGAGGATCCAGGACCACTGCTTGATGCTAAGCAGATGCTGTTGACAAATGACCCAATAAGGACACAATGGCAAGGGTGGAACGGGGGGAAGCTGGAAAGATGGCCCCATAGAGCCAACGGTGAAACTGGAGGTGTCTGGGAGGATGACCCCATAGAGCCAAGGATGGAACAGGAGGCAGCTGGGAAGATGGCCCCATAGAGCCAAGGATGGAACAGGAGGCAGCTGGGAAGATGGCTCCATAGAGCAAAGGATGGAACTGGAAGCAGCTGGGAAGATGGCCCCATAGAGCCAAGGGTGGAATGGGATACAGAGGAAGATGGCCACCATAGAGGCAGGGTTAGAACTCAAGGCAGCTGGGAAGATGGCCCCATAGAGCCAAGGACAAAACAGGAGGCAGCTGGAAATCTGGCCCCATAGAGCAAAGGATGGAACTGGAGACAGCTGGGAAGATGGCCCCATAGAGCCAAGGATAGAATGGGAGGCAGCTGGGAAGACAGCCCCATAGACCCAAGGACAAAACAGGAGGCAGCTGGGAAGATGGCTCCATAGAGCAAAGGTTGGAACTGGAAGCAGCTGGGAAGATTGGCCCCACAGAGCCAAGGATGGAACAGGAGGCAGCTGGGAAGATGGCCCCTTAGAGCAAAGGATGGAATGGGAGGCAGCTGGGAAGATGGCCCCTTAGAGCCAAGGATGGAATAGGAGGCAGCTGGGAAGATGTCCCCTTAGAGCCAAGGATGGAATGGGAGGCAGCTGGGAAGATGGCCCCCATAAAGCCAGGGATAAAACAGAAGGCAGCTGGGATCCAATGGGCCACACAAATAAAAAAGCAGGGCTGCAGGTGAGGCCCAGTTGCCAGCAGCTGCTCAGTGCTACCCTTCACTGCCCCGATGCACACCCACAAACACGCGGACACACAAGACACACATACAGACACTCACAGAGCAGAGGCTGGATGTACGCTGTCGTCTGCCTTCCTCACCTTCCTGAGTGGGCAGAGCAGCAGCTTCAGGGACTGAAAAACCCACTCTGAGGGCAGAAAGAAAAGGAAAGCAAGGTTCATCTCCTCCTCAGAGGACCTCCAGGTTCAAAACCCAGACTCACACTCTCCCTCAGTAAAACCCCAGGTTCACACCCTCCTTCAGTATAACCCAAGACTCACACCCTCCCTCAGTATAATCCCAGGTTCATGCCCTCCCTCAGTGAACCCCCAGCTTCACACACTCTCAGTAAAACCCAAGATTCACACCCTCCCTCAGTGAACCCCAGACTCACACCCTCCCTCAGTGAACCCCAGGCTCACACCCCCACTCAGTGAACCCCAGGATCATACCCTCCCTCCGTGGACCCCAGGCTCACACCCTCCCTTAGTGAACCCCAGGCTCACACCCTCCCTCAGTGAACCCCAGACTCACACCCTCCCTCAGTGAACCCCAGGATCACACCCTCACTCAGTATAACCCCAGACTCACACCCTCACTCAGTGGACCCCAGGGTCACATCCTTCATCAGTGAATCCCAGACTCACACCCTCCCTCAGTGAACCCCAGGCTCACACCCTCCCTCAGTGAACCCGACTCACACCCTCCCTCAGTGAACCCCAGACTCATGCCCTCCCTCAGTGAACCCCAGACTCACACCCTCCATCAGTGAATCCCAGACTCACACACTCACTCAGTGAACCACAGGATCACACCCTCCCTCAGTGAACCCCAGACTCACGCCCTCCCTCAGTGAAACCCAGACTCACACCCTTCCTTAGTATAACCCCAGGTTCACACCCTCCTTCAGTGAACCCCTAGGATCACACCCTCACTAAGACCCCAGACTCACACCCTCACTCAGTGAACCCCAGACTCACACCCTCACTCAGTATAACCCCAGGTTCACGCCCTCCCTCAGTGAAGCCCAGGCTCAGGCCCTCCCTCAGGGAACCCCAGGCTCACGCCCTCCCTTAGCGAAGCCCAGGCTCACGCCCTCTCTTAGTTAACCCCAGACTCACATCCTTCCTCAGTATAACCCCAGGCTCACGCCCTCCCTCAGTGAAGCCCAGGCTCAGGCCCTCCCTCAGGGAACCCCAGGCTCATACCCTCCCTCAGGGAACCCCAGGCTCATGCCCTCCCTCAGCGAAGCCCAGGCTCACGCCCTCTCTTAGTTAAACCCAGACTTACATCCTTCCTCAGTAAAACCCCAGGCTCACGCCCTCCCTCCATGGACCGCTGTTCTCTGCGTGCTGGAGGAGCTGTGCTGCTGACTCACTGAATGGCTAGACCGGCTCTCCAGGAGGGACTCTGTCATCTCCACTTTAATGCTGTGGGAACAGGGGCTCTGTGAGACAAGGCTCTAGGTTTACGCAGCTCTCAGGCAGGAGACCTGGGGCCAAAGTCTCACTCTTCAAAACCTCCAGCACAACCACCAGGTGGGCAGCACACAGAGTCAGATGGGGAAGGCTGGTGCGCCCACCACGCAGTTTGTTGTAAGAAGGCATGCAGAGCCCTGGTGTGTGTTCACCCGGGGAGAGAATGAGTTCTATTGGCTCAAGGAGAAGGGGCCTTGTGGCAGTTTGGGGAATGGACTTGAAGCAGGTTAGAGGGAAGGGGAGCTGCATGATGGGCCTTATGGCAGGGCTGAGTGGCCAGTGGGGGCTTCGGAGCAGCAAGACCAGAGCTGAGCAAATCCTGAACTACAGCCGGGGTACAGTGGGAGGGGCACTAGGATGCACTGCTGGATAGGACCCCGGGCAGGTGATGGGCAGTCATCAAGAAGGACTTCTGGGTACCTGGTTTAGACAATGGGTGGGCAGTGGAGACTTCTCAAGACAGGGGATGAAGCAGTCATCAGGTTTGGGGTAAAAGTCAGGACAAACTGGCTTCACGTTGGTTGGTTTTGAAGAACCTGTGAGTCTTCCAAGTAGATAGAGCCAAACACAGGCCTGGAACTCTGCAGAGAAGGCAGGAGCTAGAAATAGGCGTGGAGCCCTTGTGAGGGTGCAGCACCACCAGGGACTGTGCGCAGGTGCAAAGAGGCCAAGAATGGAACTCCAGGGAGCTGAGAGAGAGAGAGAGGGAAAGAAAGAAAGAGAGAGAGAGAGAAGAGGTCGGGGAAGACAGGGCCGAACTGGATGACAGTGATCATGGGGAGGCCACAAGGACCAACTGCCCCACGAGGCGTGTGGACAGTGATACCTAATACTACAGAAACCGTCCTAGGATGCAACACCCAGTGGTGTGGGGACTGGGTGACTTTTGCACTCCTTTCCGGCCTGGGCACTCTTTCATCCTCTGAGTGCGAAAAACACACCTTTTCTATTCATCTTCTCCCGCATCCCCACAGTCTGGAGATCTGACCCACAGAAGGTCAGGCTAGAGAATCATGAGGGTGGATGGATGGATGGATGGATGGATGGATGGATGGATAGATGGAAGGATGGATACACTCACTGCCTCTTGCCAGCAGCTGAGGACTCCAGAGCAAGGGTCGCCTCTCCTGCCAGGCACTGGCCAGGCTACTGCTACAGCTGTGCACACTCCAATGTGACAGGCATAGCTCCCCTGGGCCGTGGCGAGCAGCAGAGCTTCAAACCGACTGTACATGCCAAGGCCGAGGCAGAGACACCTGTGCAGACTCCAGACAGCCCGAGAGTACCTGATGCCACCTTGAGCTCTTTCTCTACCACACCAGAATGTGTACACGCAGGCACATGTGCACACACATGCACACACAAATGCACATCCATGCACCCAGACATGCATGCTCACATAAACACATGCCAAGGCTTAGTGTCTCCCTCAGGGACAGGGCATACCTGTCCTCCACACCTCCTTTGCAGCCAGGGGGAAGCTTCTGACCTGCCCGCCCCCCTGTTAAGCACGCTCTGCACACGGGGACTTCCCAGTCCTCTCCCAGCTGTGGGCTGCTCTCTTGTCATCTGGCCACAGAGGCTGACAAGCATAAGCAGGTCTCCAACTTGGCCCCAGCTCCTCTTGGAGGCTGGACTGGCAGATAAATTGGTCCTGGAGGGAGGTGAGGAGGGGGAACAGAAAGAGGGGGGCCTAGAGGGAAGATTTCAAATGCATTTCTCTGCTAAACCAAACTCCAGCTTTCCAAGTCTCATAGCTGTGTTGCAAAGGCTGACAGAGCGCCAGCCCAGGCTCAGGCAGATGGTGCCAGGAGGGGCACAGGCCAAGCAGAGTGGGCAGGGATCCATCAGAATTCGGTGAAGCAGAGGCTCCAGGAGGAATGGTCTGGCCTGCCGACCTCAGAGCATCTCTAGAGGCCATTCCGGCTCATTCCGGCTTATTCCGGTTCTGTGAAAGCCAGAAGCCAGTCAGATCCAGCCTGAGAAGCACCAGCATTTGTCCTAAGAGCGAGTTGAGAGAGGACTTGGTGTACAGCCACACTCAGCAGGTGCCCCGGACCTTTAGCCCTTCGCAGACCGATGGCTGATACCAGTATGGCCATTTTTAAGTCCAGAGGAGGAGGCTGCACAGCACAAGAGAATCCAACTTCAAAACATACTTTCTTGTTGTTGTTGTTGACCAATTCTTCTCAGAGGCTCCCACCAGAGGCCTGCAAAATGGAGGCCAGCAGGGCCCCCCACGTTCCAGTCCACATTCAGTAAAAAGCATGTGGAAGGGGGTGCCATCATTCTCTGCTCATTCTGCTGTTATTTCCCTAAAGTCTTACCATAAAAGGCACAGTGCTCACAGGAATTGCTGCTTCCAGGTATTGGAATGTGGAGGGCATCACCCGACCACGGCTGGCTGTGGGTCCTGGGTATGGAGTCAGTGAACCAGGCAGACAGCACTCAGCCTGCAGAGCGGGCATCCTGGATTCCCGGCTCCCTGAGAGACAGTGGCTGCTCCAGAACTGCCATGGAGCCACCGGGTGTGGGAAGCTGGGATGGAGCACACTGCTTAGAAATAGACCTGGGGGTCTCCCACAGACAGTGTCATCCGGGGCCTGCCTACACAGTCTGTGTTGAGTCGGCAGGTGCAGCCGCGCCTACCTGAAATCTGAGTCAGACTCACCAGATGCCCACAGAGAAGGCATATGGAAGAGGGAAGTCCCCCGCAGAAGTCAGGAAAAGTCTGTATCATATACGTAACAGTATACGGAATGCTATCTGTCTCAGCCTTAAAACCAGTATTGCCGATTCTGAAATCCCAATTGCGTCTGTTCTTAGCATGACACGCTGTGAAATGTAAAAGCCTGAAGCCCTTCAGTGGCTTTCTGGATGTCAGACAATTCTTGCAAATAGCAATTTAGTGAACACAACCTAACCGAATAAAATCATGCCAACTGGATTCCCTTTGATCCGGACATACCACTCCAATGTATGGAGGTCAGTACTTAACATAAGGTATGACAAGTCTGCTTCAGCAAAACCATTTGAAAATTGGTATTATGACATGCCAAGGCCACAGTACTGCAGCTGACAGCCCACACCTCTCCAGCAGCCCAACTGCACTGAGGGCTTACAGGGCACTGAAAATTGTAAATCAAATTCATTCCTGAGAAAATGAATAAAGTGAATTTTTAAGAAATGCTTTAACTGGAATGTACTTGGAGGCACGGGTATGTTGTGGAGGAGATGGACGCCGACCCAAGACCAACTTGCCTACAAAAGTGGTTGCTACAGTCTACAAGCTTGTGCCTGCCTCCTAAATTTCTATGTTAAAATCCTAACCCCAAGGTGATGGTATCTGGAAGATTTGGGAAGTTGATTAGGTCATGGAAGCAGAGCCCTCATGAGTAAGGTTAATGACCTCAAAAAAAGAAGTCCAAGAAACCTCCCTTCCCCTTGGCTGGGGAACCAAATCACCATGAAGTGGGTTTTAAAGGTGATTCCAGTAAAGGCTCAGAAATGACAGAGGAGAGCTGCAGGGAGAGCCTCCGCCTTATGGAATATCTAAGTGGTCATGAACAGAATGTTGGTAGAAATATGGATGATAAAGGCCTTTCTGGTGAGCTCTCAAATGGAAATGAGGAACGTTTGAGAATGAAATACAAATGAGGATGACACAGGAAAGGCCATCCTTGTTATAAAATGGTGAATAACTTGGCTGGATTGTGTTTGTGTCAGGTGTTTTATGGAAGATGAAACCCCCAAACAATGGAAGTGGATATTTGGCTGAGCAGAGGGCTGCAGGAGCACCCGGTTCCTCTTGACTCCTCATAGTGAGATGGGAGAAGAGTGAAGCAATTTAAAGACAGAGATGGTAATCCAAAAGGAAGCAGAGCTTAAAAATTAGGAAAATTCTCAGCCTATCCATATTGGGAAACACAAGAAAGCCTGTTTGGGAAAGAACAAGGGTGTGGCCAAGAGACCTTTGATATGGAAATTAGCATGAATCTGCCATCTCAGCAGAAGACAGGTGCCATTCATGAAGACAATGGGGAGATTAGCCAGAACCTAGTGTCCATGACCACGGAAGAATGACCTCAAAGGAGTTTCAGAGCCTGAAGAGTGGCATGGCATCAAAGGAGAGGCCACAGCCACCTAGCCCTGTCACACATCTGAGCTCTACTCCCCGCACTCAGACACCAAGCTGCTCGGCGGTCCCAGGTGTGGCTCTGGTGGGCTGGAGGGGAATGTAGTTTGTGCAGAAAGGCTATGAGAGCATGACTACCTCCACCTAGATTGTTCTAGAGGGTTCTAGAGAGTAACATGACCCAGGCAGAGGGGTGTCTGGGACAGGGCAGCTGCAGGGAGCCCCCACTAGGGCAACGCCCAGTGAGGCCATGGGCGTAAGGCTGCTCAAAGCCATGGGAGTGGGGCTGCCCGGAGCCTTCAGCACCCAACTCCTGTGTGACAAAACTGTGGATTGGGCCCTGCACCCCAGGGTGCCTGGAAGGTGGGATCCAAGCCCCATTGAGCCCGGAGGGCAGAGCATTGAGCCGATGTTGATTCCTGATCTTTAAGGCCTTTCTTCTTCCCTATTTTTGCCCTGTGGAATACAAATGTCTGTACTACACGTGCCCCACAACTGTATTTTGAAAGCACATAAAACGTTTCATTTCACCAGCTCATAGATGATGAATTTGCCTCAAGACGCAAACCACCTTTGAGTCTCACCAGTATCTGATTCAGGTGAGACTTTAGACTTTTGCATTGCTGCTGAAATTAATTAAAACTTTTAAGGATGTTGAGATGGAACGAATGTATTTTGTATGTGAAGACATGAATTAGGAGGGTTCGGGACAGAATGCTATAGTTTGAATGTACGTATATCTCCAAAACTTATATGTTGAGATTTAAATCCCAATTTGATGGTATTAAGAGGTGTGTCCTTAGGGAGGTGATTAGGCCCTGAGGGCTCCACTGACAAGAATGAGACTAATGCCCTAAGAAAGATGCTTCAGAGACCTTCCTAGTCCTTTTGCCTCTTCTGCCCTGTGAGTGCATAATGTGCAGCCATTCTGCCATTGCTCCATTGTGCCTTAAGCCATGGGAAGACACTGCAACAAGGTGTCATCTTGGAAGCAAAGAGGAGCCTCACTGGACACCGAAGCTGCCAGCACCTTGATCTTGAACTTCCCAGCCTCCAGAATTGTGAGAAATGAATTTCTTATTTACAAATTACTTGGTCTAAGATATTTTGTTATAGCAGCATGATCGGAATAAGAGAGTTATTTTATGTATTTATAAAAACACAATGTTTCATCGCACTCCCTAAGGCTCGTGGTAGGGTTTGGGAAGTGGGCCATTTTACACCAAGAGTGGGAAGAGACAGACATGCAGATGTCTCCCTGAGCTTTTCAAGAAGCCTGAAGTCTGGTCATTGTTATCCTGGTTAGTCTAGTTAAGACCCTGCCTAAAATCACAGGCTAAGGAGAGCATGCCAAGAGTCATTCCCTCCTTAAGGGCTATGTTCCAAGGGGAAAAAATCACTCTATATAGATGCATCCTCAGATGAATGAAGATGTGGCCTCAGATCCTAGAGCAGGGAGGGGGCCCCCTTAGTCTTCACTTAGTCTGCCCCCTTAGTCTTTGCTTAAAATGCAGTGGAATATCCTAGTTAGTTTAGGAAACTTCAGAGACCCGGTAAGGCCACCAACACTTCCACACTCAGGGCAAGAGTCTCTATGGGAAATGGAGTGCTCCAAGTTGCCGCAGGTGCAGCGTGCGAGCTCAGTGTGCGCGTGTACATACAGGGGAGTGCAAAGCAAGCACTCGTTTGCATAGAGCCTCTCCGCATGCTCACAGACACACAGAGAAACGTGCACAGAGCCACCGCCTCTTCAGGAAACTTCCAGAGGCCCTTCCAAGTAGACCACTGGGTCTTCACCCACAGACTCTGCATCAGGGTTTCAGGATGTACCCTATCCTCAATGTCAAATATAGTGGCTTACCTGGTTGAAAGCTTCCACCAGGGGGCAAGATTTTCCATTCCACAGTGAGAATCCAGGCCCAATCCTGCTACAAGGAGACACATCATGCCTTTACCTTCCATGCAGATGTAATAGTGGCAAGGCAAATGCTCTCCTTGACCAGAGCAAAGACATGGGGAAGTTAGGGCAGAAGAGTCCTGCAGGGAGCAAAAAGAGGCGTGAGGGAAGAGGCCAGGCAAGGCAGAGTGTGAGGAGTGAAGCCCAAATCAAGCCTCTTGGACCTCAATAGCTGTCAAGGTCTTATCTTGGCTACAAATAAAATATTGCATTTTAAACCCCCAAATATGCCAAGACCATCCTCTGCCTCTCTGTCTCTAACCTTTCCAGACTGAGCTCTAGGATGCCAGGGAAAAGCAGCAGGGCAGTTAATTCCCGCATTCCTTCCACCTACAGCAGGCTCTGGGAGTCCAGTACATGCAGGGCCTGGGGGACAGCAGAGCCCCACCTGAGACAGAGGCTGAGCTCAGCAGCCAGTCAAACCCGGTCTGGTTCTGCTTCCAGATGAAAACGTCTCTATGTTAGTGTGTTTCTACACTGCTATGAAGAAATACCACAGAATGGTAATTTGTAAAGAAAAGAGGTTTAATTGACTCACAGTTCCACATGGCTGGGAGACCTCAGGAAACTTATAATCATGGAGGAAGGCACCTCTTCACAGGACAGCAGGAGAGAGGATAAGAGCCAGCAGGGAAAATGCCAGACGCTTATAAAACCATCAGATCTCGTGAGAACTCACTCACTATCACGAAAACAGCATGGGGGAACCATCACCATGATTGAATTACCTCCACCTGGTCCCACTCTGACACGAGGGGATTATTACAATCCAAGGTGAGATTTGTGTGGGGACACAGAGCCAAACCATATCAACCTCAGACCACCGCAGTCAACAGTGCAGCCAATGTTTCCTGGAATCGTTGAGCAGACATCAAATGGAGTAGCTGCCTTTTGTGTAGAGGCTGTGGTATGGATGTCTCTACGTTGGACCCACACTTGGCATCATGCAAGTCACACCTATCAGACGCATGACAGAGATGAAGCCAGCTGGTCCCGAGCGTGCCTATGCCTGTCCATGTCTGTGCTGCCTCGCTGCAGGCATGCACTCTCCTGCCGTGCGCTGAGGTGGACGCTGCATGGCTGGGACATTCTCTCTACCTGTCTCTGCCTCTGTGTCTGTCTGTCCCCCACACACACATGTGCGTACACACACAATGTTGCTGGTCCCTGTCCACTAGAATGCACTCCATGTGATGACTGTGGATCCTACCACGACCAGCACCAGAAATAAGGCACCAGCACAGCTCAGGAGAGGAACTCGCCCAGGTTTTGAAAGATTTGATCCATCATCCTCACTTTGAGTACAAGTCAAAAATAAAAACCTCCAGAGGCCAACCCTTTTTAAAATTCATTTCTTATTGCCTTTCTTTTTTCTCTCCTTTTCCTCTCTAGATGGTGGCAGCAAAATTCAAAGCAAGAGAATCCCCAGGGAAAGGACAAGATGGCAAGACCCAGCCTGGGGTGGCCACGGCCCTCCTCTCTGACAGGATCCTTCCCTGGGAGGTTTTCTCTCAACTTCTACACCCAGAACTGTCTCCAAAACGGGAAGCGTGTTAGCTGGAAACGACTCGTTCCTAGCAAGGCTGCTCCATCTGCATGGGCTCGGCGCTGCTGGGATCTGGGATCCGTCCTGACTTGTGATTCTGGTGCTGTTGCCTTGGGATCCTCGCTGAAATGCCAGCCACTACGTTGGCTCCCTTATAATCACCTCTTGCCCACTAGGGAAGGTAAAATAGCATCGAATCAGGAGGAGGAGGCATCGGAAGCACTGTGATGGGGACGTGGTTAGGTTTTCTTCCTCCAGCCCTGAACAGGAGCCTCTGAATTTTTCAACAGCTGTCTTTGCCCCTCTTGGAGAAAGCCCCGTCTGTTCCCCCTTCCTCACTGCGTAATCCTTCCCATACGCCCCTGCTCGCTGCCATTTCTGAAGGACACAGGGGGCTTCTGTTACCTGAGCCCTTTTTCCCTCACAGATGCCTGCAGGCTGAGGCTTGCTGGGGAGGCCTCTTCAAGGGACGCCTAGCCCCTGGACATCATCCAAGTTGGCAGCTTCACCACAGAGCTGCTGAGAGAAAGGCGCGGGGGGCAGCCTGGGCTGGCCTGCTGAGCCAAGATAAAGCTGCAGGAACCTGCTGCTGCCAGAAGGGATGTTTGCTGGGTTCCCACAGGTGACCAATGCAGGCAGAGACCAGCCAGGACTCCAGCTCAGGGACAGTGATGGGCACAGGGTCACGCAGGGCTCTAGGCTTGGCCCAGGTTTTGAGCCAACAACACCAGCTGCCTGGTGGTGGGAACAGACACAAGCACCAGGCTCAGTTTTCAAAGCTCTCCTCCTCCTTCTCCTGTTATTTAAGGTCATACCACATTGGAAGTGAGTCAGGCAGGTGGAGCCCTTTATGTCCATGAGGCAGGTGCAGCAGCCCAGGGAGGCAGGGTGGCCTTTCCCAGGAATAGCCAGCGTCACCTGGAGGCAGAGCCAGGCGAGGGCTGTGTGGGTGGCTCCCAGCCATGTGGACAGCAGGCCTGACTGTCCCTGTCCCCATGAGCCTCATGAAGGTGCCGCGGATCCGTCCAGGCGTGGGTGTTGTTCTCTTCCGGCCCAGCCTTCTCCCTCTTTCCACACACACGATTGGGCCAGCATCTCCCGTCTGCTGCCATCTCCTCTGCTGGTGGGGGTGCGTCAGCTGACCCTGTGCCCTCTGGCCTCATTTTTCATGGGTGTTGCCACTGTCTGGCTGTCTGCCCCTTCCCACATTAACTCTCACCCTCTGGCGGCAGAGACCTTGTCTTGCCCATCTCTGTATCTCCAGCCCCCAGTGGCCCTCAGTGCGCATTTGCCAAGGGAAATATATGCAAAAAGTACATTTGCATATCACAGCCCTGTGAGGCAGACACACCCAGAATCATTGCTCCTGCTTTGCAGAGAGGGTCTGTCCCTGGACCCCGTCTTTGACTGCTGGGGCCTGAGGGTGTGGGCGGACAATGAGGCACATCAGAAGGAAGTAGAGAAGGGAGAGTGAGAGCCTGTCTTTCGTCCAGCTCCCTCCCTGCAGGGCCACCCCTGGCCAGCCTTAGACCAAAGGACACAGATGCCAGCAAATGTCTCTGCCAGCCCCCGGGGCTGGCAGGTGGCCTCCCTCCCAGCCACACTCAGATGCCATGGCTGTGATTACAAAGAACACAGGGACCAGGGCACTTGGGCTCTGTGTGACAACCCTGTGCAGCTGGGGACACACACACACCACAGCATGCCACATATACATACACACACACACATCATACACACCACAGCACAGCACACACACAAACCATACACACCACAGCACAGCACACACACACACAAACCATACCCACCAGAGCACAGCACACACACAAACCATACACACCACAGCACAGCACACACACACACACAAACCATACACACCATGGCACAGAACACACACACAAACCATACACACCATAGCACGGCACACACACAAACACAAACTATGCACACCACAGCACAGCACACACACAAACACAAACTATACACACCACAGCACACACACAAACACAAACTATGCACACCACAGCACAGCACACACACAAACACAAACCATACATACCACAGCACAGCACACAGACACACGCAGACCATACACGCCATAGCACAACACACACACACAAACCATACACACCATAGCACAGCACACACACACAAACACAAACCATACACACCACAGCACAGCACACACACAAACACAAACTATACACACCACAGCACAGCACACACACACACACAAAAACCATACACACTACAGCAGAGCACACCACACGCACAAACACAAACCATATACACCACAAAGGAGCAAACCACACGCACAAACGATACACACCACACCATAGCAAATCACACACAAACATACACACATATACCATACATACCACAGCACATCACACACACACACAAACCATACACAGACCACAGACACCACACACTACACACACCGTATCACACATGCCATGAGTGCATGCCACATGAGTGCACGCCACAAGCATGTACCCCACATGCACACACATAGACACACACACCACCTTTCCCACCAGCACAGCCGCCCTGTGGTTGGAGGAGGCTGGGAGTGGTCTTTGCTGTTTTTTGCTTAGGAAGCTGTGAGCCCAGCACAAGTCCATGTGTCTCCTCCCCTGCGGCACACTTTATCTCCCCCCGTCCCCCACCTCCCTCTCCCATCCCCTCTCTCTCTCCCCACTGTGGTCCTGGGCTCAGGCTGACAGGAATCCTAAGAGGCAGGGAGAATGGAAAAGAGACGGACTGCAGGGGCAGCTGGGGAGACACCAGCTGTTCACAGAAGACTAGCAGCCAGGCGCCCAGCCTCACCAGGAGCTGAGCAAGGCCAAGGAGAGAGGAGGGAGAGGGGAGGGCCTGGGGGTGATGGGGAGCCAGGGAGGGAGGGAGGACTGTTGAGAGGGCCTGGGTGGGGGAAGGAAGCCAGGGAGGGAGGGGAGGGAGGGAGGACTTGGTGAGGGCATGGGGGGAAGGGAAGCCAGGGAGGGAGAGCAGGAGAGGGAGGACTGTAGGGATGGACTGCGGGGAAGGGGACCCAGGGAGGGAGGTGGGAGAGTAGGACTAGGGGAGGGCCTGTGGGGGAAGGGAAGTCAGGAAGGGAGGGGACGGAGAGAGAACTGCAGGGAAGCCTCCAAGGCTCAGCCCTTTCAAGCAGGGGCTTCCTGGCCTGGTCAAGGCAGGCACCGCCCTTTCACTCCCCAAAGCTGTCCCACCCAGGGTGGAGGAGGTCAGTAAAGGTCAGTGGTCTGGTGTCTCTGCACCTGTGCAACTACCATCTGCCTGCCCCCTCCACAGCATGGGAGTTGCTGAGCCTGGAGACAGGTGCAGGCCTGGCCTCCCCTAGACCCCCTCCACCACCTAAGGGAAACTGCAAGCCCATTGGCCGCTCAGAGTCCTCCTCCACACTGAGGGTCTTTCCTGAAGGCTCCCCCTTCCTTCCTGCCCTTCCCCCCTCCCCCTCCTTCTTTTTTTCTTTTTGCTTCCCTGCTGGAAACTGCCCAGGCCCCTTGGCTGTGGGGCCCTGCAGGGTCAGGCCGGGTGGACACTGCCAGGCTCCCGTCCCCTCATTTCAGTTGCCTGGGATGCTTTTGGGAGTGGACGGAAGGGCAGGCTGGTTGTGATTAGTGATTGTTCTGGAACAACAGACGTGATTCAGAGCTTCCCCAGGCAAGCAGGCCACAGAGAACCTGACACAGATGCCCACATGCGACTCTGCCTCCCAGTGCCATGGAGCTCTGCCAGAGCCTGGGTCGTGCTCACCTCAGGAGCTGCGGTCACACCTGGGCCCTGCAGAGCCACAGGGGTCAGCAGCTCTGGAATGAATGGAAGAGTCCGTCCCTGTTGTGAGGGTCCAGTCCTCATGCTGATCCCTGGTCTACCTGCTTGCCTAGGGCAGCCCCGGCCATGGTCCAGCCGCCGTGAGAGGCCCCTGGTCCTGCTATGGTGCAGCTGCCCTGACCCTGGACAGCCCCAGCTCCTTCCTGCAGCTTCCCTCCCTCCAGCAGCTGGGGCAGGCAGCAGGGTCCATGCATCAATCATCATGTATTGGATGTCAGTGTCATTCCCCTCTATAACATTTCTGGGCCAGAGCCTCCTAAGTGGAAGCGTGAGGCAGGGACCTCGCCGACAGGGCTGGAGAGGCCGGTGCTCTCAGCAGCCCCTCCTTCACAGGTGAGGAAGTCACCCCAAATCACAGGTAAGTGGGAATCTGCAGCCACCAAGACTGCGCAGCACAGGAGGGGCGTCTTGGGGCAGGGTCCTCCTGGCCCAGCCCGGCCTTTCCCACCCCCGTGTGGCTGCCCTTCCTGGAACACCTGAGGTGCCCATCCTGCGCAGCTCCCGGGCTCTGACAGCCTGCACTCTTGCTCTGGAAGGCCAGGTCCAGCTGCACTGACACTGCGGGAGCCCCGCTTCACAGCAAGTGTCAATAGCAGAGGCCAGCCCCAGAGCACACACAGACACCCTTCCTGCTCCCAGTCACCGGGGAAGCCTTCCTCAGGGTTTCTGCAGAAGCCCTGCCCACTGCCCCCTGCAGAGAGCCATCCTGCCACAGAGATGCGCCCCAGATGCGTCCTGGATGGATCAAGTCACTGCGTGTCAGGGAACGGCTCCTCTGCTGCTCCTGATGCCTGGCCACCCGTCCCGGTCCACCCCTCGCGAGGAAGGCCAGGCCTCCGCTCCTCTGCGGAGCCTTTCAGGAACATGAGGCCGCCTGTGTCAGCCATCAGGGTACCCACCGGCGCTGCTCATCCACCTGCCACCCCCACCTGCCACTTACTCCTAGCACAAGCAGGTGCCCCATGAATCCCGCGGAATGAGTTATTTCAGGATCCGCGGAACACACGTAACCAGACCCCCCCGTTTGTTGTTTTGGGGGACATTGGAGATATGCAGGGCCCTCTCAGAACAAAATGATGAAGTCAGTGGGTGCCTTTTGAGGACCTCTGCCCCTCCCCGCTCAGCCAGCCTGCTCCTGTCACTCGGCCTAAATCACTGCTAACAGCCACTGCGGGCACCTGCACACCACAGAGCCAAGCCTTTCCCGGTAGTAAGGCTTCATTTGTGTCAGGGCTTCACAGCCTCAAGGGCAAAATTACCATCATTATGCAGCATAGGGGGGTTGTGAAGGCGGCAGCCTCCCCTAGAGTCCCTACCAGGGAGAATGCTAACCATTGTGAAGGCTCAGGTCCCCTTTCTAAAGGCAGTTTATCACTGTAACCAGGCGACACCCCCCACCGTTTGCTCTCCTGCATGGGGGGCACATGTCTGGGGCCATCTGTGAGGGTCAGGGGACAAAAGGTGCCCTGGGCCCCAGGTCCCCATCGGACTGAAGGTAGAACGGAGGGCCTGCCTCAGGTCCAGCCATGTCTCCTGCCAACCGGGGGTCAGCAGAATTATTTTTAAATACAGACCCCATTACATCATCCTCTTCTCTAGGCCCCTCAGTGACTCCCCTAGCTCAGCCTCTGCCCCTCGCACGCACAGCCTCTGGAGACAGGCTCCCTCCTGGGTTTCACCCTCCTCTCCTCTTCCTCCCAGCTGTCCCTCCCTCCCCTCCGGGACACTGCATAAGGAATTGCCCCAAGACTCAGGAGTGTACACAGGCCCTGGGCAGGTTCACAGAGCAGCTCTGCTTCCAGCTGCGGGTAGTTCCCTCAGCGCCCCCCGCCCCACCTGCTTGAACCAGGGGTCAGCCATGATGGGTCGAGAATGTTCCCCAAAAGGATATGTCAAAGCCCTACCCCCAAGTACCTGTGAACCTGACTTTATTTGGAAATACGATCTTTGCAGGTGTCATCAAGTTAGGAGGTCACTAGGGTGGGCCCTGGTCCAAAACGATTGATGTCCTCAGAAGAGGAGAGAGACTGACACTCGGGAAGGAGAGCACTCTGTAAGGACGAAGGCGGAGACGGGACTGACGCCAGAAGGCAGGGACCCAGAGAAGGGTGCCCCCGTCAGTGAGTGAGCAGGCCCTGCAGATGCCTTGATTTGAACTTCTTGTGTCCAGGACTGGGAGGGAGCACACTCCTGCTGTTTTAAGCCACGCAGTTAACAGTGCTTTGTTCCACAGGGCAAGGCAGAGGCTCCGGAGAACAGAGATGCAGGAGACAGCAGGCTGAAGCAAGCTCAGAGCACGGCCACTTCCACCCATTTGCCTCTGGGCCAAGGCAAGGACTGGGACACATATTCTGCTCCCACGAGCAAGGCAAGGTGAAAAGCTGCAGCCACTCATTTTATGGCCGCGTTCCATGGCTTTTCCTGGCTGCGTGTGACCACGTTAGAGCTGTTAACGTGATGGTGGCCTCAGCTCTCACTTCTTCCCCACACGCCGCATCAACACAAACACATACCATACATGAGCACATACCACATACATACACAAACGCACGAAGCACATGAACACACACACACACCACATAAACACATGTCCATATATACACACCAGCAATTGCATACACGCACAAACACCACACACACACACGGACACACCCACCACACATACACACAGAAACACATACACACACCACATACACACATGCACGTATATACAAACACATGCATGCATGGAGAAACACCACACACATACACATGGACACACACACACACACAGAAACACATGCATAAATGCACACCACATACACATATATACACACAAACACAGGCATACATACACAAACACAGCACACGTATAGACACACACCACATACACACATATACACACAAACACAGGAACACACATACACATGTACAAGCATACACCACACACACACATACACATACACTACACACATACACACAAACATGCACCATATACATGCATACAAACATATATACACAAGCACACACACAAACACACACCACATACACTTATGTACAAACACACACACATGCATACATGCACAAACACCACGCACATACATACACACATTTATACACATGGACACACACACCACACACATGCATACACACATATGCATACACAAACATATACCACACACACGTACACACAGATACATGCACACACTGTAGATACACAGACACAAAAACACACAAATACATATAGAATCACATACATACACACAAACACATATATATGAATAAACACACAAACATGTGCACACCCATACAGACACACATGACATATACATGGACATACACACAAACACACACCACACATCTGCATACACATATACACATATGTATACACATATACACAATATACACACACACTGCATACACAGAGAGACACACAAACATGTGCACACATGTACAACCACACTACATGCATGCATGCATGCACACACGTACACCATACATGAGCACATACACACACACATACACCCACATATATACACACCACATTCACAAATGCAAACTACACACATGCATACACACACATATATTCATGCACAAACACAAACACACACCACACACTGACAAACACATGCACACTTAGGCTTCAGTTACACAGAAAAGAGATTGTTCCATGCGCTTCCTGACCTTGTGGGCTCTGTGCATTCTCTATGCAGAGTTCTCCTAAGCCACCTGGAATGGGGCCAGGGTAGCTCCTTCTCATCTTTTCCACCTTATTTCAAAGCTCTGTTTCCAAAGCTTTTACCACTCTCCATCTCTGACCTTTCTGCTTAACTCTAGAATTAATGCTGCCAATCTCCTGAATTATTACAACACTTATATTCCATTATAATTCTGTGTGTAATGTGAGTCTCCCCAGCTACAAAACGTCTCCAGCAGCCATGGGCTGTGTTTTCTCATGTTATATTCTCAGCTCATAACATCTGAGAGTCCCCCAAAAAAATTTAGTCAATGAAAACTGGATAAATAAAGAATGGATATATGGACAAATAAATGAATTAAATGCAAAATGAGACCATATTATTGACAACGAGTAAAATAAACTTAGTATATTAAGGAATTTTAGAAATAGATCATTTAAAATAGATCTAGAAACAGATCTTCGAAAACGGGGAAGTTTTGCAGGAAGAGAAGGAGATAAATGAGCTCTAGGAGGAACACCTCATCCATGAGGATGTGGGGAGACACAGAGCGGACTGGATTCTGCAGCCTGAGTGTGGCACCTATCAGCTGTCAGCGTGGACATGGCATACATGAAGGCCTGGAGAGAGCCACTGGGGAACATGAGGACGTCGCAGAGCCCACGCCTCAAAGGCTGATTAGCTTGCGTTCATAGCTGGACACTTATGCAGCCTTGACTCTTCATCCCTCCCGGTCTTGAGTTCCTTACCGACAACTCCAGCATATTCACATCCCTCTGGAGTTGTTACAAAACAAAATGAAATAGCATTTGAAAGCCCTGAGCCCATGCCTGTCTCTGAGTAGATCTCAATATTGATAGCTTCCTTCCTCCCCTGCCCACCTGCACATTTCTGATGGCTCAAAAGCCTGGCTCAGTAGCACACTTTCTGTGCCCCAAGGCTGACTGATGTACTGAAGGAACAAAGGGATGATCCCAATTGCACCTTCCATGTCCTGCTTACAAGGCCAGCGCCAGACATGGAAAGTTGGACTGGATGAATCTTACAGCCAATGATCTGATTATTTTTTATTTGCAGTTTAGGCTTCTATAACTTCATCCAAAACTCCATCCACGGGGCAGACTCTATGATATTTTGTCAAACAATCCGAAGAGGTTTTTGAGACTCTCAACTATGTAGCAGCTACAACTGAAGATAGGATAAAGGGTCAACAATAAGGAGGTATACAGGTGGATTCTGAGACCCTCAGACTTAATATTTAATCTTTAATTTTACTTCGAACATCCTGTTTTCCGAGCTACCACTGTAACAGTGACCCTGAAAACTATGAGCGCTCAAGAAAGCCACATGCTTGTCTCTGCATGAAGACTCTGCAATGATCATTCTCAACCTCCTCCACTTTCACGTGAAAAATAAACAATTTCCAATCATTTTAAGCAAACAACTCACGCTATTGCTAACACTGATGTAATTACAATGGGCACATTCAACTTTCACCCTATGACCATCGGTGAAGTTCTGGATGCATTTATCTGTAATAAGTGGGGAGCAATTCCCATGTTACTGTCAGTGTTTTGTAAAGTGATTTTGCAAAATTCTGGGGGGTGTAACGCATTTGACCCATGAGAAAACATAAGTGTGGGACAGAAGGTCATGACATGACTTAGGAAGAAACAAAGAAGAGGTGGAGGGGCTGGGCAGAACCGCTTCACCCATTTACTGGTTGTCTGACCTAAAATCCTCTGAGCTTCAGTTTCCTCATCTGTGAAAGAGATAAAAATCATAAGCTAGCAGTGGGCAGTGCATGCAATAATGCTTTGCACATTGTCCAATTTTAGAAAGCTATCAGTGATTATTACGAAATTTTGGTGAAGACAAAGTCATCTCATTTTTAATCTCAGTAATTCAGTGAGTCCTATAATGGACCCTCCCACCACAGCGAATTCTGAATCAGACTTCACCTTCTACATGCCCTCCCACCACAGCGAATTCTGAATCAGACTTCACCTTCTACATGCCCTCCCTGACTGATCTCATCGGCACTCATGGTTTTCATTTCCACATCCATGCAGTAGACGAGCAATTCTGCACCTGAAGTCCTGTTGCTGCCTAAATTGGAGACTTGTTCCCAGACCTGACTGTTGACTTGTCAAGTCACTTGAATGTTCCACAAATACTTCAAGCTCTACAAGTCCCGAACATAAGTCACTCTCTTTCCCACAAAACCTGGCCCTTTATGTTTTATTCCTGCTCCAAGTCAATGGCATCACTGTTGACTCATCCAAGCCAACCACGAAGGGGTCCACAGTAAGCTTCTCCCCTTCTCATATCTCCCCCGCCGATCCCATCCATTTGATCTCTATGTCCTTGTAATTCCACCTCCAAAATACATGTTAAATGTCTCCTGTCTCTCCATTTCCACTACCTGAGACCAGGCCCCTAACAGATTTCATCAGGATTTCTAGTTTCCATGGCTCCAGTCCTGTCCCACTTAATCCCAACTTTCCCTGAAGCTAGAGATATTTGCAGGAAAATCTAAATCTTGTCTTCATGTGTCTGTCCATGCAGTTCAATCTGCTTTCTGGATATGTAAGTACAGCCCCATATCAAAGGCCCAGACATCCAAAAAATAATAATAATAAAAAACCTCAAGTCAAACTTTACACTTCCAGGAAGCTCTCGGGTTCAGCAAGGGTCTTTCAGGTTCCATGCCCTCTCTGCGTACTCCTCTCAGCACATTCGTTTCTACTGAATCACCTCCAAGTCACAGAACTGTGTGACAGCGATACCCCGTATTCCCATGCTTCACAGACTCCCTGACAGGCAGAGGTCCAATGAAAGTCATTCACATAAAATTTAGGATGCAGGAAAGGAAAAACGATATATTTCTCATAAGCAATCACGGGCTGGCGTATATTTGTCAGCGGTCGGCTGGCAGAGGTAGGATTTTTCCACCAGCTTCCAGGCACTTTCATTGAAATCACCCACTCTGGACTCTGGAGCAGGTATTTTGGTGGTGTCCCTGCAATGCCTACAGCCTCCTCCTCTCCTTGTCAGCTTCCCATTAACTCACACCTGTCTGGATATCCTGAGAGCAAGCAGTGGCCTTCCTGGCTATCACTCCCCAAGGACTTATTATGTCTGTGTGTGTGTGTATATATATATATATATATATATATATATATATATATATATATATATATATATATATATCTCCCTGTATTATTTCCTTACTGCTTGAAGATACTTAGAGTGGCTTCTGTTTTTCTGATATTCTGTATTAGAATATTCTTACCACTTGTGCTTATGAGTGACACAGCAGTGCCTCTACCAGAGGAGGTATCTAGTAGTATTTCTTAACCTGAACTGAAACTTCCCACATCCATCCACCTCCTCAGAACTCTCCAGGAAGGTAAGCAGGCAGCCAGTTCCTCCTTGTCCTCTGCTATTTCTGCCCATATTTAGGCATAAGAACAAAATGGAATTGATCATCATGGGAACAGGCATGAGCTCTGATAGGATCATTGCCAGTACTTAACTGAACTCCATGTTGGAAGCTGCTTTTGGGCCCCCACCAGTTGCCTAACATCCCGAAGGGATGCTGTGCTTCTACAGTGCCACCCAGGAGGCTTTGGGTGAGGACATTTCATGAAACGTGTCTAGTGCATGATCCAGAGGGCTCTCCCTCATGGGGTCTGGCACACTAAGTGCTCAGTCACGTTACTTAGCTACTATTAGTAATGTTATCACTCACCTACAACCTAACCCAGCCACCTACAGCTGCCAATAATCTGGCCTGTTTCTGCTCATTACCAGATGTTGAAATGTACCCTTCATAAGAGAGGAAATACAAATGTTTAATCAATGTATACAAAACAGCCACCTCCACTGATTAAAAAAAATTAAAATAAAAAGATCTGTTTTAATAGGTCATTGCCAATGTTGGAAAGTAGTTATAGAAGCAAACTTTACCAAATGCTCTATTAGATACTTCCAGAAGATCTATGCTTTTTTTAACCTTTCTAGAGAGCAATTTCCTGTGCTTATTAAGAATTTTTAAAACTTCATATTCTTTGATAAAAAGAAAGAATATAAAATACTAACAGAAGTTTTGACCCAAAGTTGTGTGGTGTGATCAGTGTATTGGAAGACATGGATAGCACGCTGGAAACAGAAAGCTGCTGTACTCCTTTACTCCATTGCCTTATTGTCTTACAAAACTGCTCCCTTAACTACTTTCTCCTAACTCTCAACAACGACGTGGACAGGACCCAGAACTCTTCAAGACACTCTTGGGTCATAAGAAGTTCTCTAGTCAATTGCAGATAATAGGAAATCCAATCAAATATAATATCAAAACTATAGGCTTTTACCCAGTTTAAAATTGGTCTCTTCCCAGAGTACAGACTTCCTCTATCCAGGACACCTTCATTGAGGAAAGTGCAGAATAGAAGGATGGGTCACTGGTGGCAGGACGGAGAAAGCTCTTATTTGACTGGTTTTGTCATAACTAGTTGTTTTTGCCATCAAATTACAAATGCTGATCCTTTCTCTGGGGAAAACATTGAGGTCTAACAGCAGGAAATTTTCTAAACAAGATATTATGTGATGTAATTTAATTTGATGCAATATTATATTACCTTTAAAAATGTCACTTCTTTAAAAAGTTTTCAATTACCTAGAAAAACACTCATGATAATGTGTGATGCATAAGATAGTATACAAAAGTATATCTACCATTTGAGGGAAAGAAAATTTCCATAGAAGAAAGACTTGAATAATGTATAGGAGAAGACAATAGTATTTATCTCTGCGTGGATGGTTAAAGGATGATTTTTTACTTTTTTATAACTTTCTACAATATTCAAATGTTTTCCAATGAGGGTATACTGTTTGGGTAATCACCAAATAGAATTAAGTTTAAAAACTAAAGAGGGAACATGAGCATTGCCTTCTCAGGCCTGAGTGCCCTGCAGCCTTTCTCTTCTTCACCTTTCTCTGATTTGCTCATAAGTTTACAGGTTAAATCATTCCCTCCAAGGAGGCAAGATTTAGCCCTTAATTCTTTAAGGCAACATCTCAGCGCTGCAATGGTAAGCAGGCCAAAGAAAGGGGAGTGCTTCTTGGCCTCTGACCGTCCCTCAGAAAGTCCCTCGCTGCCAAGAGAGAGCTTCATCCAGTGGAAGGTTATGAGCTCCCGCCTCTGTGAAGTGGGTGAGAGGACCAAAGATCTCCAAAGAGCCTCCTCCCTGGACATCCCCACCCCAGAGCTCCTCAGCCCTCAGCCCTCCTCTCTCATCCCCACGTGCTGTCTTTGTGATGCTATTCAATCCCATGGTTTTAAATGTCACTACAGCTGACAAATCCCCATTTTATATTTCCAGTCATCACTCCTGTCATAAGCCCTAGACTCTTCACGCAACACCTTCCAACCTCTACAATCAGAATTTCACACACATCTCAAAATACCATTTTAAAATTTAAATCTTGATTTCCCCCAAATCCATCTCCCTTCCTGTCTTCCCCCAGCTCAGACCACTTCCTATCTGATATCCACATTGATAAAGAGATCCTATCCCCATCATTACCCAGGCCACAAGAATTAATAATTCATTCCTGATTCCTCTGTCCTTTGCATCCTACATCTGCTCTGCTGGCGAATCCTCTGGACCCAACCTCCAAACATGGCGCTTCCCCTTCTCTAGCTCTGGGCATTACACTAATAACACCCAGCCTTGATGGGGATCTGAGCCCTTCCCATAGGAGTCACCTCTCCAGTCGCAGAGACTAGGATGCTGAGGTACAGGATAGTTAGGCAGCCTGCTCCAGAGCACGCAGGCAGAGGCTGGCGCAGTGACGGCGCAGGCAGAGGCTGGCGCGGTGACGGCACAGACACACAAGAGGGCAAACGAGTGATGGAGTGAACAAGTGATACACTGAACAAATGACAGAGGGAACGCATGGTAGAGAAAGTGTGATAGAGTTAGTGCACGATAGTGAACACATGCTTGATAGAGTGGGTGTGTGACAGCAAACACGTGATATGCTCAACACACGATAGAGGAAAAGTGTGATAGTGGACACATGATAGAGCAAACATGTGATAGAGTGTGTAACAGAGTGAAGGCGTGAAACACTGAATATCTGATAGAGAACACATGAGAGTGAATGCATGAGAGTTAAGTGTGATAGTGAACGCATGATACATTGAACACGTGATACAGTGAACACATGAGAGTGAATGCATGAGAGTTAACGTGTGATAGAGTGAACATGTGAGAGCGAATGCATGATACATTGAACACGTGATACAGTGAACATATGAGAGTGAATGCATGAGAGTTAACGTGTGATAGAGTGAACATGTGATAGAGTGAACGCATGATACATTGAACACGTGATAGAGTGACCATATGAGAGTGAATGCATGAGAGTTAACGTGTGATAGAGTGAACATGTGATAGAGTGAAAGCATGACACACTGAACACGTGATAGTGAACACATGGTACAGCAAATGCATGATAGTGGATGCATGACAGAGTGAACATGTGATAGAGTGGACATGTGATAGAGGGAACACGTGATAAAGTGAAAGCATGAGAGTGGAAGTGTGATGCTGTGAACACGTGAGAGTGAATGCATGAGAGTGAACATGTAATAGTGAACACATGATAGCACAACTGTGCAACTGTGGGATGGAATGTACGTGTAATTGAGTGAACATGTAATAGAGCAAATGCGTGAGAGAGGCTGCATAGTAGAGAACATGTGGTACAGTGAATATGTGATAGTCCATGCATGACAGTGAACATGTGATAGTGAACTCATGGTAAACATGTGATAGAGCAAACATGTGACAGAGTGAACATGTGATAGAGTTAATGCATGACAGAGAAGGTGTGATTGTGAACATGTGATCATGTGGTAGAGTGAACGTGTAATGAACACATGATAACACAAACGTGTGATAGAGTGGACACATTACAGAATGAACACGGGATAGTGAATGCATGAAAGTGAACATGAGATGATGAACACATAACATGAATGTGTGATAGAGTGTACACATTATAGAGTGAACATGGGATAGTGAACACACGAGAGTGAACATGAGATGGCGTGAATGTGTGATAGTCAATGCATGAGTGTGAGCATGAGATAGAGTGAAGGTGTGACAGAGTCAATGTGTGAGAGTGGTTGTGAGATGGAGTGAACATGAGAGTGAATGTGTGATAGAGTGAGCATGTGATAGAGTGAACACGTGATAGAGTGAACACGTGATAGAGTGAGCACGTGACAGTAAACATGAGCTAGAGTGAATGTGTGAAGGTGAACGTGAGGTGGAGTGAACGTGAGATTGTCGATGCGTGAGAGTGTGTGATATATAACGTGTGGCAGAGTGTCACATGATAGAGTGAACGTTGACAGGGAACGCGCGATAGTGATTGAGAGGAACAAGGTGGAGGAGGAGAGAGACCCTGGAAGGGTGGTTTCATCAGGGCCCATGGCCTGCCCAGAGGGAGCTCTCCCCAGTGTCCTGGGAAAGGGGTAGGGCCAGGGAATGTGAGCCAGGCAGCCTCAAGCAGGCCGGGGCGCAGGGGCCCGGGCAGCCTCTCCCCAGATGTTCACAGTCGTGTCCCCTGCTCAGCAGAGTGGGCCTTTGGGATACTTGGGCCCCTCGCAGGTGAAGGTGCAGCCTGGCCACAGACTCTGGCCCTAAACAGTGCTCAGGACGGGGCTCAGGACAGGGTTTGGGCCAGTGAGTGAATGGGCCCACCAGGGGAGGAGAAGGATGGCATTCATCTTACTCCAAATGCCTGTTCTGAATAAGGCTCAGACATAAAAGAGAAGAAAGGGACACCAGCCTTTCTCCCACTTCACGTCTTGATTTTCTCCCTGCCCATACTTCCTGGGAGTCCATTCTGGCTCTGCTTGTGGTTTCTCTGCAACCTCTTGCTCTTGGGTCATTTAGGGGCATCGGTCATCGGTGGTTCAGAAACCCCAGGAGAGGTCAATAAGGGCCTTTTAAAAATCTTTCTCCAACCACACCTTTCCTCCTAGCGTGCTGCAACTGACAAAAGGACAACAGGGAACCACTGTGGTTATGCAGACAGGTGCACGACACTTCACAGAATTTCACAGGAGATGGGGACAGTACGGCTACAGGCCTTCTGCTTCTTCCGACTGTGTGACTGGCGGGGCCTCCAGCCGTCTCTGTCTCCCTGCAGTCCTTTGCCTCCTAGGCTGTTCCCTCATCTGCTCCCCACACCCAGGCTTCCCAGCTCACACTTCCCGGCTTGTGAATGCAGAGGTGCCGATGATGCGGGCAGCAGGCAGGGGCTGGGGCCATGAGCAGATGCCCTGGCCCCGGAGGAAGTCAGCGGTGAGCTCAAACTCCATAGTGACCAGAGGAAGAGGGCAAGGCCAAGGCCACGGACAGCCGGGCTTCAGAGGGGTAGGGCTGTCACAGAAGGGTGCGAAGCAGTGACCCAGAGTGGCAGAGGGAGCACGGCTCACTAGGGGAGAGCCAGGCTGGGGCCCCACTGGGATGTGAACCTGGGAGTGCCCACTGCATGATGAGGGACAGCAGGAGCCACCACAGGACAGGAGCCACCCCGAGGGAGCTCGTCGAGGGCCTCACGACCTCAGGACGCTTCTATGAGGGGAACACGCAGCACCACACCTTCTTCCTACTGTGAAATTTCTGTCACCTTCAGCCAAACGCTTTCACACTGTAAGAGCTACTTCAGTTAAAAATAGATGGAAAAACCCTGTGTAGGACCAACCTCAGGAATTCCAGATGCTCTGTGCTCCAAAGTAGAAAGAAAGATGGTGCAAAGAAATCAGCTGTCCCACTTGTCTCCAAGCCATGCCAGTAGGACAGCACTTCCCCCCAGACTTCAGGAAGCTGACCTCTGAGTCCAGAGGCCTGCACCTAGGGCTCGTGGGATCCAGGTGCTCTGAGTCTGGAGGCCTGCACCCAGGGCCCATGGGATCCAGGTGCTCTGAGTCCGGAGGCCTGCACCCAGGGCCCATGGGATCCAGGTGCTCTGAGTCCGGAGGCCTGCACCCAGGGCCCATCAGATCCAGGCACCATATCCCAGTAGATTATTGTATGTGCTATTGCGGGTGGCACCCCACTGTGCAGGGAGGGCTACACACCAGACAACCTGACAGAAATTCCGACTCTTGCATCCCCCCAGAATCCACATTATACAAACACACACAACTCATCAGTGAGCACTGGGGCCACACAGACTGCCTGGAGCCCCACAATGGACAAAGGTGGACATCAAATGCTCTGTCCTTTAATAAAAGACCAAGCTGAGACTTAGTGGTTCGCACCCTCAGGGGACAACACAGCTCACAGGCACAGCAGACACTGCCTCTCAGAGCTGTATCTCCACAGCTCCAACTGTATTACCCAACCCAGAGGAGGAGCTTAAATGTCCAAATAAGATGAGACCATCACAGCCAAGGACAGTCAGAGGGTCGTCATTTTTGAGAGAGACACCATCAGTGCTGGTCACCCGCCAAGTCACCACCTCTTAAACCTGTCTGGGCAGCTTGAGAGGCAAAGATTCTACCTGCTCAGAAAGGAACAATAGCACCCCACCAATCCTGCACTTTCTGTAAAACCCTCTGGTGCAGGTGCCCATGGGCTGGTAGACTGATCCACAGTGTTGAAAAATATCATAATATAATTTATAAAGTCAGACAGCAAAATAAAATCAAAGAGTCAACAGCCCAAGAGGTAGTGAAGAATGGCGCCATCCTCCCAAGACAGGGTGAAGCTGTTACCATCTGATGAAAGTCACGCCAGGAAGCATGGCCATGTCTGTATAGGCCAGCGGGGAACAGAAACCTCAGGACCCACCCTTGGTAAAAACATCCTCAAACCAGGCAAGTGGATGTAGTTTTCTTGAGAAAATCAATGCGAATTTCATCTCTTTTTGCTCAACCAATGGAGACTTAAGAAAAAGTATGCTAATAAAAGATGCAAAGTTGATGTAGTGACATCTTTAGGTAGCAAGGGAAACTTGCCTGCTTTAAACCACTTTTCCCTTGTAATAGAATTGTGTACAGAGAATGATAAAAATCACAGGACCTTCCAACAAAAAGGACCTGGAAATCAATCTAGTACAAACATCTCATCTTATAGATGAGGAAACTGAGACCCAGGGAGACTGATTTGCCCACGACGGCATGAATGACCTGAGGCGTGGCTCCAACAGCCCTGAGTTCAGCTCCCCGGGAGTGGATACTGGGAGAGGATGGAATTTGTTGGTGGGTTTTGGAGCACATGAACAGGAAGCAGAGGATGTTTATGTTTCTTAAGAACACTCATATCAATAATAATCAACGAACACTAAGTACTTCCCAATTATCTCATTGAATGCCTAGCAACCCCACAAAGGGAGGCACCGTCACTCACATCATTGTACAGATGGAGGAAAGGAGCTTGCAACAGTTCAGCCACTTGCCCAGGGCCACACTGATGAAAATGGCTGAGCTCGATTCAGACCCACCTCCAAGTCTGCACTCCTGAAGATGATGCTGTCCGTGAAATTGAACACCGGTGCCTGGATAGATGGGATGAGCACCAGGGCCTGCCATCACCGATTATTTGCCAGCTTGGGTTCCGAGCCTATGCACAGCCATGGTGGAGTCATGCCCCAGCCCTCCTGAGGTGGCCACACAGGAGAGGCATGCTCACCACCTTTCCCTAGCTCCGAATAGCACTGTGTCTGTGAAAGGAAAAGAAACCTCGGGACCCCAAATCACTCAGCCAAGGCAAAAGACAAGCTGGGAACTGCATCAGGCAAAGCTGCTTCCCATTCTAGTCCTAAATAAGGTCTCTGCAAGACAAGAAGCTACAGACCTCCCTCACAATTTGCCCACAAGGAAACTCCTTATGGACAAAGGACAGACAGAACTCAAAGTCATCCCCCTGAGGCTCCCCAGAGGCAAATGTGTATCTGATGACTTCCTCTGCCCTATTGTTTATGTAAAAATGCAGATTCACTGGGCCAGACTAAGTTGTGTATTCAGTGGAAAGGTGATCAAGGACTCAGAAGAATGCAATCTTGTGTCTCTTCTCTGCTTATGACCTAGTGGGACACTTCGAGTTGTCCCACCTTACCCAACGGAACCAGTGGACATCGTACACATACTAACTGATGTGTCAAAGCTGCATCGTACACATACTGACTGATGTGTGAAAGCTGCACCCGACCACCCTGGGCACGTGTCGTCGGGACCCCCTGAGGCTGTGCCACAGGCACACCCTTAATCTTGGCAAAATAAGCTTTCTACATTGACTGAGACCTGTCTCAGATATTTTGGGTTCTAAAGGGACGGTGTTGGCTGCCTAGGAGCAAGCCTGGGAGTAGCACAGCAGATGAGGGTTTATTTCCCACAGCTCCAGGAAACCTGGGAGCCCCTGTCTGGGCTGGTGTGGGGTCCCCTGTCTGTCTGGGGTGGTGTGGTGTCTCCTGTCTGTCTGGGGTGGTGTGGAGGCCCCTGTCTGTCTGGGGTGGTGTGGGGTCTCCTGTCTGTCTGGGGTGGTGTGGGGTCTCCTGTCTGTCTGGGGTGGTGTGGGGTCTCCTGTCTGTCTGGGGTGGTGTGGAGTCCCCTGTGTGTCTGGGGTGGTGTAGCGTCTCCTGTCTGGGGTGGTGTGGCGTCTCCTGTCTGGGGTGGTGTGGAGTCCCCTGTCTGTCTGGGGTGGTGTGGAGTCCCCTGTCTGTCTGGGGTGGTGTGGGGACCCCTGTCTGGGGTGGTGTGGGGACCCCTGTCTGTCTGGAGTCATGTGGGGTCTCCTGTCTGTCTGGGGTGGTGTGGGGTCTCCTGTCTGTCTGGGGTGGTGTGGGGGCCCATCTGTCTGGGGTGGTGTGGGGTCCCCTGCCTGTCTGGGGTGGTGTGGAGTCCCCTGTCTGTCTGGGGTGGTGTGGAGTCCCCTGCCTCTCTGGGGTGGTGTCGGGCCCTCTGCCTGTTTGGGGTGGTGTGGAGTCCCCTGTCTGTCTGGGGTGGTGTAGGGACCCTGTCTGTCTGGGGTGGTGTGGGGACCCTGTCTGGGGTGGTGTGGGGTCCCTGTCTGTCTGGGGTGGTGTCAGGCCGCTGTCTGGGGTGGTGTGGGGGCCCCTGTCTGGGGTGGTGTGAGGGCCCCTGTCTGGGGCGGTGTGGGGTCCCCTGCCTGTCTGGGGTGGTGTCGGGCCCCTGTCTGGGGTGGTGTGGGGTCCCCTGTCTGGGGTGGTGTGGAGTCCCCTGCCTGTCTGGGGTGGTGTCGGGCCCCTGTCTGGGGTGGTGTGGGGGCCCCTGTCTGTCTGGGGTGGTGTGGGGGCCCCTGTCTGTCTGCGGTGGTGTCAGGCCCCTGTCTGGGGTGGTGTGGGGTCCCCTGTCTGGGGTGGTGTGGAGTCCCCTGTCTGTCTGGGGCGGTGTGGGGGCCCCTGTCTGTCTGGGGTGGTGTGGGGGCCCCTGTCTGTCTGGGGTGGTGTGGGGGCCCCTGTCTGGGGTGGTGTGGGGTCCCCTGTCTGTCTGGGGTGGTGTCAGGCCACTGTCTGGGGTGGTGTGGGGGCCCCTGTCTGTCTAGGGTGGTGTGGGGGCCCCTGTCTGTCTGGGGTGGTGTGAGGGCCCCTGTCTGGGGCGGTGTGGGGTCCCCTGTCTGTCTGGGGTGGTGTCGGGCCTCTGTCTGGGGTGGTGTGGGGTCCCCTGTCTGTCTGGGGTGGTGTGAGGGCCCCTGTCTGGGGTGGGGTGGGGTCCCCCTGACGCCTCAATGTCCCAGGCTTTTCCCCTTCTCCTCTCCCGATAGATTCCATCTCCACGGTCACCTCATGGCTGCGAGATGGCTGCCTCACCTCCAGCCTCCTGTTTTAATTCCAGTCCAGAAGAGGAAAGCAGAAGCTTCAAGAGGAAAAGATGACATCCTGATTCTCTTCCTGGGCTGGGAAATGGTGCCTGAAACTCATGCGTGCACAGAGAACAAAATCAGTGTTTTATTAGGAAAAGAATGGGAGGAATCGGTGCAGGGGGAGCAACGTGCAGCATGTGCCACGGTCAGCTGGCCTTAAGCCACACGTGTCCCTGGGTGCTTTGCCGTTCTTTTGAGCACGTTCCCACAAAGCTGTGAAAAACAACAGGATCAAAGAGTCAGCTTTCCCGGAAGCCTTGTTGAGAGTGTGCCAGGTGGCGGCCCCAACGCACTCCCATCCCACATGTCCTCTCGGGAGGGAGCACTTACGTCCCCAAGGCTTGCACGCCACTGGCATTGCCTGGAGAAGGGGCCATGGCCCTATTGCACTCACTGCATTTCAGTATCTAGTGGAGCTCCTAACGAGGATGGAAAGTGTTAGTGTTTGCTGCACCAACGGATTAATTAGTTACTCCACAACCAATCTGTCAATGACCAGCTAGTCCATCAAGCATTGCATTAATTCACCTGGAAGTTTGGTGGAAGAGAAAATGCTAAAGGGCTTTAGCACCCAATAGAGCACAATGTACCAAAACCAGCATCCACACTACAAAAAACTGCCTCGATGAAACGCCCAACGTCTGCAACCTGGCCAGCCCCAGCCCCTCAAGCATCCCGGCAGACTCCAGGCTCGGCGGGGCTGACAGCAGATGCTTCCTGGGCTGGGGAGAGAGAACAAAGAGAAGAGCACCACTTTTAAGGAGTTGCTGACTGGAGTGATCTTACCAGCTCTAATAGATGCCTCACAGGTAACATGGTTTATGTCACACCAGGCACGACCTTCAGAACTTTTCTAGAAACCCAAGGCAGCTGCAGCCATGGCCGCATCCTCAGGCACCTGGCCTCCTGCGCTCAGGCCAAGTGAGGCTGAGAGGCAGAGCCGAGGTGGAGATTGCAGGGACGCCTGACCCTCCTCTGGCTTCATGGTCTTCTGCTGCAGCTCCTCGGAGCCTGTGCTGGCCCCTGCCCCTGGAGCAAGTGGTCAGATCGCTCAACCCCATGGCCTCAGCTTAGTTTGACCACAGCCTCCAACCTGCAAGGCCGCCTTTTTCGCTAACGTGAATGCAGCACTTTGAACTGCTAGGAAGTCTGGGATGGCACAGGAGGACGCCCCAAAGCAGGACCTGCAGTCAGCCGGTGCAGCTGCCTCTGGGGCACAGATGGCGCCCCCTCCCCACATGCCCTGCCCACCCGCGAGGATCCGCAGCTGTTCACCTGGAAGCGGCTCTGGACACCCAAGTAGCCATCACTCTTCCTGAGAATAAAACACTCCCAGCCAGACATTCATTTTACCCCGAGACTTGTCCAAGGTTTCATACAGACCCTGCCAAATATACATTAGGTGTCCTGGAACTCACAGAAAGGAGCTCTGCCTGCTCTAGTTCGGCAGAATAATAAAGTGAAGAGGGTTTCCGTGCTGGGGCACAAGTTGGAGGTGGCGGAAATAATTTTATGCCGGAAACAAAGAAGTGTGAGTGTTCCTCAGCTCATCCGAAGTTAAGCAAACTGAGTTTCTGTTTCTTTGTTGGTTTTGGAGAGAATCTATTGTTGGGCCTGGAAGAAGTTTGTGTTTATTTTGATCCACCCAGGATGAAAATGCTTTGCTGCTGAGCATGAAGCCATTTGGAACCTGGTGAGTGTTCCCCACTGGCTGCCCCTGCCTCCTGCGCCTCCCCGTGTGCACTGAGCAGTCCTCATCCACGGGGCTGGTGGCCCTGAAACCCTTGTTCCCATCTGGTCAATGGGTAAAGGGGATGCAGGACACTCTCATCACAGGCACCACAGGGACAGCAGTCATGCAGCCTCAGGGCTGGGCTCGAAGGAGCGATGGACAGGCTGTTGCCAGGCAACCACTGGGGCAGCAGTGGCCCCGCGGGAGCTCCCCGGAGTCAACCCCAGTCCTCCTCATCAGACCGTGGGCTTGGCTCTGTCAGCCTCCTGTTCCCCACTCCTGGCATCAGCCACATCAGTCCCAATCCAGGGAAAAGGATGCCACATGCCACATGCCAGCAGCTCTCCCTGAGAGAAGACTTAATGCCAAGAGTGGAGCTGTGCAGAGTGCAAAGTTCCATGCAAACATCACCTTTTAAAATTTTGACTCAGAATCCCCACTTTATAGAGCAGTAAGTTCAATCCTAGAAAGTGGAGACAATCACAAAACGTCTATAGATAGCTCAATGCAGCTCTCAGTGTATCCACTAATCAGCCCTATTTAAGTTCCACCATGAAGTCTGCAAGTCGGCACCATTATTATCATTAATTTGCAGATAAGGAAGCGGAAACACAGAGAGGTTAAGTAACTTGTCCAAGGTCACACGGTAAGTGACAGGTGCAGACAAGGCTGTTGGAAGTGTCTGAGCCCTTCCCCATTGCCTCTCACTAGTAGCTAACGCAGATGCTGCACCCCCATGTGTCAGAAACGAGTCCATGTGCTTTATAATATATATTAATTCATATGATTGTCACAGCAACCCTGGGAGGTAGGTGCCAGTTGGCCAGGATAGGACAAAAAGAACTCAAGCATCAGAGGGCAGCTGCTCGAGGTGACCGGTAAGTTTCTGTCTATCCAAACACTGGGGACAATGCAAACACACATGAGCTGGTGAATGGGAAAATGTTGTCGTGTCTGTACAGTGGAACAGCACTCAACAGTAAAAGGAACATACTTCCGATACACACAACACAACAGACGGCTGCTCAGTGAGGTCAAACACACGAACGCACACTGGGCTCTCACCCATATGACCTTCTGGAAAAGCCAGCCCTCAGGGAGGGAATGGAGATCAGCAGTGCCAAGGGCTGGGGTGGAGGGGGTGCTGAGAGGGAGGGGCTCAGGCGAGACTTTGGGTGATGGAAAGGCTCTACATCGTGATCGTGGTAGTGGCTGCACAACTGTGTGTGTTGATCAGAACTCACAGCTGTCTACCCTAAAGGTGAATTTTACTCTTTGTAAATCATACCTCAATAAACCTGAGTTCAGAAAGAGCCCATTTCACCCTAGGACACCGTCAGTCTACAGAAGGGTGAGGTTCCACGCCCAGGACACGGTGTCACCAAGAGCCACCCGGGAAGGGCTCTGCGAGCCAGCCCAGAACCTAACCCCAGGCTCTGGTTTGAGCATTCTCAGCTGCTCCATGGATCTCCCAAAGCCTTTGTATTTGTTCATCAGTTATCTGTCAACATGCTTTATAGACTCCTGGTCAGCAAAACTGCAAACAGTAAGACCTTTTCCCACTTCCCAACTCAAACGCTGTAGTGGGTCAGAGCACGCATATGGGTCAATAACAGACACACGTGGACATCAGCTGGCCTTTCTGAAGAGGACAGAGATTGATGGATGTGCAGACTTCCCATAGGATCCTCATTCGCATTCTCATCGCCTCCTCCGTATGGATTAATGGGGGTTCCGTGGCATGAGAAAATGGTAGAAGGAGAAATGTATCCCCATTAGGGACCCGCTCCTGTTTAAGGAGGCAAAGTCTGTGTTTCAATTGTTCTCTGCTTTGCATTCAGAATTAACTCTATCTTCCAACCGCATGTCTCAACAGCATTAGGCATTTACACTCTGCTTCCCACCTAGTTTCAAGGTAGAACTTGCATTCCAGAGAACTCCTGGCGATGAAGTATTATAATTCTTGTGCTCTGCCACACTCTCAGAAAGGCAAATGCAGATCCTCCCCCAAATACAAGTTTCTGTTCATTTTTCCACATCAGAGATTTGAAAAGACAGACAGACACAAGGAAACAACCACATGCATCTAGTTAGAGGGCACAGCTAGTAAAGAGAGGCTGGAATTGCTGACAGACGTGCTCTCTCAGCCCCAGGCCACAGCAGGTGCCCTGCCAGCCTCTGGCTCAGGCATCGCCGAGTCCCATTGCTGCTACTTTCACCGTGACAGCAGGTCCACTCAGGGGCACCGATTTTATGGCAGGTGCTTTCCTTATATTATGTCATTTCATCCTGAAAGCCATCCTTTAAGATAGATCATACCCTCCTCATTTTACACAGAGGGAAACTGAATTTGGAGGAGATTATAAAACTTAATTCTAAACTATGCATTCATAAATGACATAGACAGAATGTAACTTAACTAAATAACAGCATTTATCCTGCACTGCAGGGCACTCCAAGGTTAATGCTTCACATGTGTTATAATATTCAAGCTTCACAACCACCCAACAAGCTATGATATGTGGCAGAGGTGGCTGCCTATTCACCAAAGCTGTGGGTTCATTATTCCATGCAGTGGAGCTGGTCCTGGTGCTGCTACCCATCAGGAACGGCATGTCCCACCCACTTTGTTCCCAGAATGGCTGCGGGCCTAAGTTTTGCCATTGGAAAATGAGAAGTGATGTGTGTAAATTCAAGGCAGGGGCTTTAAGAAGCAGGCGAGGCTTCTCCACCCTGTCTCTCTTGAGGCCTCCAGGCCCCAGGGTACGGAACAGCCACGGGATGGAGGCCTCTGTCCTCAGGTCCCTGTGTGACAGAAGACCATTCACCAGCCAGGGACATTTGTGTGGACTCCTGGTGAGCAAAAAAATGGGTTTATGAAATTCAAGGGCTTTTATAGCAGCTAATTTTGCATAACAAATCTAACATTATTGTTTCCGTTTAACACACAACTAAACTGAAGTTCAAAGACGTGAGTTCCACAGGAGTACAGGGCACCCCAAATCATCCAGAGGTCTGCCCCTCTTCCAAGCCCATGCTCTCTCTGCCCTGCGACCTGCTTGGTGAAGGGTGGGGTCTCTAATTCTTTCCCCCATTCTAGAACCCTAAAGTAAGGGAGGAACCCTCCATTCAGAAGGAATTGTGCTTCTATTACACCCAGTGACTGGCGGGACCCATGGATTGAATAAAATGACCATTGATAATGGGATAAATGGCACTACATGAATGTCCCCACATGTCAGGAACAGACTCTCCCCAGCCCTGCAGCCACAGAAATGAGCTGGTGCAAAAGGAACACAATGCGACCTGGGCTTCCCTGAAGTTCCCCAAATCTAAAATCAGTCAGGTAGCTGGAACCCGACTCCTCTTGGAAGACCGCTTTTATCATCCAAAACAACATTCATATATTTCTATCTGACCACAGAATTTTGTTCTCAGAAAGCCAGTCAAACCTACATAATCTGCCTACTATCAGCACTCCCTATTTACAAGAGCTCAGACAAGGAGGAGGCCCCAAGCCGCAGGCAGCAGTGCTGGGGTCATTATGAAACCAGAGTCTAGAATTGCACCTGGCACATCACGGGCTCTCAGTAAGTATTTGTTACGTGAGTTGTTGTTGTTTGTAACTGAGAAGCTACGTGGTGTTGCCAGTGAATTTTATCACTAAATAAGAGCATTAAAAAATTGTATCCACCATCATAATCATTTCATGAAAAAGTGCATGTTATACTGAAAAAAAAACTAGGAAGATATAATCTTAAGATATCCCTGAAATGCATGCCTTTGCCTTCTGAGAAACACATACCTCGGCCGTGTCTTCTGCTGCACACTGAAGAGCCATCGACGGCGGCCCTGCCACGCCACTAGTGTCTGCAACACTCTATGGTGATGGGAAGAGTCAGTCGGGCATCAGTTTGGGTCCTGGTTGTGCCTGTCATTCGCCAGTGACACCCTGGAGCTCCAGTTTCTTCGTTTGCAAAATGGGATCCTCAGAGACACCCACCTGGCCCTTTCACAGTGGGTTGCGGTTGGCGCTGTTGGGGCACGATGCAGGGGCACTTGCTGTGGCCTTGGTGTTAGGTCTCAAGAGAAATCTTAGGGGCCAGGAGGTTCTCTCAGCTCCTGACGGTAGGGCGGCGGGAGGCAGAGGAGACCTGCTTCGCATGGAGAATTCGTTTTCCCGCTTATGCCTTGTCCCCTCCCCTTCCCCAGACAGCAGCCAGCACGTTCCTGATATGGCAGACAATGCTGTGTGCAACACATCGTCTCCTCATCTGGACACGCGACAATGGTGCTCCCAGCCGCCCTCACAGTGAGCCTGGGCACGTGACGTTCTCGCCAACGGACCTCGCACAGAAGCGATGTGCCACTTCTAGTCCAAGGCAGAGAGTGCTCCCCGACCCATCTCTCTTCTCTGGCTGCAGTTATTCTGAGGCCTCTGATTCCGGCCTCAGGCAGCCTGGATTCCTGCACTGGCTGGGAGGAGGCCCATCCAGGGGGCCTCTTATCAGACTGTGACATGTGAGCAAAAAAGAGACTTTTTTTACTAAGCCACTGAGACAGTATCAATGACTCTGAATAAGACACCTAATAAAACAAAAGTCAAATCAAGTCACCACCCTGTCCATCTCATTGGGGTAAAAGCCAAAGTCCTTAAAATGCCCGAGAGCCCTATATGACCCAGCCTCCCAACACTTTCTGCCTTCACCTGTCACTGCTGGCTCTCACCTCCCTGCAGCAACACTGCCTCCCCACACACACCAGCACGTTCTGACTCAGGACCTTTGAACCTGCTGCACATCCTGCCCTCAGTGATGAGCCCAGCAAACTCTCCCATCTTTGTGAGGTCTTCATTCAAATGTCAGCTTCCAGTAAAGCCACTGTTGGCCACACTTCTTATCCCCTTTCCTTGTAGAAAATGGTCCCTTAATACTTACTACCATCTAATATGTAGTTTACTTATAGATTTTTATCTTATGTCTTCCTCTAATAAAATGTCTCCATGAGGGCAAGTGAGTGGGAGTGAGTGTGTGAGTGTGTGTGAGTGTGTGAGTGGGAGTGAGTGAGAGTGTGTGAGTGTGTGGGAGTGAGTGTGTGAGTGGGAGTGTGTGTGTGTGTGAGTGGGAGTGACTGTGTGTGTGTGTGTGTGGGAGTGTGTGGGAGTGGGAGTGTGTGTGGGTGAGTGTGTGTGAGTGTGTGTGTGTTGTTCACTCCTATATTCTTAGTGCCTAGAACAGTCTCTGGGGCATAAAAGAGGTTCAATCATCATTTGTTGAATAAATAACCTAGGACGATACAGGAACACATGTTACAGACAGAGGAGAGGAAAAATAGGAAGGAAAATAGGAAACTCTTATGAAAGAGGCCGTGCTTGAGCTGACCCTGTGACCTGGTGAAGGCCCAGCAGAGCACGTGGCATTCCAGGTGCAGAAGAAGCACCAGGTGGTGACACTCCAGGGGACAGGATGTGTGGCTGACATGAGGTTTCCACCAAAGCCAATGAGGAATTGTGGTGATGGCTGCAATCAGGACACAATTCAAGCAATATCGGTCTGCGCTGGGCATGCTCCGGGGTCCCCGCATTCTGTCAGTTCCCCGTATGTATTCTCTTACCCTACAAGACAGGAGTATGAGGACTGAGAAGCCACCTCCCAGAGGCATAACTGGGAGAGAGTTTCACAGCTGGTGGAGGACAGGCTGGACTCCAAGAGCTGCTCCAGCTCTGGGCCTGGGGCCTGGGGCCTGGGGATCGCTAAGCCACACAGTATGAGGCCTGAGGCCTTCCAGGATGTCTGAATGGTGGGTCTCAGGTGTTCCACCCCACTCGTGCTCTGGAATCTCCAGGCAAAGCATTGATGAGGTTGCCAGCAATCAAAGGGGAAAACCCACATCCACAGTCATCGTCCTGTGCGTCGTGTTCAGGTCCGTGATTGCTGTCATTTTTGAGTCTTGTTTGGTTTAAATTGCTCCCATATTCTTGTTCCCCTGTTACGATGCCACACCACATTTCAGGATGCCAGAGTCAATTCTGCAGTATTTACCTCGCCACAAGGACTAGAGTGGGTTTTCTTTTTCCTTTGTTTTGTTTTCTTTTCTTTTTTTTTTTTTTTTTTTTCCCAAAACTGGCTTTGCAGGCTTTTGAACTCAGGGAAGAGAAAGCAGGAATAAGGAGAGCGGTAACCACTGCTTTGAGTACCTGCTGTGATTTACGCACGGAGCCAACTTCATATCGGAACGTCTGGCTCTGCAGCTGGAAGGGAGCTGCAAAATGCATGATGTTATTCCCTGGTTAAGCCCAAACCTTCCCAAACATGGGGCATGTGGGCCCAAAAGTCTCCCTCCAGGCCCTGGGGCTCCTGAGCATCTCAAATACGTGGGACCTGCTGTGCCTGGCACTGCCCACAGTGAGGTTCTCACCGAGCTCTGCATCTGGGTGTGCAGGAGTGATGCGTGCTGCAATGGCGTGGCCACAGCTTCAGAAATGCCCGTGCCAGACCACAGTCCCACAGTGGGTGCAAGGCCCAGTGAGGTCTAGGTCCAGGGTCTCTCCACTCCTGTCAAATTTCTTCCACCAGCCCTCACCACGTCATCTGCAGGACTTAAACCCAAATATCACCAGCTCCCCAGAAACAGAGCCACATTTCACCAACTGTTGTTGGTGAATGGCCACAGAACCATATTTCTGAGAAATGATGCTGAAGGAGAAATGGAAACTGGCGTCGTGTGTCTGGGAAGCTGCTGCTAAAAGCAGCTCAGACCCCTGACCCTGCGGAGATGACCTGGGCAGTGAGCCCCCCAGCACCTCCGCCCAGAGCCAGAGCCAGCCCCGGTCAGTGTCTGCCCAGCTCAGGGTGAGGCCCAGGGAGGAAGGCCTGGCCACAGTGTCACCCGCAGCCCGGCCCTGGCGTCTCCCATGTGCGAGGCAACCCTTGCCCTCCCACTGCACCCTAAGCATAAGCTCTCCGGCCCCTGCACCTGGGCCTCCCCCTCTCACTATGTCGCCATGTCCTGGCCCCAGTGTGAACGGGCCACACTTCACCTCTTTGAAAGCTTTCAGAAAGCCACTGAGCCCCAGGCCGCCTGGGTGCAGCCAGCTCCCCCATCCCACAGTGCTGTGCCACAGCCTCTACAGCCTAAGGGTCTCGGCCCTCGCAGGGCCCCCAGCAGCCCTGCCACCTTGGCCACATAGGCCAGGCACCGAAGCACTGAGCCAGGAGCACGCAGGGTCACCTGGGTTGATAGCACTGCCCAGGGACACTTTCCCAAGGCAGGTCAGGGAGGCCCTCCTGAGCTTGCTGCACATGGCTCGCAGGTGTCTCCGGCTTGGCCTCAGGGTGGCCCAGGTCACCTCCCTGGACCCAGGGTCTGGCTGGCTTGAGCCCCTTGGCTTCCCCTGCCCATGCACAACGGGCAGCTGCCAGGCTGCTCACCGGGCACCCCCGCTGACTCAGCCTGGTGTGCTCGCAGCTATTTTGAAAAACGCAAACCTTCCTGTTACCGCCATCACCCTACTGTGCAGTAGGATCCCAGCATTTACAGGAGATTTCTGTGTCTTAACATGGAATAAGGCTGCCGGGTGAAGAAGGGATGGGGAGCTCCCGGCAGAGGCAGGAAGGAGTGAAGCACCAGGCCTGACCCATAGGAGAAATGTGGGGGTTCTGGAGGACCCCGTGATTAATCGACAGTTACTCTTGGTCTAGGTAGACAATAGGCACATTGTGGAGATGTAAGCTTGGTCATAGAGCAGCCAAAGGTGCAGTTGTGGCCTGGGCAGGAGAGCAGCACCTACACCTAGCAAGGGCCCCGGTACAAAGGACACCTGTGTACATACCCCAACCAGCAAGAATCCAGCAGGGTGGCAAGGGCCGGTGGGCATGGCCCACAAAGCGGCTGGGTCCTGGGTACAGGCTGGGTGTCCCCACGCTGTCTGTGCCCCTTGCTGTGCTGAGGTGGGCCAGTGAAGGGCTTGAGGCAGCCAGGGCCTTTGCTCTTGCGTGTGTTTCCTCAGCTGCTGACAGGGCTGATATAAAAGTCTAAGGATCCTTCGAAACCTCATACCCCAGGGTATCCTGCCTTTTTCTCTGGGGAGGCAGGAGGGATAGAAAAGGTTCCTCATGCCTGTAAGGGGGAAGGGACAGTAGAGGTGGGGGAAGGGGAGAAGCCCTTTTCCCTCCAGACTTGAGTCCTGAATAAATATACTGGCTTGAGCTCTTTGCAACATAGTGATGAAAGACCCTAAAAATTCCAATAAAATGTTGTAGCTTTCCCTAGAGAGGGAGCCTGCCAGAGGCCGCTGGCCTCCCCTGTCGAAAGTCAGACAGGAGCGGTGTGACCCCTCCATGGGCTGACCCGCCCGGGCAGCCACATCACGGGTCTCAGCAGAAGCCCCAGTGTCCTTGCCTGGCCCTTCTCCCAGCCGCTCTCCCTGAAAAGGAATTGAAGTTGTCCCTTGACTGGGTATGGAGTTGGCTTCTTTCTGTGATTTTTTTTTCCTTTTCCTACCAAAAGGAGTTCAAAAGTTGAGAGCTGATTTGTATTCCAAGCACCAGGCGAATTGCTGCAAGCCCAGCTCAGTGGGGGACGGTGATGGGAGCATCAGCTGTGCCCTCCAGCCCCGAGTGAGAGGCTGCGCCTCTGGCCTCAGCTGTGCCCTCCAGCCCTGAATGACAGCCTGCTCCCCTGGCCGGAAGAGCTTCCTGGGTGTTGTTGCTGTTCTCCCCTCCCCCAACTCCACCCCACCTCTGTAATAATCATGTCCCTGCTGTGTGCAGCTCGTCTTTGTGATAATAACGGCCAATCCACATACAGTGATGGAATTCAGGGGGGATCTCCAAGGAATTCCATTCTGAGGCCATTCCAGAGAGCAGCAGGCACATCATTTGCATGCATTTGTATAAGTTATGCATCGGTATACACTTCTCTTTAACATTGCAACCTAATGAAATCACTCAGACAGGCACATTAAAAACACGATTTACGCTGGGAAGTCTGACCCTTCTCCTGTTAAATCATTTGAATGATCATTTGAATATATTTGCACAAGTGGCACATTAAAGGGCTCTCACCCGTGTTTTCAGAATTAATGAAACAATCCGGCTGCCTTCAAGGAGAGGGTGGAGGGACGTATCTACAGTTTGCCTGAAACTGTCCAAGGCGCAAACGCCTGGTCCAGCCACAAGACAGCTCAACAAGGACACCCAGTCACAGTGCCAGGGCATCCTCAGGCATCAGAAAATCAGCCCTCAAATTCTCAAAAACAAAGTAATTTCACTAGCCCTCAGTTTAGAAAAATAGAATCGTCCCTTTGTGGAGAAATGAAGGTGTCAGGAAAAGTTAAAGCAAGCAGAACAAGAGGGCGCCAGCTCCACAGCTGTGGGGAGTCCCGGGATAAAAGAGTATCATAGGAGCCATGCCCACACGGCAGGGCGTGCCCGACAGGGGCTCCCGCTCAGCGCTGACAGCAAGGCTGAGGGAACCGCTCTCCCCTCAAGGGTTAATGTGCACTCAGCAAGATTGGCAGGGATGCTGGAGCTCATTATGCAGGAAGACTTGAAAGCCAGCTCAGAGCAGCCCTCCCTGGGATGATTTAGGTGCAGCTGCACCAGCCTGGAGGCGGGTAGCTTCTCAAGGTCAGGCAGCTCTGGCTTGCTCCCGGCTCCCACGGAGCAGACGGCATTTGAAATGTGCTATGAGGGGTGGTAATGCCGAGATGAGGTCTTGGCAGGAGGGCCCAGGCCAAAGGGTCCTAAAACACACCTTCCTACTTAACATTTTACAAAGTGCATCTTTCACATGCAATGTTTTCCCATCTGCTCTTGATGAAAACCTTTAATTAATAGATAAAGAAACTCTTCCAAGATGTGTGCCACTTGCTCCAGGTTGTTCAGCTGTCACAAGGCAGCATAAAAGTTGACTTTCTCCCACCCACCAAAAATCCCAGAGCCCTGGGTGTTAGTCATGCAGGATTTTTCTCAACTCCTTCCTCAGACTTGCGACAGGGGTGCCCTGTTTGCTTGGCCCACCTTGCTCAACTCCTTGCAGGAGGCACATGACAAGCAAGTGTGGGATCTAGCTGGCTGCTTTGGGCATTGGCAGGATCATGCTCCAGGCAGGCCCCACAATGGCACCCAGATGGGGGTGCCTGTGACCCCCAAAGCCCCAGAGGATGGGTTACAATGCTCTCTTAGCTCAGCTGTCTGTGGACAGTGGTGTGTTATCAGCTCAATAGGCCCCTCACCTGGTCATGTGGGTCAGCTGCCCTCTGCCAGGGAGGGCAAAAGTCCAGTGTTTCAGCCTTTTTTGGGTACCCACACTCAGTGGGTCCCGAGCTCTTCTCGCATCCAAGAAGAATGAGGTCATGCAGACACTTAAAGGATGGTGAAGGCAGAGAGTTTTATTAAGCAATGGAAATGGCTCTCAGCAAAGAGGGGAGCTGGAGAGGGGATGAGATGCACAGGTAGTCTTCCATGAAGTCTAGTCATCTCTGGCTAGCTCTTCTCCGAAGTTAAGCCATCTCTCCTCCAAAGTCCAGCCATCCCACTGAAGTCAAGTCGCCTCTCTCCAGTCAAGCCACTTCTCTCACCTCTACCAACTGAGTCTGGGGTCTTTATAGGCACAGGATGAGGGTGTGGGGCAGGCCACAGGTAGTTTTGGAAAAGGCAACATTCAATTGGTAAAAAGACATTATTCAGGAAGAACCAATCAGGAGATAGTGGGCGAACACGGATATAAGTTCTTACTTTGGGCAGCGGGTTTCAGGCTTTTCGGCTTGAAGGTGGGGTTTTGCCAGGTACCCACTCCTGTCTTCCTGGAATTTCTCTGCCTCCTGCCTCTCTCATTAGGACCCCATCCCCTGCCCCACAGGCACTCCAGGCAGCTTTTTGGCTAAAAGCTCATCGTCTCCAGAGTGGGAGCTGCATGGTTTGGACTCAGCACCCAGTGAGAATAATTCCCTCCCTGTGAGCATGACTGAGAACTGGCCCCAAAGAGAGTCAGCTCCTCAGAACACCTGGCCTCTCTGAAGACCCAGTCCCCCACCTCCACCTCCATGTGGAACCAGCTCTAACCCCAGGGCACAGCAGGCACCTCCACCTGCCAAGCTCAAAGAGGCTCCAGGGACCCCCACCCCAGAATGGATATAAAAGAACAGCAAGCCAACAACCTGTGTCTGCCCAGAGTTAGGATGAATCTCACAGGCCTCTGACTTCCCCAGCCTGGGGCCTGGATGGACAGATCTAAGACCAGTCTCCTGTTCCTTTCTAGAGCCATCAGTCTCCCCAGGTCTTTGCAGACCTGCCAACTTCTCTAGAAGGAGCAGCCTCACTGTCTGATCCCAGCATCCTGCCCAGCTCCTGCCCAGCTCAGCAAAGGTTTATGGATTCCTGTGGTGTGCAAGGCACCGTTAGACCCTGGTACCACAATGAACTAGGTGGTGAGAGGTACAGGCTGTGGGTGTGCAGCCTTCCAGGGATCAGCTGGAATTCGTCCTCGCTAGGCTTTCTGCCCTGATGGGCAGATGTTTTTTAGCAACTCCAGCCGTGAGTATTTCCTTTGGCAAAATTTTCTCATTGCTGCTCTATCACACAGGCAAGGCTGGTTTCAAGGAAGAACATGAAACATTTCCTTTCATTCTCAGCTCACCTGTCAACGAACATTTCATTTCACCTTTTCGAACACAAAGTGACAACGTGGTTCGAGTTAAAATCATTTATTCTCTTTTTCAAACAAAAGATCTGAGTGTGGGGGAGATGAGGTCAGAGGCTGCCGGGAGTGCCTTGTCCCTCAGTCTGCACAGAGTCACTGTCCCAGAGATGCACACTTCCTGCCTGTGCTCTCTCGTCCTTGACAGGAGCTGAGTGAGGCTCTGGGGAGTCCCCCACTGCGGGATGTGCAGCTTTGCAAATCTGCAGGGCTCTTTTATTCCTGCCCCCACCCCAACCAAGAACACAAGCCTACCAAAAGCAAACCCATAGTTTCTTATGCAACTAAGTGCTTATATTTACCATGTGGGAATGCAACCATCCTACCAATCTTAGCTGCTCCATGGTCGTGACTGGAGTATAGAATCAAGGCACTTTTTGCAAGAGTGGCAAATACTAGGGCATTGTATAGAGAAGTAGTACTGGTTGCAAATAAAATGATAATAACCAATTTTTACTATTGGGATGGAAGTTTATTTCCTCCATATAAACTGAGTTGCAATTCCACTTGAGTGAATTCTTTTGATGAAGTCTTTACCAAACATGGGCTCTTTACCACCCCCAGTGAATGCAGGTGCCGTTCAGAGGTGAGAAAAAATCACCATCTGATGTGGGGGAAAGAGCACGGGGTCAGATGAGCTGGCCCAGCCCAGGCTGAATGCTGTGACAGTCTCTCCATGTGACCTCATGACTTTCCCACTTGCTGGGCTCCCTCCACGGGCAGAACCCTGTGCCCAAGGTGCCCAGGCTCACAGGAACCCACCCTCATCCTCACCCTGCTTCCCAGGGCAGCTCCCCCTGCTAACTCTGGTGATGTGCAACTTCCATGCAAGGTTTCATTTGAAAGAACTGATTTTACATTATTTCAGAAGGGCCTCTCATATATATAAGGTCCTTCTCAGCTCTGACAAGATAGGATATATTCACACCAACTTTTTTTCAGGTAGAGCACACATTAAATTCTCACCCCCACCATTCAGTATTTGGTTACAAACAAGGAACTCCCAATGATGAAAGGAAAGAGATTTAAACAAAAGACGCTCTCTTTCCTTTCCCTCAACCCCCATGTTTAATCACTGAATATGCACAGGCTGGCTGCAGACAGCCCCAAATGCTTCATTCCAGCCGCCCCTGCCCCACCTAGACTTGTCTTCCCACCTAAGTTATCCACACCATACTCTTTATTTTCCTGACCCTTCCATGTGTGCCCTTGCTGCCCTGCCCTCTCGCTCATGGGCCCGCCTTTATGGCCCCACCAAGGCCATTTTCCTAAAAAGCAGGCAAATCACACTATTGCACTGTTCAGCCATCAGATGCCTCCTGCCCTGCCCTCTGCCTGAAGAGCAGAGTTAGGGCACCTTCACCTGGCATCCAAGGCCTCCACAGGTCTCCCCAAACTGTCTTTGCAGCCTCACTGCCACTGAAGTTCTGTGCTTCTGTTTACCAACTCGCTGTCTCTTCCCATGCTGGCATAGCCTTGCCCACACCCTTCTCTCCATAGGAAAGGCCTTTCAAAATCCTACTGTAGCCCACCCAAAGCCCACGATAATATCCTACCCAGCACAGAGATGAGTGACCTCTGCTTCTGTGTTCCCTCCCACAACTTGAACTTCTCTTGATCACTCAGGTTTTTGTTTTGCTTCGTTTTGCTTTCTTTACAGTATAATGTAACATCTGGTTTCGTGGAAAAACAATGAATTTGGGAGCCCATCAGCCCTGAATTCAAACCCAGTCCCTCTTGCATGTAGCACAGCTGGCCTGTCAGCCACAGGGAAGCAGGCGCCATGCCTCTCTCATCACAGATCCATACCCAGCATTCAGCTGTGCTTCTCACTGTTCCAAGTGATTTATGGGAATTGTTTTGTCCCGTGCACACAGCAACCATCACAGAGCTATGCGACCAGTGCAAACATGACACGCAAATTCAGGAAGCTTTCCATATTTTTAAAACAGAACTGTTCAAACATCTTGTCTTGTTTGTTTTACTTTATTTTTATATGTTTTCAGTTCATCATCTATGTCTGCTCTTAAGTCCTTTCCCCACCTCCAGAGAGCCACTTCCTGTGCATGGCGTCTGTCTTTAAATATGCCTGTGTGCATGAAGAATGTGCAGAACGGTTTGCCTACTTTTTTTTTTTGAGACGGAGTTTCACTCTTGTTGCCCAGGCTAGAGTGTAATGGCGTGATCTCGGCTCACCGCAACCTCCACCTCCTGGGTTCCAGTGATTCTCCCGCCTCAGCCTCCCAAGTAGCTGGGATTGCAGGTGCCCACCACCACACCTGGCTAATTTTGTGTTTTTAATAGAGATAGGGTTTCTCCATGTTAGTCAGGCTGCTCTCACATTTCCAACCTCAGATGATCCGCCCACCTCAGCCTCCCAAAATGCTGGGATTACAGGACTGAGCCACTGCCCCCAGCCTACTTAGACATTTTTAAATGACTAAGAGTGTTGGGCTAGGCCTTCACTGGCTTCTCAGCAGTGCCTTGTGCTTCTACCACAGGACAGGGGCTGGTCTTGTTTGCTGGTGATGCATTGTCCCATAGTGAGCCTCTACCTGGTTCAGACACCATTCTTCTCAGCCACACACCCCTTGGGCCTGCGTCTCTGAGCTACACAAACTCTGCTCAATGCAGCATTGAACACTATCTCCTATGTCACTGTGTCTTTGCATTAATCCATGCCCTAGGGTACATCAGTCAGTAATTTTCACTAGATACGACCAGATCGTTGTCAAAGCAGATACCCGGGTTTATTCCTACCCCACCTCTGTGCGCTTGGATTTCTGTTTCCATCCATCCTTAGCCAACACTTGGATTTATTAGGCTTTTTGAACCTAAAGAATCCCAGGGGTATGAAATGAAAGAAAAATATAGTTAATCTGGCATTTCTCTGATTACCGATGCATTGAGTATCTCTTCATATTATTTTAAGCACCCAGACTCATCCTTTTCTGAATTGCCTGTTCATTTTATTTACACATTTTTGGGTTTCTTCTTTTTTTTTCATTCTTAATTTGAAGATATATTAACCTGTATATTCTGCATAACAATCTCTTGTCAGTTTCAGGTCTTCTCTTAGTCCATCACTCATCTCTTCACTGCACGGTATCCTCTGCTGAACAGAAAAACAACATTTTGAGTCATCAAATCTATTTCTTTCCACTATGGGTTGTACTTCTGAGATACTGCTTAAGAATTCCTTCCTCACCCCCAAATTATGAAGACATCCTCCATTCTCTTCAATTATCTTTACAGCTTTGTCTTTCACAGTGAGATCTTCATGCCTTCCAGAGGTTGCCCTTGCTTGGTGCAAGGCAGCAATACAACCACACTTTCTCTATAGACTGAGCATGTTACCTCAATGCCGGTTACAAATCCGTTCATCTCTACTCACCGACGTGTGGTGCCCCCCACTATCATGTACTGGACTCCCAAAGATATAAACCAGTCCTAGAAATCTGTTATCTATTTATTCTCTCTACAGGTCAGTTCTTTCACCAGACACACAATCTTCCTTACTGTCCCTTTCTGGCCTGTCTTAACATCTGGCAGGCTAATTCCTCCCCTTTTCTCATTTTCAAAATTGTCTCTTCTTATTCTGGACACTTGTCATTTCATAAATTTAGAAATTGTTGTTGTTGTTTTGACACAAGATCTCACTCTGACACTCAGGTTGGAGCACAGTGGCATGATCTCAGCTCACTGCAGCCTCAAACTCCTGGGCTCAAGTGATCCTCCCACCTCAGCTTCCTGGGTAGCTGGGACTACAGGAGAGAGTCACTACACCTGGCTAATTTATTGTGTTTTTTGTAGAGAAGAGGTTTTGCCATGTTGCCCAGGCTGGTCTTGAACTCCTGAGTTCATGCAATCTGCCTGCCTTGGCCTCCTATGGTGATTATAGTCGTGAGCCCCCACCGCACCCAGCCAATGGTTTGACTTTAACCAGTAGTGAAATTGCTGGATAATATGGTAGTTTTATTTTTAATTGAGTAAACTTACTGTTTTTCATAATGACTGTTCTAATTACATTCTCATCAACAATATACAAAAGTTATTTTCTGCACATCCTCACCAGCACTTGCTGTTGTTTGTCTTTTTCGTAGTAGCCAGTCTAACAGGTGTGAGGTGATATTTCATTGTGGTTATAATTTCACTACACTGTGTATGTTCAAAGGAGATTAAATCAATATACCAATGATGTATCTACACTCCCGTGTTTACTACAGAATTATTTACAGTAGGCAAAATATGGAAACAATCTAAATGTCCATCAACTAATAAATGGATAAAGAAAATGTGGCATATATACATATATATGTATATATATAAATACTTTATATATGTGTATATATAAATACTTTATATATGTGTATATGTAAATACTTTATATATGTGTATATGTAAATACTTTATATATGTGTACATGTAAATACTTTATATATGTGTATATGTAAATACTTTATATATGTGTATATGTAAATACTTTATATATGTGTATATGTAAATACTTTATATATGTGTATATGTAAATACTTTATATATGTGTATATGTAAATACTTTATATATGTGTATATGTAAATACTTTAGTGTATATATACTTTATATATGTGTATATATACTTTATATATGTGTATATATACTTTATATATGTGTATATATACTTTATATATGTGTATATATACTTTATATATGTGTATATATACTTTATATATGTGTATACATAAATATTTTATATATGTGTATACATAAATACTTTATATATGTATATATAAATCCTTTATATATGTGTATATATAAACACTTTATATATGTGTATATATAAATACTTTGTATATATATATATAATGGGATATTTTAAAGAAATGTTCTGTCATTCATGACAAATGAGTGAATATGGGAAACATTATATACTAAGTGAAATAAGCTAGGCACAGATAGACAAATACCACATAATCTCACTTGCATATGGAATCTAAAAAAGTCAACCTCATAGAAGTAGAGAATAGAATGTTGGTTATCAGGGGCTGGGGGAGTGTGTAGGAGTTGGTGAGATAGATGTTGGTCAAAGGATACAAAAAATTTCAATTAGATAGGAAGAATAAGTTCAAGAGATCTTTGTACAACATGGTGACTATAGTTAGTAAGAAGGCATTGTACTTTGAAAATTGCTAAGAGAGTAGATTTTAAATATTCTCATCACAAAAACAGATAATTATGTGAGGCAATGCATATGTTAATTAGCTCAATTGAGCCATTCTACAATTCTTTTAAAAAAGAAGTAGTTTGATTTTTAAAATAATTGCACTTGAATTTTTATTAGAAGGGCATTACATTGCTAGATTTATTGAGGGGAAATACATTTCTTCACAATCCCAAGTTGCCTTATCCATGAATTTGGTATATATCTTGGCTTTTTAAACATGTAATTTCATATCATTTAATAGATTTTTAAAAGTATTTTCATAAAACTCTTACATATTTAACGTTAAGCTAATTGTTTTATCATTTGTAGCTATTGTTGTAGTACACAATGAGAAAATTGTGATGACTACATTCTACATTTAATAACTACACAGCAGGCTGGGCATGGTGGCTCACATCTGTAACCCCAGCATATTTTTTTGGCTAAGGCAGGTGAAACACTAGAAGCCGGGAGTTCAAGACTAGCCTGGACAACATAGTAAAACCCCGTCTTTACTAAAAATACAGAACTTAGCCGGCTGCAGTGGAATGTGCCTGTAATCCCAGCTACTTAGGGGGCTGAGACATGAGAATCGCTTGAACCTGCAGAGGCTGCAGTGAGCCAAGACTGTGCCACTGCACTCCAGCCTGGGCAACAAAGCAAGACTCTGTCTCCAAAAAAATAATAATGATAATAATAATAACTATACAGCAGACAGTGTCACATTGTAGTTAAGAACACAGACCTTGTCCTTGGACTGTCTGAGCTACTCTACCTATAATTGTGTCTCCTTGGGAAAGCGATTTCTCTTTCTGAGCTTCAGTTTCCCGCTCTGTAAACTGGGAACACTAGTAAAATCTTGCATCACTTAACAGTAAGACTGCATCCTGAGAAATGTATCATTAGGTGCTTTTGTTGTTGTACAAACATCATAGAGTGCACTTCACAAACCTAGAGGTTCTAGTCTACCTCACACCCAGGCTATGTGGTGTAGTCTACTGCTCCTAGGCTACCAACCTGTACAACATGTTACTGTACTGAATATTATTGGCCAACAGTAAGAATTTGTGTATTTAACATATCTAAGCATAGAAAAAGGTACAGTAAACATATAGTATTTTAATCTTATGGAACAAACATTGCATGTGCAGTCCATCGTTGACTGAAATGTCATTATGTGGCACTTGATGGTAGAGTAAGTCCCACGAGGCTACTTTGATGATTAAAGAAAATTGTATATATCAAGCATTTAATAGTGCCCAGCATGTGGTCAGTTACCAGCAAGCGTCACCTTTGTTATCATTAGTTATGGGTCCATAGAGAGATTATTCAATCACTTTGGACTTCCAGTTTTTTTCATTAAAAAAAATGAATACCCTTTGCTTGTTTACTTCAAGGCATTTTTGTGATGATGGAATGAGAGAATGGGGAAATTACTTTGTAATCTGTAACATGCTCCAAGCATCTAAGGCACTATTATGACAGCCATCAATACCTCTACTTCCCATTTTTCTTTTTCTCCATGACCATTTTCTTCATTAAGCTTTTGTGTACACTTGTCCATTAACTCAGTAAATAATAATTCAAAGAAAAAACAGACTGCCTGCCATGTGCCCTACACTATGTTAAGTGGTTCCAAATTCATAAATATCTCCTTTCATTTGTCTTAACATCCTGCAAGAAGTATTACAGGGAATATTTTCAACATAATCCTGGATCATCAGCAGACCAAGGCCCACTCTACTTCATTTTCTGAACAGAAGCACTAAGAAAATGAATCACCCAGGAAAATAGATTTTCTTCTGAACAAGAAAGAATACTTTGAAGAATTATGACACTGCGGCTAAAAGTTCCCAGGACTGATTTTATACGCCTACTGGAGATTAGACACGTTGAGAAAAAAACATGATTCAAAGGAAGAAAAAGGGATATTAAGGAAGAAACACCAAGGGGGGAGAAACATTCTTGGTGTATTCATCCCTGAGGGCTGCTGTAACACAGGTCCACAAACTGGATGGCTTCAAATGACAGCAATTTACTGCCTCGCAGGTCTGGAGGCTGTGAGTCTGAGATAAGGCATCCGCAGTGCTGGCTCCTTCTGAGGGCTGTGCAGGAGAAACTGCTTCACGGTGACCTCCTGGCTTTAGGAGAGACCGTAATTCTCCCTGTTCCTTCGCATGTGGCTGAATCGCTCCAGTCTCTGCCTCCATCTTCCCGTGGTGTTCTCACCATGTGTCTTTACCTCATCCTTCTCTGTGCATCTCTATCCAAATTTTCCCTTTGTATGAGGACACCAGTTACTGGCATTAGAGACTCGCCTTACTCCAGTGTGACCGCAATGGAATTCCTTATATCTGCAAGAATGTTCTTTTCAAATAAGCTCACATTTTGAGTTACCAGGGATTAGAACTTCAACATAACTTTTTGGGGGACATGACTCATCCCATAGCACTCAGGAAGCACTATCCATGAACATTGTCTTGAATTACCTCCATTGGTACAAATTGTCGTAAATTCATTCAGGTTGTTTCTTAAAGGACACTCTTTCTGGGGGATAGTTCTCAGGTTCCCAGTTATTCTGGGGATATCTAAAACATGTGTAACCATGAAATTACATTAAAGTGTTATTAACAGAAAACGGCATAAAATCCCTTCTCGTTGCCTAATGCTTGTTTTTCTCCAGCCATTGTGTGAGATGGTTTGCATGCATTATTTCGTTTTCATCCTCATGACCATCCTGCAATGTGGCTGCTGACATCTCCCTGTTATTGGCAGAACCTGAGGCCCAAGTAGGCTGGTAACTTGCTGAAAGTGACAGGGCTTGTGAAGCTGAGGAACTGCATTTCAGACACAGGTCTGCCCTGCTGCTATGGGCTGCACCCTTCCCACCTGGCTCCATCAGAATACAGACACCAAGGCTCCTGCGCCCCTACCTCCTCCTCCTCCTAGCCAACCACAGGCCCTTTGCTTCAAGGCTGCCCCTCCCAGGGCCTTAAAGCCCCACACCTGTGTCTGGACCCAGGGAGTAGACAGGAATCCTCACACCTGCCTTAGTCAAACCACAATACCAGACACAAACCTGCCTTCTTGCCACAAGTCATTAAGACCTTTTTGGATATTGTTGGAGTGAAGTAAGCCTAACCTGATTTGCTATTGTCATCATTTTTTTTTTCTACATCAGAAATGCTCTTCTTTCCCCACTAGGCCCTTAGAGAGCTCTTCTGCCACTATTTCTCCCAACCACATCCTCTCAACATCCCAAGCCTGCATCACAGAGGTGTTGGAATTTGAAAGCAGCACGTGAGTGAGCACAGGAAAGATGAGACAAATGTCATCAGCTCCGCCCCTAAAGACCAATTAACTTTGAGATAGAGGGAATATATTTTAGGACTACACAGGGGCCAGGTGACACTGAGGCCTGTCAATTTCCTTCTCCCTTTACACAAAAACTCAAAGTATTGGGTGACTTTATGAATAGCATTTAGAGGTGATACATAGCTTGAATCATAGCAGGCAGAGAAAATCTACTGATTTTACCTTCTGTTTTTGTTTAAAAAGTTGACAGAGAATCTAACCTTTCTCAATGCACCTCAACCCCAGAGTCTAGAAAGGCACCCTCTTTTGTGCCACTCTCCTGATGAGCACAGGGATGTAACAGGTCTTTATGAAAAGGGGCATGTAAGAGAAGTGAAAAAAAAAACACATTTTGAAAGGTGCTTTTAGAAATACTTATGCTAATTTTACAGGTTATTTAGGACAGTAATTATAGAAATAATTTTCACAAATTAAAATTCAAATAAAGTAAAAATTACATAAAGTACATTCTCAGCATAGCAAAACGAGTGAGTCCAAAGCCTGTGGGCGGTGTGATGTGTCTCCTGTAATTGTGGGACAGGTTTTGATTTATGCACTTAAAATGTGATCATCGTGCCAAAGAGGGAAACTGGTAATTGCATTTTTCAGTCTTTGGAAGCAAGTGTGCAAGGTGTAAAAGTGCCTTTCTTTCATTGCATTTCAATAACCTACTCTATTATTGACAACAGGCACCTCAACCATGGCTTGTTTCTTTTTTCCACGGCATAGGTCTGAGAGAAAGGTGAAGGTTTGCATGGCAAAGGTACCTTACCAAAGGGTCCCCACAGGAAAGGAGAAGGCCAAGTGTTTCCATTTTTAGGTTTCATTACAAAGAATACTGGAGAGAAGGGATTAAAAACATAGCAACTCCCTGAGCATATTACCTAATCTTTGTACAGTGATTCACAGTGCACAGAACTGATTAGGCATCCCGCGTTTCATTCCGTTCTTGAGAACAGGACGACGGTGAAGTCAGGATTCAAACCCGAGTCTTCCAGTGTTTCCTTCCTCCGCAATTTAGTGCCCGATGTCATCTTTATTTCACCACCTGTCAGCGCCCATCTCAGAGGCGCTTTGTCTTCACTCACAGCAAACCCATTCTTTTAAAAAGCAAAATAGAATGCAATCCAATGACAGAATTCCATTTTAAAAATTGAATGTACGTCGCCTGTGCTGCCAAATACTCAACCTCTTCTGTTTTCCCCCTGAAGCCATGATGTGCGCACTGTGCAGAGAAGCGAGGGACTGGAGCTCAGAAAGGAGGCGCTTTGGACAAAACCCCTGAAAACGTGGCTCGGAGCAGGCAGAAGCCCCCGTGGAGCTGCCAGGACCCTGCAGAGCCGGCCACTGGAACAGTTCTCCCCCCGACGCCGATTGCCATCAAGGTTGGTGGATAATGCTTATCAGAAAGAATGTTCCCCAATCTGATCATAATGGATGCAGTGTGCTGTGTCGAATCACGTCCTCTTTCCTGATTGCGGATAAGAAGAACGTGACTCAATCAGAGCATCTGAGCAGCTCAGAGCTAAGCAGCCTCAGCAAGCACAGCATCCCTGGCCCGGCCTCCTGCACAGCCCGGCAGAAACGCCACCACCAGTCTAGAGGCCGGTCCCGGCTCTCACCCACAGCAGAAAGAGCTGCAGACTGGTCTGGGAAGAAATTAACAACAACTCCGTGGCAAACACCCAGCCTGTCGGAGCAAGCTCATCAAATCCCTGGTTTCTAAAGACACTGGACCCTTCCTGTATGGAGACTAGTCATGTCAAATAGACCTTTCCTGTATGGAGACTAGTCATGTCGACCTGTAGTTTCTAACAAGGCACCCTGCTCATCCTAACATTCCATCCACCTTTCCACTGTTGCTCACAAACATTTGTCCTCTATCCATCTTCATTTTCTTAAAACCACGTGTTAGCCAGGTTCTTACACACACTCAATGTCTCCCCACTTCCCACATACATAGAATGAGACTCGGAGAGGAGACGTGACTCGAGAAGTCGCACGCTCAGAACCTCAGACCAGCCCAGAAACCCACCTGCAATACCCATGCCAGCCTCTCACAGTGCCCAGCCCCACTGCTGGGGTCATAGAGTGGCTTCAAGATGAGGTGAACACTGGAAACAGGTCCCTCGCCCTAAAAGCCCTTTCCTGAGAAAGTTGAGTGCCCTCCGTATTTTGTAAAATATTCACCGAGCCCCCATACATTCTGGGCGTCGTGGCAAGTGCTGTAGATAACAGCAGATTTTTAAAAGGAGGAACAAAATCTCTGCCTTTATACAACTTTCATTCGAGAGAACAGAAAGAAGCATAAAAAATAAACAAATAGCTAAAGTGTGTGAGGTAGAAGAGAAGTGGCATGAATGAGCCGGAGAGTGTGAAGAGAGAGATGGGGTGTGAGGGACCCCCCAGACAGGCTAGGCAGGTGAGCAGGGACCTGTGGAGACACCTGGAGGGGACGTGGGCAGGAGAGAAGAGCCTGGAGAGGGCTCCACAGGAGGGAAGGTGCAGCCAGCAAGGAAGCTCAGGGGCTGGGCAGGAGTATCCCAGGGCAAGACCGTGGGCACTGGAGACCACGGGCCTCGGGCAGAGGGAGGGGCAGCCCTGACTACCTTACAGTAGGACCTGTCTGGTGTTGGGTGGGGAAAAGGGGTAGAGTCTGCAAGGGCTGCAGAAGGAATTTTGGGAAGCTCTGGCTGTGGTCCAGGTGAGAGGTGGCAGTGGCTGGAGAGGGTGGTAGAAGCCGTCCAAATGTAAGCACATCTGGAGGTAGGTGCTGCAGGACGTCTGGGGCTGGATGTGGGGTGTGAGGAGATAAGTCAGGAAGGGCTCTAGGATTATTGACCCCTGCAACAACAGAGAGGATGGAGCTGCCATTGACGAGAACAGGGAAGGCCATGGAGTGCCCCTTACTCTGCAGGCCCCACATGGCCTTCGTCTCCCCTGCAGCAAGTCCATGCGTGGTTATAGCGCTTCTACCAAATGAAGTCACTCTCTGCCAATTCAATGTATAAAACAGTGACACCCTTTGAAAAGTCTTCGTTGCTGATCCATTGCAAACACAGAAAAAGTACCTTTTGGCTGAAAAATAACCCACAGTTATTTAACATTTAGGTGGTGAATTTTTCAAGTGGAATTCACCATGCAATATGAAAACAAGATTTGCATGTTGTGTTAGTCCGTTCTTTTGTTGCTGTAAATAAATGCCTAGGGCTGGGTAATTTATAAGAAAAAGTTTAATTGGCTCATGATTCTTCAGGCTGTACAGGAAACATGGTGTCAGCATTTACTCCCTGTGAGGCCTCAGACAACTTCCAATCATGGTGGAAGACAAAGGCGGAGCAGGTGTGTCACCTGGCAAGAGTGGGAGCGAGAGAGAGAAGAGGGAGCTGCCTGATGCTTTTAAACAACCAGATCTCTTGTAAACTAACTGAACGAGAACTCACTCATCATCAAGGAGATGGCACTAAACCATTCACGAGAAATCCACTTCCATGAGCCAACCGCCTCCCACCAGGCCCCACTTTCTTCTTTTTTTTTTTTTTTTTTGAGACAGAGTCTTGCTCTGTAGCGCGGCCTAGAGTGCAGTGGCGCGATCTCGGCTCACTGCAACCTCTGCCTCCCGGGTTCAAGCAATTCTCCTGCCTCAGCCTCCTGAGTAGCTGGGATTGCAGGCATCTGCCACCACGCCCAGCTAATTTTTGTATTTTTAGTAGAGACGGGGTTTTGCCATTTTGGTCAGGCTGGTCTCGAACCCGTGACCTCATGATCCACCCACCTCAGCCTCCCAAAGTGCTGGGATTACAGGCATGAGCCACCACGCCCGGCCCAAGCCCCACTTTCAACACTGGAGGTCACATTTCAACATGAGCTTCAGAGGGGACAAACATCCAAACCATAACACATATGGAAAAAAATGTTTGTCAATCATACAATCTCCTCACAATATAATTAAGAAATAAAAATTATCAATTTCTACTAATTGTCATAAATTCTACTTCTAATGTGTATAAACATGATAAGGGTTAAAGGCCAGCAGCCAAGATAGAGATGTAATTTCCACGAAAGCAAAATGCAGAGTCCTTCGGTAGCTGCAGGAGGGCAATTCAGACCTAGCCCTCACCTTAAACATCCACGCACCACTCCCCCCTGCACTCCGGATCCCTGGCCCTGCCTCGGTCAGTTCCACTCTTCTCACCTGGACCGCTGCAATAATCTAAAAGGCAATCTGCCCAGGTTCTCTCTCCTTCCCACTTTAATCAAGACCATACGATCCCGCCAAATGTGACTTTCCAAAATGCAAATGAGGTCATGCCTCTTCCCGACTCGTTAGCACTCCAGTCAGTTTTTGTTGCTAGCAAAATAAAGTCCAATCCCCTTAGGTGGAATATGAGTCCCTTGCTGTCTAGCTCCTGCTTTTCTTTCGCTTCCCTTGACCTCATTTTCTCTTGCAAACTCTATAGCACAGCTTCAACAAACTGTATGATGCTTCCTAAATGCAACTGATCAGCTCATTCATGCCTCTGTGCCCTTCAACATAATTCAGTCGCGCTTGGCATTTGCTTCCTCTGTTCTAGGTTGAGCCCTTCCTCCTCCTTCAAGACCCATCTCATAAGATATGGCTCCCATGAAGCCTTTTAGGACTTAGCCCCCGTGGAGTTAGCTGCTCCCTCACCAGCACTGTGGTGGCACTTCACAGGCCTCGGTCACATGTAACATGCATGGTAATTATCTGTGTCTTTGACTCATCTTGGAAGCTCCACTTCTGCCAGGCTCCAGGCAAACACACCTGACTGCCATTCAAGTAACATTTGCTTAAAGATAAATGGATGAAATGAAGTCGAACCCTGGGATACCCATTCAGTGAAACGTCCACGTTTCCTGAGCCCTAAGCTGGGACACTTATTCTGCAATTTGACAGTAAGACAATAGGTTGACATAAAAGCTATACTTGAAACAACTAAGAAACATGGGTGATGGGGTTGCTTCAGCACAGCCTTTACCTCTTAGCTCCTTCAACATAATTCAGCTACGCCTGGGGAGGTGGGTTTGTCAATGAAGGAGCCTGCATTATTATCATTGATTACATTAGCAAGTATCTTTTGGTTGTACATGCAAGTTTCAGGAGAAAAATATCTACAGACACCTGAACCTCTTTTCCAAAATGCAAAAGTGCTTATAGTTGTAATAATTTTAAACATTTCAAAGAATCATTTATTAACTCATTAACTCGGTCATGTATTCATTCTGGCCTTCAAAAAGCTTGTCTTGTGTGCCACCTGTCAAGCTAAGCTTCACGTACACAAGAGAAATGAGAGCTGCCCCCATGCCAGTTTTGCCTGGCACATTAGGTGCCAGCACAGGAGAGAGGTCACCATCCATGCCATTGGTGGGCAGGGACCCTTGCCTTGCCATGTGTTCCTACAAGAACATGGTCTCACTGTGGATAAGATCCTGTCTAACCAACTGGGCTACTTTTAATCAAATGAAGTTCCAGCACACTTTAAACACAGCTTAACTAAAATCCAAATATCTGTTTGCAAAATTACAATGAACTTTGTTCAGCTTTGATCATGTGTTTAGTACTTGTCTCTGTCCATTCCTGCCAGTATAACAAAATATCTAAGACAGGGTGACTTATAAAGAACAGAAATGTATTTCTCACAGTTCTGCAGGCTGGAAGTCCAAGATGAAGACACCGGTAGGTTCTGTGTCCAGCGAGGGCCGAGTCTCTGCGTCCAAGACGACACCTTGTTGCTGCATACTCCAGAGGGCAGGAACACCATGTCCTCATGTGGCAGGAGCGAAAGAAGAGCAAAAAGAAGCTAGGCCGAGGTGGGCAGGTCGCCTGAGGTCGGGAGTTCAAGACCAGCCCGACCAACATGGAGAAACCCCGTCTCTACTAAAAATACAAAATTATCCGGGCGTGGTGGCGCATGTCTGTATTCCCAGCTACTTGGGAGGCTGAGGCAGAATTGCTTGAACCCGGGAGGCGGAGGTTGCGGTGAGCCGAGATCGTGCCATTGCACTCCAGCCTGGATAAGAAGAGTGAAACTCTGTCTCAAAAAATAAAAAGCCAAACTGGTTTTCTCCAGCCCTTTCATAAGAACACTGATCCCCTCCAAAAGGCCACATCTTTTTTTTTGTTTGTTTGTTTTTTTGAGTCAGAGTCTCATTCTGTCGCCAGGCTAGAGTGCAGTGGCATGATCTCAGCTCACTGCAACCCCTACCTTCCAGTTGCAAGCGATTCTCCTGCCTCAGCCTCCCAAGTAGCTGGGATTACAGGTATGTGCCACCACACCCAGCTAATTTTGTATTTTTAGTAGAGACAGGGTTTCATCATGTTGGCCAGGCTAGTCTCGAACTCCTGACCTCGTGATCTGCCCACCTCAGCCTCCGAAAGTGCTGGGGTCACAGGCATGAGCCACCGCACCCAGCCAGCCACGTCTCTTACTACTGCTGCATAAGGGATTAAGTTTCACAAAGAATTTTAGAGGAGACTCGAGCACTGGAACCATAGCAGCCTACCTTTTAACACCCTGTCGTGTTTAATCCTCACTATGTTCCTGCAATGTAAAGGCTACAAATTGTCTACATTTTACCTTCTTTTATTTTTATTCACCATGATTTTCTTTGCTTCTTTTTTCTCCTTAGCAGGAATTTTTTTAGTTATATCACAAATATAATTGGTATCATATCAGAACCGTATGTAATCTTACCTTTCTTACCCCATCTGCTTTAAACAACTCTCTCTACATGTTGTATACACACACACACTCCTTTTGGCTGAACCATTTGAAAAGGAGTTTCATGTATCATGACTCTTACTCCTAAATACTTCAGTATGTATCTTCTTCAAACAAGGACACGCTCCTGTATAACCAAATGCCCTTATTATACTCAGAAAACATAACATTGACATGGAGATATTATTTAATATTCAGTCCATGTCCTAATTTTCCAAAGTCCCCTGTACTGCGTTTATTATCATACCTCTTTGGCATCCTTTAATCTAAGATAATTTCACTACCTTTCTTTGCCTTCCTTTATTCTAACACTTCGGAAGCCTGGGCCAGTTGTTTTGCAGGATCTCTCATTGTTGGACTTCGATTGCTTTCTCACAATTCAATTCAGGCTAACTATTTTTGGCAAGAACACTATACAAGCAACATCATATCTTTTTCCACATATCCCTTTAGGAAGTACGTAGAAGACTGTCCCATTACTGGGGATGTAAGTTTTATCACTCAGTTAAGGTGATAACCACCAGATATCTCTAAGTTAAAGGTGTTATTTTCTCCTTGTAAATAATAAGTGACTTGAGGGGAAATACACTAAGAACATGTCAATATCCTGTTTCCCAACCGTCTTTCACCCAAGGATGATTCTGATCTGAACAAATTGGTATATTGTTCATTGCAAAACTAATAAGTATAGGTAACTAAAATACCTTAGGCAACGAGAATAGTAGTAGTATACAGTGTTTCAGTAGTGATTCCCATTTATTGAGAGTCCACCCCGTGCCACTGTAGGTTGGGTGGCATACATGTATTCTCTCTGAATCTTGCACAGTCCTTTAACTTCTGCACTCTTATTAGGCCCACATTACAGCTGCAGAGGCTGAAGCTAAATGAATCTATATGGCTTGCTCTAGGCCACTGCTTAGTCCCTCTGTGTTGCTATGAAGGAATACCTGAGCCTGGGTAATTTATAAAGAAAGGAGGTTTATTTAGCCCATGAATCTGCAGGCTGTACAAGAAGCCTGATGCTGGCATCTGCTCGGCTTCTGGTGCGGGCTTTCATGCTGTGTCAAAACATGGTGGAGAAGGTCAAATGGGCGGTGGGAAGGTGCCAAGAAGGACTAAATATGAGGGGTGTCTGGGCTTTATCACAACCCACTCTCGGGAACTAATCCATCCCCCCAAGAACCAATCCAGTCTTGAGAGAGCAAGAACTCACTCTCTGCTAATAGAACAATGGCATGAAGCTCTTCACAACGGCTCTGCCCCCATGACCCAAACACCTCCCACCAGGACCATCTCCCAACACTGCCACACTGGGGTCCCATTTCAGCATGAGATTTGGTGGGGACAAAAATATCTTATCCAAACCACAGCAGTCACTTAGCTAATGCCAAGGTTAAACCTGTATTTGAGTTCAGTTCCAGCGGCTCCATGTGGATGTTACTCACAAATCACTTAACTTTTCTGAGTTTCTGGGTTCCGGGTCCAGCTCCATAATAGGACTGAGTGTTATCCATGGCTCTGCCGTTCTGACTAAAATGACACCCTCCTGTAGACCTGGAGGGAAGGAATAGAAAGAATGATGGCCTGAGACCTCATCAGGAAGAATCCCTCCAGTATCTCTCAGTGCTACGCAGAGCTGTGAACAACGTCCAGAATGTGCTCCCGATTGCTACAGTACAGAAGATCAATTAACAGAGCAGGCGGAGCTGTGAACAGATTCCAGGGAAGACAATTAAAGAATGAAAGCATCGCATGGAGGTCACTCTCCCTGCTGTCACCACCTCTGCTCTGTGTCCACATCCCCCTCAGAGGCTATTCATCCCTCAACCGAAAAAGCAAAATAACAGAAACTCTAAGCATTTCCAGGCCTTTTAGATGGGTCTGAAAGATTCATATAGGGGGCCACTTAATCACCATTGAAATCCACCCCAGCTTCCATTCTTGGAAAAGCAGACTTCCCTCTCTAGGATATGCAACAAGGGGGAAACATGCTGGACAAGGCAGAGAAATTTTAAAAAATTTAAAAAAATTTAAAAAACAAGCAGAGGGCTCTGAACGCACCCTGTCTCTGCAGCGAGGTGGGCCTGCTGCTTGGACCTGGAGGGCACTTCGAAGTCTCCAATCTGTGGTCTCGGTAAACTCAAAAAACGTGGCACCCACAGACCTTGGAACCGTGATCTGGAATCAAGAGAGAATGTGTAAAACATATAAAACAATAGTCTCTAATTAAAGACTGCAGAAAGGAGAAGACTGAAACCTTCAGAAAACTAAATCAATGAATTAGAACAACGAAGAAAAAAACTAAGATCTGAATTATGAGGTGAAATCCAAAAGAAAGCAAACCTCAGAGCTCCAATTTAGGAATTCCAGAAGTAAAAAGAACATACAAAATTCAAAGGCTTGGCCAGGCACAGCTCATGCCTGTAATCCCAGCATTTTGGGAGGCCGAGGTGGTCAGATCACTTGAGGCCAGGAGTTCAAGACCAGCCTGGCCAACATGGTGAAACCCTGTCTCTACAAAAAATACAAAAATTAGCTGGGTGTGATGGTGTACACCTGTAGTCCCAGCTACTCGGGAGGCTGTAGCAAGAGAATCGCTTGAACCTGGGAGGCAGAGGCTGCAGTGAGCCAAGATCATACCACTGTACTCCAGCCTGGGCGACAGAATGAGACTCTGACTCAAAAAAAAAAAAAAAAAAAATCAAAGGTTAAACATATTCTGGAACTAAAGAGAAATCCAAAGCTTAAGATCAAGAAAAGTAGTTAAATTTTATGAAAAACTATTACAAATCATATATGCAATACATACACACAAATATATGTAATTCAGGATTTTTAAAAATTATACCACCATTACCAATAAAATAACATATTACCTACAAATGAAAAAAATAAAATAGATTGGTATTAAATAAAGCGTAGTACTTGAAAAAATTCTTTAAACTTTCAAAGAATGTTACCTAAAAAAAGGTTATAGTCAAACTTAAGGCTGACAAAAAGACCCTACTAGAAAAGAAAAAAAAGTTGTAGGAGTTGAATACCTTTCTTGAAAAAATATTTGCAAATAATCAACACAGAATAGAATTTAACACTGCAAGAATGGAATGAAGAAGATATAAAATAAATGAGAGTAAACAATATAACAAGTAAATCACAAAAATTTGGCCTAATTTTTAAAGGCTAACAAAACTAATACAATCATTAATTAATAATATACTGATCAATAACAATATTAATACTCAGGATGTGAAATAATTGCATTTCTGACTGAGCATTTACTAGAAAGAAAAGTGTGGTAAATGTCTCATTTTACTTGAGGAATGGGCAGAAAGACATTCTGAATGTAGATGCACACTTAGAAAATGAAAGATAATCTCTCCAAAATAATAAATAGAATAAAATTATGATAGAAGGTACAATTCACAAGGGAGATATGTGTTATCATATAAGTTACAGTGTCTACCTCAATGCCACAAAACTGAAAAGAACTTTTGGATAAGCAAAAAGAAAAAAAAGAAAATTACCAAAAAAAAAAAAAAGAGAGAGAGAGAAAAATCTAAATAACTCTTAAGTTAAAGAAATAAAGCAAATTATGAAGCCCCACAGAGCCAGTCCTTCAAGATGGCTCCTGAGTGGCTCACTGGGCCTGAACTCAAAGGACAGTCCAGGGCCACCTGCTGACAAGGTCACACAGGAGGTCACATAGGAGGTCACACAGGAGGTCACACCAGTCCTCTGCACAGCTGCCTCTACTTAGGGGCTTCCATACCTGTCTGTTCCTGTTCGTGAGGCCTGAACAAGCCAGTGTACTGTGACCTGTATTGACCAATCAGAACTCAGCAAGTTTGCACCCCTCATTTGCATAAGGAGGGGGAATCGGGGCAGAAACTTTCTCTATAAAAGAGAAACCCTCCTTGTTCTCTGTGACACACCTGTGTTTTGTGCCAAAGGCTGTGTCTCCCCAGTTTGCAAACTGTTTACTGGAATAAAGCCTCTTTTGATTTTCTTAAAATCTTTTTCAGTGGATTTATTGGCAAAACTACCACTACACACTACTTAGAAATTAACAATGAGGAAACTACACGTAGAATTTATGGCATGCAACAAAATCTGTAGTCATAAGAAATGTATAGCATCAAATACTTATTATTCAAAATTAAAAATGCAATTCAAAACAATAATAATATAATATTTTCATCCTAACATGAGCCAAAATTATTTTGATAATAATTAAGTCAGGAAGAGTGTAAGAAAAACAGTATATCAGACTAGTGGAAACAGCTATCACAAAAACTGTTAAAGATGAGCTGTTCTGAAAGCTGAATTTCTCCATGACCTTGTCAGCAGATAGGAGTGTGTGGCAGAAGGAAACTTCTTCCAATAAATTTCCCATGTGTGCTTAAATGCTCTTTTTGGCATACAACTCTTAGATTAAGTGAAAGAAAAATCTTAATGATGAACTATTAAGATTAGAACCAACAAGTTCCCAATTACTTTTCAGAAGAGAGTGAAAAACCTGTTGAGTAAGGCCTTCCAAAACAGAAATATGTCAATAAGTATCCAAAGTCTTTAAGTTGTAAGTTTCTTTTTGAACCAGCAATTCCACATTTAAGAATTTACCCTAAAAACTTATCATGAAAGTATAAAAAGATTTATCTCCAGCTCTCTTTTAATCACAGCATTGTTTATAGTAGACAAATATTGGAAATAGACTAAATAAAAGCCGTAGGAGGATAGGTATTGAAAAATAAAAAAATCCCAAGGACCCCAACTCACTGAACAGATCCCCTCCTTTCCAAGAGGACTCCAGAGTAACCTTGGAAACAGAGTTTCTGGCCACGAGGGGATAGGAGGTCGGGCAGGCATGGTTCTACTCTCTCACTTGCTAATCGTGATTAGGCTTATGCCCTAAGGGTAAACAGAAACCAGCCCTTTCAAAAGAATCCACCACTGACATCAACCAACTACCAGATGCTGCCTCTCCCTTTTGCAATTTCAGTACCACAATTGAGCAGCTTTCCTTCCTGATAACAGACCACTGGCCAGGGGGCCAGGGAGTGGTTCTGGCCAGTCTAGAAGGATGAAGAATAAGGGTCTTCATGTCTTCTGCTGCACCTTTTGAAAGCAGAAAACTCTACCCTCAAATCAAGCTATCAGCACCATTTTTCTTTAACATGGGTCGAGGAGGCATGAAGCTCAATTGCACGTGCCTGCATTTTTCATTTCATAAATATTCACGACTCCTCCTATAGCTTATTGAATATTTATATTCAGCAACCTCACTCACAAAAAATCCCTGTTCCCTTTGCCCCTGCCTCCTAGTGTCTGTTTCCAGCTTCTGTCTGGAGGCTACACTTCCCAGCCAGTCAGAATGGCTGGTCTGCAGGCTGCAGCCCTTTAGGAGAAATGAAGCTCTCCTTTCCAAATTTATAAACCTCAGTGTTCTTCAGTGACAGGGTAATCTGGTACCTCAATGTGAAGGCACACTATTTCATCACAGAAAAAAAATACAGTAGAAAAATAGAGACTAGTCTTTATGTTGAATGTATAAAACTGTTTATATGTAGACAAGTAAGAAAGGTAGGTTACAAACAGTAGGTATGGGATGAATCACTTCAGTCATAAACAAACAAATGCACACAAACACATATGCCCATAGAATAATAACCATGAATTTATTTCCTCAAACACCTATCTCTATGGAAGGAGTGTTTTAGTTTTATTGTGGGGCTCCTTGTTTCTTCTCATTTTCTACAGTTCATATTAGTAATTTGCAGTCCTACTGACAAATATTATTAAATACAAATAGATCAACCCAAGTGAATTTGATAACTAGTAATGAATCGAGTCAGGCTTTATTGTTCATTCTTTCCTGCCTCACTTTACATGAGCCCCTTAGGAAATGCCAATGAGAGAATACACAAGTGGCATAGAATATGCATGCTGAAATGACTCCTTTTGTGAATAAGTTAATCCCAGAGAAGGCAAGTGACTTGACCAGGCTCACTCAGTGTTAGAACAGAACCTGGGCAGAGTCTCCACTTCCTGATTTAACTCAATACTTGGAAAAGGCCCTGCCACAGAGGACAGGTGTTTTCTTCTTCATAATTACAAAGTAGGAGAGAAGAACTTGGAAACACTAGTCTTACCAAACTGATAACCTTTCTGATATCACTGATGGTCCACTCGCCCATCAGTGATATGTAAAATAATGGGAGGACTGTTCTTCAATTTTCTTTAACACTGATATGAATTCTAAACACAGAGATACAGTAGAATCTCGAGGCAGCATCTTTTGTCGTTTCTGATAAGCACGAGTGCTTTGAGTGTTGTCAAAATGTGGAACTGCAACTCACAGAGGAGGAGGCTGCCAAAGCAATGAGTTTCAGCTTTGCTGTGAAGTCTGACTTGGTTGAGGAGGGCAATTTGCCCTCCAGGATGGGGTGCAGTGTTTAAAATACTTGTCACATGAAGGCAGTGTCTCAGCCCTCCCAGAAGCCGCGATGCACCCCCAGCTACAGCAGGACTGCCTTCACTGCTTCCTACACATTTCCCATTTGCTGGGTTTTGAAAGTCATTATGAAAAGAGAAGCCTTGAAAGAGAAAAGGAAAGCAAATTTCATGGTACAGTCTTTGTGAGCAGCTCTCAGCAGGAAGCATCTCCATGGTGACCAAGGTCTGCTCCTGGACGTGGAAGAGGCAGTCACCACCCCCTAGGTTAGAGGAGACACAAGTTGCCAAATATTAACAGGAAAGACAAAGACTTTACAAAACTTTTTGTGGGTGTTCTCATTCACTCTAACGTCTCATCCAAGGTCTGCTCATGCCTCACAGAAAAGAATGTGACTTAACCTAGACAACACCAGTTCTTCAGGTAAGACATCACAAGCCATCCTCAGGTGGCCAGCGAGGTTCTCAGAAGATCAAGGCCATGGAAGTTTCTCTCCAAGAGCTGTCAGTGGTGGGGAGATCAAAGGCCTCCATTCATTCAATATTTATTCAGCAAATATACAGAATCAAGAATCAAGCTGAGAGCTGAGTTCAGTAAGCCAGGGAGTCATCCAAACAGGTCGCAAAAATCAAAGGGGAGGTGAGAAGCAGGTATCAGAACTCAGCGCCAACTGCCAAGGGAGGGAAGGAGGACCTGGGAGGTTCTGCCGCCCAGGCTGGAATCCCAGGCTCTCCCCACGGCTGTGGTGCAAGCCTGGAAGTGACGAGAGGAAGGCTGGACCAGAGGCACCTCCTGATGGGGCACTCCTCCCCACGTGCTTTTTCAAGAGTAAGGGGGACAGAACTGCAGCTCTAGCCTAGGAGAAGCAGTGCCAAGGGTGATTTCGAGGGAATCAAAGCCTCACTCCCACTCCAGGAAAGGCACAGACCTGCTCAAAAAACATCCGAATGCATGTCTGCACAGAGGGTCTGCACAGAGGCAGAGAAGCATGAGAGGAGGAAGATATGATGGCCTTCACCCAAGGAGCATGGCAGAAGGTACTTCTGGTCCACTAGAAGTCATCCACACTGGCTGGATGCCACTATCCTCTTCTTTTTCTTCAAGCCTCTAACAGGCATATTGCCTGGTCCTGCACTGACCCCTCTCTGTATGAGAGCTCTTAGCTTCAGCTCTGTCGATGGCCTCCCTGGTTCACAGGAATTCCTTCCTGGCTTCCTGTCCCCCTCTCGCCTTCTCCTCCCACCTGTCCTTTTGTGCCGTATGCTGCGTTTATTCCAACTTACCAGTTCTGCAAAAACACTTCAGCTTTGAATATGCTGCTTGCTTTGCCTTAAATATAAGCCCGAATTGTCCTCCCTACTCCACCTCGAGGTGCACATGAGCCATCCCCTGCTCTCTGCTCAGCGCCCTGTCTGGTTAGCTGCCTCTTCCTGACATGGAGTGGAACCCCACACAGGCCATATCCCAGCATGCACCACTTCCCTCTGCGTATATGTCTGTCTTCCCTACTGGCTGGGACTGCTTTGAGGACAGTGACTGTGCTGTTTCTCTCTGTGTTCTCAAGGCTTGTGTAGCACAGGCCTGGCATGCAGTACTAACTCATCATCTGTGGTCTCCATCCCATTACAGCCATCACAGAGCTATATCCCAAGCTAATCACTGTGGGCCTGGCATCTGTTGTCCCTGGCATCTGTTGTCCTCTGCCCAGGGACATCTCATGCACACAGTCAGACTCTCTGAGGAAGGCCCCATGCCTTTGGCATTCCCCTTTGCAGTCAGCGTGCTGCAGACACTCCATGAGCAAGACCCCTTTCATTTCAGGGCAGGCCAGAGTTGTCACTTGCCTACTGACTGCTGAGTGATTTAACCGTAAGATCAGTGCCTGTACCTTGTAGGTGCTCAAAGAGTGTTTGTTGTATGAACAATGGAGGGTGTATGTGAGCTCTCAGACTCTCCCCAACTAGCAGTCAGAATGAACCTTGTTTCAGGTTCTGCCCGGCTGCTGCTGGCTCTGTACTATGCGACCAAGTCCAATAACATGAGACAAATCACTTCACATTTCTGTGTCTCCATTTTCTAGTCTAAAATTGGGATCATAATCTGTCCACATTTTTGGGGGGTTTTGTTTGAATTTCAATGTAAGACCACATATATGAAAAATCCTTTTAAGCTCTAGAGCACACCATTCGATCATTCAACAATGCCTAGCAGGTGCCTACCATGTGCCAGACACTGTTCTAGGAACTGAAAATCGAATTGTTTTTTAAAGTCCCCCCAAACATGCCTTTTCTCTAAGCTTTTACATAACACAAATTTCCTGCTTAACGCCCCAGACTACTTCATGGTAAATACATAAGATGCGTTTATTAAACATTTGCTGGGAAATAAATGTGTGCTTGCAACAAATTCCTTTACAGTGAATACATCTTCTCAACAAAAGCTTGTTTTCCTTATCTAAGGTCGCAAAGAAATCACTTACTTTACTCTCTCACCCCATATACATAAGTACCTGCTATTTGTCAAGTGGTCTGCTAGCCCTGGAGGTAAAATGAAAAGCCAGACATATTCCCTGCTTTCAAAGATTACACAATCTATCCAGGGAGATGGACAAATAAGCAGAAAATCATCCTAGAATATAACAACTCTAAAACATCTCAATAAGTGCTGAGATCAGGGAGGTCTTCCAAGTGGAGGTGGCCCTTGAGCTATGTCTTAGAGGATGAATTTGAGTTTTCTGAGCATTGAGGGAGAGGTAGCCGGTCCGAAGAGCACAGCATAGGCAAGGCCCAGTGGAACGAAGGGACAGCTGGTCAGCGTGGCTAAGAGGCTGCCTGGGTGTTGGGAGAGAGACCAGGGAAGAAGCAAGCCAAGGCTTACGCAGCGCCAGAGGACTCACACTCGATCCCAGGGCAGCAAGAAGCTACTGAAGGATCCCAGCAGAAGAGGGCCCACATCCCATCCAGAGACAAGAAACGAATCTCTGCCAGCGTGACAGAGGATGCTCTTATGGGTAGGAGTGAGGAGGTATGTCCAGAGGCAAAAGATCAGAAATGAAATCATTTGGGAAGAGTCACAAGCTTTTAGATTGACAAACTGAGAGCTAACCTCAACTATTCACATTTATTTACCCCTGTCTTCAAAAGAAATCCCTGTTCCACTTCCCCTCACCATCTTAAAAAACCCAACCATTTCAAGTCGAGATACCCCAGATTATCCTTGGGCCAGAATAAATGCACACAGAGAGAATCTGGGACTTCCAGAGTAGGCATGAGGGGGTACAGAGTCCAGGCCCGACCTTGCTTCCGTTTGTTGGCGTTTTTGCCGCAATGCGGCTGGAGCTCTGCGGGGCCACAGTTCCCTGTACTGGAGCTCCACTCTCGGGTGCAGTCCTCACACAACCACGTGCCATTTGTTGTCAGAATAATTAACCAGAATGGAAAAGCGAGTTCATTAAGATTTGACAAGAAGATACCAATCCCAGCACCCAGACCTCACCAGCTTTCATGAAGAGCATGGCAGAGTGCAGGGAGCTGGCTGCCTCTGCCTGCAGATGGGAAAGCATGCAGCCATCCCATGGGAAATCAGCCATGGTTCTCAAGCTCTGTCCCCAGCGGAACACGTGTGCTCTGACCTTAGAATGGACTAGTGGAGAGTGGAAAGGGCAGCAGGTTCGTAGTCAGAAAGACCCAGGGCTGCAGGTCCGTAGTCAGAAAGACCCAGGGCTGCAGGTCCGTAGTCAGAAAGACCCAGGGCTGCAGGTCCGTAGTCAGAAAGACCCAGGGCTGCAGGTCCGTAGTCAGAAAGACCCAGGGCTGCAGGTCCGTAGTCAGAAAGACCCAGGGCTGCAGGTCCGTAGTCAGAAAGACCCAGGGCTGCAGGTCCGTAGTCAGAAAGACCCAGGGCTGCAGGTCTGTTGTCAGAAAGACCCACGGGTCTATCCTTCGTGCCACTTCTTTCTTTAGGACCAATGATTTAACTTTGCTGAGCCTTGGATTCCTCATATAGAAAATAAGGACAAAATTACTTTTCAGAACTATAAAAAGGATTCATTGTAAAAGAAGTAAAATACCAGCCAGGTGCAGTGGCTCACGCCTGTAATCCCAGCACTTCCTGGAGGCTGAGGTGGGCGGATCACCTGAGGTCAGGAGTTCGAGACCAGCCTGACCAACATGGAGAAACCCCATCTCTAGTAAAAATACAGAATTAGCCAGGCGTGGTGGCGGGCGCCTGTAATCGCAGCTACTCAGGGACTGAGGCAGGAGAATCGCTTGAACTTGGGAGGCGGAAGTTGCAGTGAGCGGAGATCGCGCCACTGCACTCCAGCCTAGGCAACAAGAGCGAAACTGTCTCAAAAAGAAAAAAAAAAAAAAAGAAGTAAAATACCTAGCAGGGTTCCTGGAAGGTAGCAGATGATTAATAAAGTGGACTTAATATAATCTCACTTCTGTATTGAGGCCTTATCTTAAACCTTATAATGTTAACTTTTATCTAGTTGATACTACATCATATAATAAATGGAACATGCTTAATTTTCGTTTTCTATCCTGTGAATTGTCTTAAATTTTAGAGCCCTCTACCAGTTTCCATGCTAAAAGGTGGTAGAAGGCAGTGTCTGATTGAGTGCAGAATTATGAATCCTATCGTTTTAGATCTGCTGCATCACCACTGCGTGGTGAGAGTTCCACCAGAAGCAAAGCACCCCGACTTCAGGCACCCATCTTCCCGGGCAAGTGCGAAGCCTCGTTCTGAGTGAGAAAAGCACAACACAAGATACAGGATAACACAGCTGAGCTAACTCTCTGCAACAGATTTGTTCCAGGAATACTGGATGAGATGTATTTTGTGTGACTGAATTCTCTTCTGAAGGCCCAATGGGAGGTGAGTATTATATCAACTGCTGCCTGGACACCCCCATTCCTGCTCCTCCTGACAGTACACCTCTGTCCCCTTTGGCCAGAATATGTGCCCATTCCCCACACCCACTCGTCCCCATCTGAACGGTCCCTAAGACTCAGCCCACAGCCGCCCACCCTACACCTTCCTCCACCCCCTCTCCCCAGCCCACAGCCACCCACCCCTACACCTCCCTCCACCCCCTCTTCCCAGCCCACAGCCACCACCCCTACACCTTCCTCCACCCCCTCTCCCCAGCCCGCAGCCACCCACCCCTACACCTTCCTCCACCCCCTCTTCCCAGCCCGCAGCCGCCCACCCTACACCTCCCTCCACCCCCTCTTCCCAGCCCACAGCCTCCCACCCCTACACCTCCCTCCACCCCCTCCCCCCGGCCCACAGCCACTCACCCCTACACCTCCCTCCACCCCCTCTTCCCAGCCCACAGCCACTCACCCCTACACCTCCCTCCACCCCCTCTCCCCAGCCCACAGCCACTCACCCCTACACCTTCCTCCACCCCCTCTCCCCAGCCCACAGCCGCCCACCCTACACCTTCCTCCACCCCCTCTCCCCAGCCCACAGCCGCCCACCCTACACCTTCCTCCACCCCCTCTCCCCAGCCCACAGCCACCCACCCTACACCTCCCTCCACCCCCTCTCCCCAGCCCACAGCCGCCCACCCTACACCTTCCTCCACCCCCTCTCCCCAGCCCACAGCCGCCAACCCTACACCTTCCTCCATCCCCTCTTCCAGCCACCACTGCACTAGTTGGAAGTGATTTTCCCCATGAGTGAGTTCCCTAAAGTGCCCGTTGTGTGAGTTTTATTTGAGTATGTAGGTATGTTCAATGCAGAGTCACTTGTAGCACAATATTTTTAATTACTGGTTTCCATAAAGAAATTATGTAGTTAAAAACCAAAATGCACATTCATGTGAAATGCAGACCAACTATGTAGGCCAATGCCCTGGGAACTCTCCGCATAGAACTAAGAAAACACAGCCTTCCAGAGGCTGTCAAAGCAGCCAGCCTCTTGCCCCTCTGAATGACCCCACCTGCTGCAGGAGCTTCTGGGGGCATCAGCCCACAAAATCACAGGCAGAACTACTTGGAGACCACCCTTCTATTTATCACATCTGACCTGAATCTCAGGCCTTTTTGCTGAACCCTCAATGCATTTGTAGAGCCTTTCAGAGATGCACCTGCCAGGCCCCGCCAACCAGTCTTGGTAATTATTCCTGATATAGCACAGAAGCCAGCTCTGAGATTGGAACAAACACTAAGGCACACACCTGAGACTCCCTGAGCAAACTGGGAGAGACCCCATGTCTCACGTGCTCCTGCAACACTCACATTACAGATCAGGAAATACAGCCAGAGAAGTGAAACCCCTTCCCCAAAGCCAAATTTATATCCAACTGACTTTCATCATAGGAGGGCTCTGCAGAGCGGGAAGAATCCTACCATCACCCCTGACCAGCTGTGGCCTCTGGAAAGCTACTCCACCTCCCTAGGGGTCCACTCCAAGGGTCAGTGAAACGAGGTGGCTAACCTGCCCCTCCTTGGTGGTTGTAGGAGCTGGGAGTGCATCCCAGGCCCCAGTGTGGGAGCTTCAGAGCTCCTTCTGTGAAACCAGGCATCCCTGTGCTCACACATGCCAGGCTGTCAGGACCAGCCTCTCTGTGCCCCTGGCTCCCTCCACCCAGTATTCTGCCTTCCTCATATGGAGGTTGGTTTGGGGTTGTGGTGGGGGTGTTCCTGGAGAAAACAGATTTCAATATCTGTTTCAAATCTCCCTGGTTGACCACAGATATGAAGGAAGCATGGAGAATTCCAGACCCCCAGCCTTAAGTGCTGTTTGCAAAACACCCGCAATGTGTCAGGAGACAGGAGCTGACTTCCAGGCGGCCGACTCTGGCCCATGTTTCTCAAAGTTCCACCCATTGCCTTATTTTTCCTGCGACCTATTTCCATCTGCAACACGGATGGGAACATCTGTGTCCAGGGCATCTTTTTCTTTTCTTTCATTTCTTTCCAAAACTTGAGTCAAGTCCATATACGAGGCTTAATTTAAGCTTGGTTCCTGTATAATTAGCTCCACAGATTTGAGGGTGGGGACAGACTGAGAATTAAAAGTGAAGTAGCCTGGGCATAGTGGCTCACGCCTGCAATCCCAGCACTTTGGGAGGCCAAGAGGCACGGATCACCTGAGGTCAGGAGTTTGAGACTAGCCTGGGCAATATGGTGAAACCCCATCTCTGCTAAAAATACAAAAATTTGCCAGCCATGGTGGTGGGTGCCTGTAATCCCAGCTACTCGGGAGGCTGAGACAGGAGAATTGCTTGAACCCGGGAGGTGGAGGTTGCAGTGAGCCAAGATCGTGCCACTGCACTCCAGCCTAGGCAACAGAGAGAGACTCCATCTCAAGTAATAATAATAATAATAAAAGTGAAGTAAACACTTATGAGGCTAAGGAATCATCTGTGTCCTTCTTTCCATCTAAGTCACCCCTTCCCCGGCATCACTGAGGTTGCGGAGAGTGAAATGAACATATGTATGTGCCAGAAACTTCCAAAGGGCCACTCTTTTGCATGCATAAACCCATTGCAAAGATTGTTTGCCCCATGCCCAAAACCGGTCAAAATTCTGCAGACAGAAACGCCGTCCTCCTCTCCCAGGAGCTGTGCAGGGCAAGTGCTCTTTGGCTATGACTCTAATTACAGCCCCTCAGATACAGCGAAGAATGACAGGTATGGCGGCCCCTGGGTAGCAGAACATCATGAGGAAACCACAGCCTGTGGCGTCCTCCTGCACTTCATGAAAAGGCTCACGGGGCTCCAGGTGGAGCTCCTTCCAAAGCCCAGCACAGGCAATCACAGCAGGGCGGGGGTAGAGCAGGCACCGGCAGAAACAGTCTACTACAGCTGACCGCAGACATGAAGTGTGACTTGTACCCCTCTGTCTGTTTCTACACAATTCAACACACGTTCCTTGAGCACTTCTGTTTGGGAGAGACACAGTGCTCCAAAGACTTCAAGACAGGGGCAGGAGGAGGGAAAGGCGGGATGGTGAGGAGGTTCCTCCCTCTCGAGACGCTCAGGCCCTAAGAAGGAGGTGCCTCTGCGGGGCTGGCCATAGTGTTGGGTGTGCAGAGTGCAGAGCAGGGTTCAATGGCTCCTTATGGAGGAGAGCCTCCGGGATGTGGTCTTGAAGGACGGCTGATTTTGAAGCCATCATTTGGGGCAGAGCTCAGGGGGTGCTGGAGGAAGTGGGGCCACACTGAGCCAAGGCTGAGGAGACATAGACAAGGTGTACATGAGGTCCATCTGTGTGTGGTTAGAGGGAGCAGAGAGCACAGTGCCCTTGAGAGAGGAATGAGGCCAGCCCAGTGGGGGCAGCACCACCGCTGTCCACTGAAAGTTTGGGCAGGAGTGATAAATGACCGAGCCTGTGATAAGATTCATCCCCATAGCGCAATCAGGATGGCTTGGAGGAGGCTGCCATCAGGACTTTTACAGGATTTACGGGGTGACATGCTGAGTCTCAGAACCACGGCGGCAGCCTTGGGGTGGACAGAGAGGATCCATGCAGATATGTCGTGGGCAGATTGGCAGCCAACGTGCTGGTCTCATCTCTGCATTACAGTTGCCTGGAGCCTCAACTCTGGGGGAGGCAGAAAAACAACCACAGAGCACCACACTTCAGACAAGGATTCTAGGGCAGCACCGACCAGGGCAAGAAGCATTCATGCCATGCGATCCCTGTGCGGGAATCAGAATATCATGAAAAATACCTGTCTGCTGAGCTTTAATCACCGCCTCCTGAGGAACTAAATGGAAGAAAAAGAACTCACTATGCATAAAGGACACCACCATCTTGTATAAGTTTAAAAGGGTGCAAAAGCTGAAAATTCGTGGCCCTGAATCTTCATATCTATGAAGGTTTCAGGTTGATATGAGAAAGCACGTTGAGTTTAAAAATGCTGTCTCAGCTGTTTTTTGCCCTGAGCACCCAGCCCATGCCTGGAACCATCTAAGTGCTGAATAAGTGGTCCTGAGCAGATGGAAGCGTTGCAGGTTCTAATCAGACGGTGCTAATAGCTGTCATTCATTGACTCCTTCCTATGTGCAGCTGTGCGTCTTAGTCCATTTGGTGTTGCTCTAACAGAACACCTGAGACCGGGTAATTTATAAATAAGTGTATTTGGCTCACAGTTTTGGAGGATGGGAAGTCCAAGAAGCACCTGTTCCATGTTACAGTAGAGGAAGGGGAAGATGTGTGCAAAAAGGAACCAACCAGGACAGCCAGTCTTGCTTTATAACTACCTGATCTCGTGGAAACTAATCCACTCCCGTAGGAGCTAACCCAGACTTGGGAAAAAGAGATGCATCCATCTTAACCATCTAGTCACCTCCTGAAGGCATCAGCTCCCAACCCCACCCCATTTCGGACCAAGCCTCAACATGCAGTTTGGTAGGGACAAATCATATCCAAACCATAGCAGTACGTCAGTCATTTATAATCTAACAGGATAAATATTCCAGTTTTACAGATGAGAAAAACAAGTCTCTGAGAATTAAATAAGTCATATAAGATTGCACAGCTATAAAGTGACTGAGCTGAGAAACTCTCACCACCTTGTCTGGGGGAAGTCAAAGTCCAGGATCGCTTTGCTAAGCCGTGCTGCCTCCAGCATTTGATTCGAGATGTGGGCCTACAATGGCAGTGCTGATGATGTAATTAGTGTAAACCTCAGACACTGCCTAACGCGTTAAGGCCTCTGTACTTATCATTATCAAGAGCAAATCATCTGTTTCTATGAAGCAGAATGGTAGGCCTTCATCCAAACCAGCCATGCCCGTGTAGCAGGGCTGCGCCTAACTATCCTTACCCTGAATGTCCTGAGAGGAACCATGCTCAGTACCAAGACAAAGATCTCAGTAGCCCTGTCTGCACCAAGTAGCACTTTTAAATAAAACATCAAGTAATCACAGCACTTTGGGAGACCAAGGCGGGCGGATCATGAGGTCAAGAGATTGAGACCATCATGGCCAACATGGTGAAACCCCGTCTCTACTAAAAATACAAAAATTAGCTGCACGTGGTGGCAAGTGCCTGTAGTCCCAGCTACTCAGGAGGCTGAGGCAGGAGAATCACTTGAACCTGGGAGGTGGATGTTGCAGTGAGCTGAGATCACGCCACTGCACTCCAGCCTGGGTGACAGAGCGAGACTCTGTCTAAAACAAAACAAAAAACCACCAAGGAAAAGCCTGGTGTTTCCAGGGCCTTTCTCCAACCAAATGTCCTCATTAAATCTTCAAACTCCCCTTTTAGGAGTGATCATGAAAAATTAAACCGTGGCATTTGCGGGTGAAGCGCAAATCCCCAGATGTCCCTGGCCTCGTGCTCAGCTTGAAGGTCATGAAACTCAAGGGATTTCCAAGGCCAGAGAGTTCAAAAGCTGCCCTTCCTGGGGACGGCCTGGAGGCTTTTTGCCCCTCAGCTACAGCCGCTCCTGTATGGAGCTACTGGCCTCCCCAGGAGGAAGGAGCACATTCCTCACCCCGCCGGTGCTAGGAGCCCTCAGTGTTCAATGAAGAAAACTGCACAGAACAAATTCATCCTCACCCTTCACCTGGCGAGACGCAGTGCAGTGCAAGAGTGTCGGATGTATTGACTCTCTACGAAGAAGTTTAATTCTCATCCGTTCTTGCAATCGGCTTGTGTATAACGGGCTGCACAATGACCAGCAGACACGTTTCAGGGGAGCGTGTCTAGTATGAGGCAGGCAGCATGGGAGTGGAAAGTTATTTTTCTTCAGGTCAAAAATTCCAATTCTTCACAGAGGTCTCAATTTTTGTATGTTCCTCTGGACAGTTGAAACATCAGCTCTTCTGCTCTTTTCTTTCAAATTAGCCCCAGTGATGAGCTTTCTGAGTCCACAAGGCAGGCTGTTATGCATTCCTAGAGTCAGAGGGTCAGGCCTTGTCTTGCTGGCATCATAGGGCATGCACCATTCCGCTGCACTTAAAAAAAATCAATGTTGTGGATGTAAATATGATTAAAATGCATTTCACCAGGGAGGTGGGGGTTGCAGTGAGCCAAGATCGCACCACTACACTCCAGCCTGGGTGACAGAGCAAGACTGTCTCAAAACAAAACAAAACAAAAACAAAAATAAAACGAAACAAAAAACATTTCACCATCCCATTACTGGATGACTCTAAAATGGGAAAACTTCTAAAAATACATTGCATTTCCATTTTTACAGACCAGAACATCGCACTGTGCTGTGGTTAGATAATGACGGACGCGAGGTGCCCCATATGGAGGTTTGCACAGTGCTTGTCCCCCAGGCGGTGGCCACAGCCCTTCATGCTGTTGGAGTTCGTGTCCATGCTCCTCTCACCAGGAGGGACCCCTCCCTGATGCTGCCCTAGTGTCTAGAAGCCCCATGTTGTGGGAAGAAAGCTCCGTGGCTGCTGTCATTCCTGCCTCCATTGTGCAGACATGGAGCCAAGGTGCAGCCAGTTATGCGGCTCCCCTAAGTCCTAAGTCTAGAGCACTGGCAGGTGGAGCCTGTACTCACAGCAGGACTGCCGGCCACACGGCTCAGGCCTCAAACCCATGACATCCTCCTGTTTTTTGTATTTGCCTGCACCTCTACACGTCTGCTGTCACAGAATAAATATCTTTCTCTAGTGTTGACCGAGACAGAAGAAACATTTGCAAATAAGCAAATTCTGAAATACAATATCCTAACTAACATTTTTACCTGTCATTATACTTCACATATCCACAAATGATTCAGGCTTAGTAATTTTATTATAACCAAATTTAAATTGATATTCTTAAAGAGAAGAAACATAAAATTATATTTTAATTATGTATTTATAAAATCAAGTGATTTTTCTTTGCTATTGTCCTCAGCAAATTAAAGTATACAAATCCTTTGTAATGCATTGGAATGCCATGTGTTCTACTCTTTTGTACTAGAAAGTTATTAATTAAGACGATGGAAATTATAAATGAGGTATAGGACTTAAAAATACATGCTTAAATTTATAAAGAGAGTGATAAACAGAAAGCCAATGCATGTATTTGATCATTGAATTTTTTCCCTCAACTAGGATATCAACATAGAGCTCGGTCATTGGCCATGATGACATAGCTGAGAAGAAACAACCACCTACCCGCCATGCTATAAAGCAGACGTTCTGAGTGCTGTGGGGACCTGGCGAGAGAAGGACTGCCCCCGGCCCAGGCAAAGGGAGGCAGGAGCTGGCAGCGGTCAGGGAGGGGTTGTGGAGATTGGTACCTGGGCCAGCCAGGCAACAAAAGTGCAGGTGGGGTGCAGGGGGCCCGTCTGAAAAAGCAGCCCTGCACGGGCACAGGTGTGGGCGCTGGTGAGCCCCACAGCTCAGCAGGAGCCTGCAATGGGGCTGAGCACTGCACCGGGGTAAGGACAAGAAACCAAGGGGAAATCAAGGCCTGGAGGCATGGGAGCAGGGTCACTAAGAGGTGGGTTTTGAAGAGTAATTGGAGAATCTTTAAGGCAAAATAAAAGGCATGCATCAGGAGTAAATAAAACGCCAAGCACTGATTCCAGTTGCAGGAGAGGCACAGTGTCATGAAAGAGAAGCGTCGCAGACAAAATGATGGGAAGCATTTCTGGGCTCATGGCAGGGCCTGGGAGCAGTTTCTAGCTTCCGAATTCACTCCCCATGCAACACCACAAAACTCCAACATGCAATTATTGATGGCGGGCAAGATTCCCACCAACTAGGCGATAAACACACATTACCCTTTAGGTTAATTTTCATTCAACTTTCACACTATTAATTAATTGAGGAAATGTTTATTCTGTCCTCTGCACTTTCTCGGCAACGCATGCCAGTCACCAGTGCACATCTCAAACATGAGCCTCCTAGCATCCCTGGCACTCTAGTGGTTAGGATGTGGCGCTGAGCTTTCTCAAGGAGGCTGAGGCTGCTACGGCTCCCTGCCTGGGGGCAGCTTCTTGTCCTCACTGGTTTACACTCAGGTCCAGTCTGCGGTTGACCGACCAGTCTTCTTTCCATCTCATGAAGACAGATGGCACCCCATTCACTGCCAGTTAACTGACATGGGCAGGCCATATATTCGTCCACAGTTTCACTGCTTTCAAGAGCCAGCTTCAACTCCCCCTCATCTATTTTTTTTGGTGCTCTTTTGCAAGCACCCTACCCTGAACTAATTGCTTCCTTCCTTCATTCAATAAATGCTTCCTAATTCCCACTTCCCCAAGTGTCTGGAACTGGGAGTAGCTGCTGGAAGTCAGAATTTAAAAACAGACATAGTTTCTGTCTCTCAGAGCCTACAGTACAGCAGATAGAGCAGGATACAAGCAAATGAGCAATTAAACAACATGTAATAAGAGAGGAGCCGTGTAATCAGAGCTGAGTCATTAATTTGGTATTAAATCATGTGTTGAGCAGCATCCCAATTTATATTAGCTTTAGATATGTCTAATTTTATCTCCCCTATGAAATTTTAGCTTCTTGAGGACACGGAATGTGTCTTAAACTGTATATTGTTGTTTTCTAGGACCCAGCTCAGTGCTATACACACAAAGGGTGCTCAATAAGTGTTTTTAAATACATTTTTATTGCACATGTTTAAGGTATACATGATGTTTTGATATACACACATTTAGTAAAATGATTACTACAGTCAAACAAATTTATGTATCCATCACCTTCCATAGTTACTTTCTGTGTATGTGTCTGGTGAGAGCACCTAAAATCTACTTTCTCAGCAAGTTTTTAGAGTACTATTCAATCTTATTGGCCATAGTCCTCATGCAGTGCAACAACTCTCTAGACTTACTTATGCTGCATAACTGTAAATTCACACCTTTCACCTACTCTCCCCATTTCCACCCCTCCCTGCTCCTGGCAACTACCATTCTACCCTCTGCTTCTATGCATTCCACTTATATTTTTTCAGTTTGGCATATAAGTGAGATCATGCAGTATTAGCCTTTCTGTGTCAAGCTTATTTTACTTAGCATAGTGTCTTCCAGTTTCATCCATGTTGTAGCAAATGGCAGAAATACTACAATTGCTGTAACTGTTCATCCTTTGATGGACATTTGGATAGTTTTCATATAGTGGCTATTGCAAATAATGATTAAATGAACATGAGAGTGCAAATATCTCTATGAGGTGCTTAAAGCATTTCCTGTAGTTATACATCCAACAAACAGATGGCTGGATCACACAGTAATTCTATTTTTAATTTTTTAAAGAACCCCCATACTAGTTCCCATAAGAGCTCTACCAATTTACATTCCCAGCAACAGTGCACAAGTGTTCCCTTTTCTCTACATCCTCATCCACACTGTTATCTTTGGACTTTTTGGTAATAGCCATCTAACAGGTATGAAGTGATATGTCATTGTGATTTTGACTTGCATTTCCCTGATCATTAGTGATGTTAAACACATTTTCATATATCTACTGGCCATTTATTTATATGTCTTCTTTGGAAAAATGTATATTTAGGTCCTTTTTTCATTTGTTAAAATTGGGTTATATTTGTTTGTTTGTTTTTATATTGAGTTATGTGAGTTTCTTGTGATTTCAAGTTATATTGCAAAGCTATAGTAATCAAAACTGTATGGTACTGGCATAAAAATAGACACACAGACCAACGGAATAGAACAGAGATCCCAGAAATAAACCCAAAAACATATGGTCAGCCAATTTTAAGCAAGACCACCAAAATACAGAATGGAGAAAGATAGTCTCTTCAATAAATTATGTTAGGAAAACTAAATATCCACATGTAAAAGACTAAAACTGGATTATTAGCCTATACCATATAGAATTAACTTCAAAATGGATTAAAGTCCTGAATTTAAGAAGTGAAACTGTAAAATTCCTAAAAGAAAACATAGGGGAAAAAGTCCTCGATATAAATTTTTTGGATATTACACCAAAAGCTCAGGCAACCAAAGCAAAAATAAAAAAATGAGACAACATCAGATTAAAAGGTTTTGCACAGCATAATGAAAAGGTAGCCTGTGGACTGGGAGAAAATATTTGCAAATCATATATCTGATGAGGTGTTAATAACAAGCATTTACATATTTTATCTGATGACTTGCCAAGGCAACTAGACAAGGGAATTTGAGATTCAGAATAGATGTAAGGAAGATATTAAATGATAGAGAAGCGTTAATGAGAGAAGCATCTGTATTTATTGTTCACCTGGCATGCATCAGCCCTGAATAATGACACAGTAGACGCAGACCCCGGACTCAAGAGGTCTACCTCTCAATAGACCCTGTTCTGTTGGAAGGACGCATGCAAGGTCATGGAGAAAGGATGGGTGCTGGCCCAGCCAGAGTGGGCCAGTGAGGAGTGTCATTATCCCCTGGGGCAACACCTGGAAAACAGATCTTCTCACGGCTTCCAGGGATTAAGCCTTCTTTAGCACATTTTTCAAACATCCAAAACTTCAGGTGCCCTGTCTTTTTTGTCCCTGAAACAAGTGAAGTCAAGGTCATTTTTATTTCAATGACTTGTTTTTTTGCTTATCCAATGGAGAAGCTGATGGGAGAAAACAAAAATAAAAAACACAGCAACACTGTTCATTTATTTTTGTAAACAGGAACTCTAGTTCACTCACATTCCTGTATTCAACTAAGTGTAAATGTTTATGTCATGTTCTGACCTGGGTCTCAAAGTTGGCCTTCCTGAGGACTTGTGATCACGCTTACCTAAGCCCCACCTTGGGCTTTGTCTCAGGTCTACATTCGGGAAGTTCTAGCTTCAAAGCCTTTTTCTTTTCTCTTTTATTTTTTGAGACAGGGTCTTGCTCTTTCATCCAGGCTAGAGTACAGTGGTGTGATCACAGCTCACTGCAGCCTCGACCTTCCAGGGCTCAAGTGATTCTCCCACCTCAGCCTCCTGAGTAGCTGGGACTACAGGTGAACACCACCACACCCAGCTAATTTTTGTATTTTTTGTGGAGATGGGGTCTTGCCATGTTGTACAGGCTGGTCTCGAACTCCTAGGCTCAAGCCATCATTCTGCCTCAGGCTCCCAAAGTGCTGGGATTATAGGTGTGAGCCACCATGCCCAGTTTCAAAGCCTTTTCTACTGAGTTGATCTTGTGTTCTTGCCCCAAGTCTGGTCAACAGTGTTAAAGGCTTTTATTTTCTTTTCATCTAATATTATATGCTCTCATAGTTCACCTGGAAGCTATAATGTCACACACACCAGTCCAGGGAACACCCGAAGCATCCCTGTGTGAGACTCCCCCAACGCGTGGCTGATCCAGTAAACTAGGTGTTTGGTTGTGATCAGAGTATATATAGTTAACTAGGTGTGCAGGGCAGGTACACGTAATTTTTCATGAATTTTGGAATATGCTTCCTGACATTTACACACATACTCATAGATTTCTTCACCTTAATGACCTACCTGATTTATAAATAAAAGGCAATGCTTTATCCTGTTTCATAAAGAGAAGGCATATCTTAAAATATTTGATTATTAGCTATACTATTAAGATAAATCTATCAAGATTACACTGTTAAGTAATTGTTAGGTAGAATTGTTCCTTGATATTCTGAGACCTAGGTTTTATGTTTGTACAATTGAGTATTTATTTTACTCCGTGTTACAGGAATAAGGATAATATTTTGAAAGACGTCATCTCTTACTGGTCAGTATCAGAAACCACCACCACTGCACACAAACTCACCTTTCTTCTAACGGTAAGCCCAAGAGTGGGAGTTCAGAGACCTGAGTTACGGAACTTTGGACAATTCACGTCCTATCTCAGGACCCCAATTTTCTCACTGATAAATTAAGGTGAGCAGGTGGATGCTGTCCACCATTCAGTCTGGCTTTGTTTGGAAATGATGTCCACGGCCTCTAGGGCTGGTGCCTTCTTGTGATGCTAGGATGGCGCCATGTTTGATGAAGGTGAGTAGGTGCCAATGAAGACCTAGAGAAAGGCCAAGGAAAGAAGGTTCCTGCTTTACTACCCACAGCATATACAGTTATAAAGAAGCATATGTAAAAGGCACCCTGAAGGAGGGCTGAGATTTCAGAGCTCAGACAGTCAAGAGGGGATTGAGAACAACATGAGCAAAGCCACAGATGTGAAAGGAATAAGCTCCAGCGGGAAAGCATGGGCAGGTTCAGTGGTTAGAGCCACGTGTTTTCATTGAGCTCTTATTCTGTGTCAAGTCAGAAGCCACAAGCCAGCAATATCCAAATGAAAGAGATGTCATCAGCAGGATTTTAAGGAGAGCTGATAACGCAACATACCAAGGAAGACAATGCATGAACAAACAAAAATTGCTCTCCGTCTATAATGCAGAGGGCGTGTTAATCATTAAATAGTTTCGACATGTTCTCCTTCTCTTTCGATAAACATCAATTTGCTACCAGGCACAGGATAGGTGTTAGGGATACCAAGATGAGTCAACATGGGGAGTTGTGGGAGATGTAGCCTCAGGTTTCCATGGGGCCCCACTTGGGAGGGTCTGTAATGCCCAAGGAGGAAGATTTTGCTTAACTCAATGGGCAATACAGAGCCATTGAAGATCTCTGAGCAAAAAGATCACATAAACAGAGCCATTAAGGCAATTAATCTGACGGCTGTGTCAGTAGATGGGGAGTGGGGCAGAGACAATGGCAATAATTCAAAGAAATTCAGTGCAGAAGATGAGAGGAAGGTGGATTGGGTGCTACTGTGGGCAGATTTGTCACCCTGAACCATCCCACGGTGAGAGACTCAGGCCCGCTGCTGGGCTGGCTGAGGCCCCTCTATGTGCACCTGGGTGGGCAGTCGGTGCAGGTGCAGGCCTCACAGACGCATCCTCAGGTAGAAGAGGTTTCAGAGGAGCCCTGAAGCCCTGACATCCACCCCTGCATCCCCCAACATCCATCCCTGCATCCCCCAACATCCATCCCTGCATCCCGCAACATACTGTCTTTTGATGTGTTGGATTTTGCATTTCATTATTTTCCCTTTAAAGTACAATAAATCTTGTTTCCAAGTACTCCAGAAATACAATAAATGCATGTAAGCCGGCCACCATAATCCAAGGGGAAAGGGGAACAAGTAGAGAGAAATGATGTCATCATTCTTCCTGCTGCCATCCTGCCGTTTCCAGGCTGGATCCCTAAGCATCTATTTTTCAAAAACCTCAGTCCCTGAATTAAACGCCCCAGAGTGGCCTGGACACACCCGGCCCTGCAGGCAAGCAGCACATGGCTGAGAGCAGCATCTGCCAGCCCTGCACCCACCCAGTAAGAGCAGGGCTTATCGGCGACAGGATCTGGGAGACTGAATGAGCACTCCTGTACTAAAACCCGGAGCCTGTTAGGGTCTCTCATAATGGCTTCCATCTCCATTAAGGAAAAAAGAGCCATCCACTTTAGAGGGAAAAAAATATAAAAACCTCTCTTTCCCCCTTTAAAATTCATTGCACTTTTTTCTTTTGTAAATAACAAGCTTAATCAATTATCTTTCTTTTATCTACAAGTAGAGTGTTCCTTTTTCAGGGAAAAATGTCATATTTTTAGAGGTTTGCTTTTAAGTTGTTAGCTAGATAGATATCTTTCCTACAGTCCTCCAGTAGTAAACTTGATGCTAAAAACGCACATGCAAAATCCACCAGACTTGTAAGGTAAGATGGGGCTTGCCGATTGGTGATTGAATATGGGCTGGTGCAGCCAACCTGCTCTCAACAGGAGCCAGGGGCAGCCACGCCCTGCATGTTCATCTGGCACCGGGAGTGCATCATGAGGCAAAAATCATTTTTTAATAGAACCCAGAAAGCAATCCAAAATCAGTAAATAAAGCAACAAAATGAAGGAGCTGGCTGGCGCTTTGGTGAGGATTCTTGCCGCAAGTGTTCTTCACCAACATTTTAGAGATGGAATTCAGTATGCCGGTCAGGGCTAAGCCAGCCCACTCCACAACATGACAGAGGAGCACCCTATTTCCTTGACTCTCAGATGCCATAAATTATAAGATGCACCATCTATTTATTAACAGCTTTTCAGAAAAAAAAGAGACTATGTTAAAAGCACCCATCAATTACAAGCTGCATTCAGCTTTCAGAAACACTCACAGGTGAAAAATATGCATCTCAGAATCAAGAAATATGGTATATTAATACAAGGGTCATCATCAATTAATCATTTTAAAGGACTTAAGCAAAATGAGCTCCCTGTAATGGAGGTGATCATGAACAAACAATGACAGGGTCAGACTGGAAAAGAAAAGCATTAATACGTGTCAGGTGAGCCAAGGAGAAAAGGGATTCCAGAGAAGGACGCTGTAATCGTGTTTAACTCTGTTTCTTAAAAATATTAAGAATGTCCTCCAGCTTATAATGTACTATTAGCAACCATGATTGTAACACAGGAAAGCACATATTTGTATTCAACAAATAAAAATGAACAAAATCTATCTTATTTTCTCTTTTATTCCCAATGTCTGACTCCTATGTGGTGATGCAAGGTGATCAGTGAGTATCTGTTGAATGAAGATGTCATCAAGCAAATGACAAAATCAAGCACTGAAGTAACCGCCAAGTCTGGAGAGTTTACATCCTGTGTATTTTAGGGTTCATGCCTTCCCACCCCAAGCTGTAGCCTCAGCATCCCCTCATGGATGCTGTTGCACCAGCCACACCACCTCACCCCACAGTGCTCCCAGCAGCGTCTCTCACGTCCCCGCAACACATTGCTCACAGTTCCTCTGAAACATACATCTGAATGGCAGAGGCAAGGTGTTCGTCATTGTGCCATTTTTGAAACTCCTGTAAGTTCTCATTAAAACAGAGCAACTTGCATAGCAAAACTGGAAACCCTCAGACGGCATCTTCAACAAAAGTAGTGACAAGGTACCCCCACAGACCCCAACACGATGACCAAGCATGCTGAGCCATAGGCCGGCCCTTCCCCTGGTGTTGGGAGGTGGTGGCCAGGAAAGCAGAGGCCACATGAGGACTCACAAAGGACAGCGGCCCACACTGGCCCAAGTGCTGCGCCAGGCATGTGAGGGCGTCCGGTGGTGGGTGCCTGGCCTCGTCAGCTCCAACGACAACCCAGCACCACCAAGAGACCTGGGAGCTGAGTCTCCTACCAGATGGGGAGACCCTGGGACAGAGAAGGAAGGTCCGGATCAAACTGGAGAAGAATCGAAGCAGATGTTTGCACCTCTTTGGTACCTGATCCAAACAAACCAATTGTGACACAGGTTAAGTTTCCAACTTGAGCTAGATATCTGATAATGATGAGAAATTATTGTTACTCATGTCAGGTGTGACCATGGTAGTGTGGTTTTGTTTTTCTTTTTTATGCCAGTATCCTTACCTGACCGAGAGTTGTTCTAAAACAGGCAAGGATGGGTTTGCTGCAGAATGACCGGTGGGGAGGGAAGTAGGAAGGGGCTAAACATAGTGGGGTCAGCCATGTGTTAGTGATTGTTGAAGCCGGCTGTAGGAGCTTGGGGGTTCAATTTACCATTCTTTTGTATGTGTTTGAAATTTTCTAAACAAAAGGTTAAAAAAAAGCCTCACAGCTTTGGTCATGTCATTTATCCACTAAAACATTTTATGAATCCCCCAAAACCCTAAAACTTTTTTATACACTATATAAAGCCAATCCCTGTCCCCAGCCCCACAGGCCACAGGCCACTTCCAGCCTCATGCTGACCCTCCAGAGCCACACACAGTGCAGCATTTGACACCGCGCCTTTGCCCACATTGTTCCCACCACCTGGAACACCCTCCCAGCGTAAGCCCTTCCTCCAAAGCCCAGCTGAAGCTTCCTCTCTGCCAAGTTCCCTCGCTGGCCCTCCCCATGCCCCATGGGATGCAGGGCACACCATTCTACATGGGTCTCCCACTGCGCTGGGCAAGGCAAGGTCACAGACCTTCTCCTGCTCATTTTCAGGTCCTCTGCACTTAGCAGCATTCTCAGCAAATAGCAGCTGCTCACCTACCGTTGGCTGGACTGAAATGAGTTTTTGTTGAAGAATTTTAACCAGCACTTCTACCCATTCTACTCTTTAAAATTTCACAACCTGGAGAAGATGTAAGTTGGTAAAAATGAAGATGAGGCCGGGTGCGGTGGCTCACGCCTGTAATCCCAGCACTTTGGGAGGCCGAGGTGGGCAGATCACTAGGTCAGGAGATCGAGACCATCCTGGCCAACACGGTGAAACCCCGTCTCTACTAAAACTACAAAAAGTTAGCCGGGTGTGGTGGCAGGCACCTGTAGTCCCAGCTACTCTGGAGGCTGAGGCAGGAGAATGGCGTGAACCCAGGAGGCAGAGCTTGCAGTGAGCCAAGATCACACCACTGCATTGCAGCCTGGGCGACAGAGCAAGACTAAGTCTCAAAAAAAAGAAAAAAAAAAAAAAAAAGGTGAAACTGCACCATGCATCATGCATCAAAAGCCTTAAAAATGTTGATCCTTTTTGATCTAGTCATTCCACTTTAATAATAAAATAATAAAAACTTATTAAAGGAAATCATTGAAAACCTACAGAAGGACTTATATAGAAGAATGTTAATGATAAAAGCATTCTAAACTTCAATCCATAAAAATCATTCATATAATAGAATATTAGGTAGCCATTAATAACCATGTCTTAATAGAATATTTAGTGACATGGCAGAATACTTAACATTTATTATAAGATTTATTGGAAAGCAATATGTTAGATTATGAGTCAACATATCCAATACCAAGTCCAACTGAATCATTAAAAAAAATCATCTACAACCGGGCACGGTGGCTCACACATATAATCTCAGCACTTTGGGAGGCCGAGGTGGGCGGATCACAAGGTCAGGAGTTTGAGACCAGCCTGGCCAATATGGCGAAACCCTGTCTCTACTAAAAATACAAAAATTAGCCAGGCATAGTGGTGGGTGCCTGTAGTCCCAACTGCTCAGGAGACTAAGACAGGAGAAATCGCTTGAACCTGGGAGGCAAAGGTTGCAATGAGCCAAGATCGCATCACTGCACTCCAGCCTGGGCGACAGGACAAGACTCTGTCTCCAAAAAAAGAAAACAAAATTCACCTAGAAAAATACTTGAAGAAAACATACCTAAATACGTAGAGTTTTATTCTGGGGTTGCAGAACTAGAGAGGTTTTCATTTAAGTTAATAAACTGTATTTGTTTAGAGCAGTTTTTGGTTAATAGAAGAATTTAGCTGAAAGTACTGATAGTTTCCTTATGCACTCTCTCCCCACGCCACCGCCCACCCCCATACTGTTGGCATCTACCATTAGTGGGGTAAGTTCCTTACAATTGATAAGCCAGTATTGATACATGATACTAACCACAGCCAGAGCTTGAGTTAGGGCTCACTCCTCGTTGTCTACAGTCTATGGATTTTGACAAATACACAACGTCATGTATCCACCATTACAGAATCATACAGAATAGTTCTGCTGCCCTAAGAATCGCCTTCCACACACTACCCCTACACACTGAACCCCTGAGCTTTTCACTATCTCCACAGTCGTGCCTTTTCAGGAATGCTGTACCATTGGAATCCTACAGCATCTAGCCCTTTCACGCTGGCTGCCTTTACTTAGTGATGTTGTCAGACGCACCTCCTTGTCTTTTCATGGCGGCTGGCTCACTTCTTTTCATTGCTTAGTCATATTACATTGTATTGAGGGGCTACAGTTTGTTTATCAATTCACCTATCAAAGGACATGTCTTCTCTCAATTTTTGCTTTTAATTTTTGGTAAGTATAAGTAAAGCTGCTCTGAATGCCTGTGTACAGGATTTTGTGCGGCTGTAAGTTTTCAATGCATTTGGTAAATAGCAACCATCTAGTAAGAGAATGTTTGGTTTGGTAAGAAACTGCCAAGCTGTCTTCCAAAGTGGCTGCACCATTTTGCACTCCCACCAGCAAAGAAGGAGAGTCTCCGCTGCTCCATACCCTTGTCAGCACTTGGTGCTGTCAGCGTTTTGGATTTTAGCCATTCTAATAGGTGTATAATGGTGTCATATTGTTTTAAAATTTACAATTCCCTAATGGCATATGATGTTTATTATCTTTCATATGCATATTTGCCATCTGTAAATCTTTGATCAGGTGCGTGTTCAGATTTTTTGCCAAATTTTTAATTAGGTTGTTTGTTTTCTTATTGCTGAGGGGGGTTTTTTGTATATTTTGAATGTAAGTCCAAAAAGACATTAGAAATATGACTTTTGCAAATATTGTCTCCTGGTCTGTGGCTCGTCTTTTCATTCTCTTAACAATGTCTTTCATGGAGCAGAAGTTTTAATTTTCACAAAGTCTAACATCAGTTTTTCTTTAATGGATGATGCTTTAGGTATTATATCTAAAACTCATCATCAAACCTAATTTCACCTAAATTTTCTTCTATTTTATTTTCTAGAAATTATTTTAGTTTTGCATTTTACATGTAGGTCTGTGATCCCTCATGACTTAATTGTTGTGAGGGCTACAAGTTCTCTGTCTAGATTCATTTATTTGTTTTTGTTTGTTTTCTTGCATGAAGATGTCCATTTTTCCAGCACCATTTGTTGACAAAACTGTAATTTCACCATTGAATTGCCTTTTCTGCTTTGTTGACTCTATATGTGTGTGGGTCTCTTTCTGGGCTGTCTGTTCTGTTCCATTGATATATTTGTCCATTCATTTGCAACACCGCATGCTCTGAATTGCTTCGCTTCATAGTAAGTTTAAAGTCAGGTAGTGTCAGTCTTCTACCTTTATACTTCTTTAATATTGTATTGGCTATTCTGGATCTTTTGCCTTTCCATACAAATTTTAAAACCAGGGCAAGTTTTTAAAATCTGTATGGAAGGTTTTTACGGTGGCTTATGCCTATAATTCCCAGCACTCTGGGCAGCCAAGGTAGGGAGATTGCTTGAGGCCAGGAGTTCCAGACTAGCCTGGGCAGCATAGCAAGATCCTATCTCTACAAAAAAAAGATAATAATTATCTGGGCATGGTAGCATGTGCCTGTAGTCCCACCTACTGGAGAGGCTGAGGCAGGAGGATTGCTTGGGCCCAGGAGTTCAAGGTTACAATGAGCTACAATCATGCCACTGCACTCCAGCCTGGGCAACAGAGCAAGACCTTATCTCTAAAGAAATAAATAAAATTTAAAACCAATTTGTTGATTTCAACAAAGTGATTGGGATTGCATCGAATCCATGGACCATGCTGGGGAAACTGACATTTTAACAACGTTTAGTCGTTTTGTACATTAATATCCATTTTATTTATTTAGCTATTCTTTGATCTCTTTCATCAGAGCAGTTGTAGTTGATTTTGTCGGTTGGTTTTTATAGATGTTCTTTTGTTCTTTTAGGTCGAGGAAGTTTCCTTCTGTTATGGACTGAATTATGTCATCTCTTAAGATTCATATGTTGAAGTCCTAATATCCAGTACTTTAGAATGTGACTATATTTGGTGATAGGCTCTTTTAAAAGGTAATTAAGTTAAAGTGAGGTCACTATGGTGGGCCCTAATCCAATATAAGGAGAATAAATTTGGACACAGACATGTACAGAGGGAAGCCCGTGTGAAGACACAGGAAGAAGATGGCCCAGTCATCTGCCATCAAGCCAGGGAGCGAGGCCTCAGAAAATATCAGCCCTATCAACATCTTCATCTCAGACTTCTGAACTTCAGAATTGTAGGAAAATTAATTTCTGTGGTTCAAGCCACACAGTCTGTGGCACTGTTAGAGCAGCCCTAGAAAATGAGTGCATCTTCTATTCCTAGTTTGGTCAAATGATGTTTTTACATCTGTTGATATGATCATATGATTTTTCCTCTTTAGCCTGTTGATGTGATGTATTACATTCATTAATTTTTGAATGTTGAATCAGCCTTGCATACCTGAAACAAATCCCACTTGGTCATGATATATAATTTTGTATACATTGTTAGACTAAATATGCTGATATTTTGTTGGGGATTTTTTGCATCTATGTTCATGAGAGATATGAGTTAGCTTTCCTTTTTTGTAATGACTGTGTCTGGTTTAGATACTAGAGTAACGCTTGACTCATATAATGGGTTATGAAGTCCTCTCTCTGCTTCAATATTGTAAAGAATTGGGATTTCTTACTCAAATATTTGGTAGAACTCACAAGTGAACCCATCTGGGACTAGTACTTTCTGTTTTGAAAGGTTATTAATTATTGATTCAATTTATTTAGTAGACCTATTCAGATTGCCTATTTCTTCTGGTGTGAGTTTGGCAGATTGTGCCATTTAAGTAGCTGATCCATTCATCTAGGTTATCAAGTTTGTGGCATAAAGTTGCTTGTAATAGTCTTCTGTTACCCTTATAATGTCCATGGGATCAGCAGTGATGGCTTCGCCTTCATTTCTGATATTAGTAATTTGTATCCTCTCTCTCTCTCTCTCTCTAAGTTAGCCTGACTATAGCTTCACCAATTGCATTAGCTTTTCAAAGAACTAGCATTTGGTTTGGTTGATTTTGTCTATTATTCTCCTGTTTTCAGTTCCTTTTATAGGAAGTTCTCATTTTATGTCATTGGTTAGTTCTCAGAAACTGCAACTTTCAGCAAAGTCACGTACCTCGCATCCTGGACTGATACCATTTCATTCAACATCATTTTGTTACAAAGTTGACGAGGAAAAAAATGTTTTCATCATATGTTGTTTCACTTGAAGTCGCAATGGTATTTGTGAGGACGTATGTATTTCTGCTCTAATTTTTATTATGCCTGTTTCATCTGCTTACTTTAGTTTGCTTTTTTCTAATTTCATAAGGTGAAAGCTTAGATTATTGAGTTTAGATCTTTATTTTTTTTAATATGCACGTTCAATGGTATAAATTTTCCTCTGCACACTGTTTTCACTGCATTCCACTCATTTTGATAAATTGTATTCTCACTTTCATCTAGTTCAAAATATTTTAAATTTCTTTTGTGACTTCTTTGCCTCATATGCTATTTAGAAGTGCATTTTTAAATTTCCAAATATTTGGGGATGTTCTAGCTATCTAGCTGTTATTGATTTGGTTTTGTTTAATTTCACTGAAGTCTGAAAGCACACTTTATATAATTTCTATTTTTTTTTTAATTTGTGAAGATATGTCTTATGGCCCAGAATGTGGTCTATCTTGGTGAACCTTCCATGTGAACCTGAAAAGAACTTATACTCTGCTGTTGTTGGATGAAATATTCTATAAATATCAATTTCATTCTATCAATATCAATTGATGGAGCTGTTTCAGTTCAACTATCTCCTTTCTGATTTTCTGCCTGTTGGATCTGTCCATTTCTAATAGAAGGGTGTTGAAGTCTCCAACTATGATAATGGATTTATTTATTTCTCCTTGCAGTTCTATAAGTTTTTCCCTCGTGTATTTTGATGCTCTGTCTTTAGGTGCATACACACTAAAGATTGTTATGTCTTCTTGGAGAATTGCCTCTTTATCATTATACAATGCCTCTCTTCAGCTCTGATAGTGTTTCTTGCTCTGTGGTCTACTTTGGTTGGAATTAAAGTAGTTACTCCAGCTTTCTTTTGATTAGTGTTGGCATGATATATCTTTCTCCGTGTCTTTACTTTTAATCTATCTTTGTTATATTTAAAGTAAATGTCTTGTATTGAATGTATAGTTCAGTCAGTATCTGTCTTTTAATTGGTATATTTAAACCATTCACATTTAAGGTGGTTATTGATAAAATTTGATTAGTATCTACTGTATTTGAAACAGTTTGTTATTTTGTTACACTGTTCTTTGTTGTTTTTTCATCTTCTCTGTTTTGAGTGTTTTATGATTTCACTTTTCTATTAATTATACTTCTTTTTAAATTTTTTTCAGAGATTGCCCTAAAGTTTACAGTGTACATTTACAACTAATATAACCCTGCTTTCAAATAACTCTATGCTACCTGATGAGTAGTGTAGGTGCCTTACAACAGAGCACTCCTGATTCTTCCCCTCTTCAATTATTATTTTGCTGATACTCAATTCACTGTCTATAAGTTATAATCAATATATTATTGATATTATTATTTTGACAAAACTGTTATCAGTTAAGTCAATTAAGAATTTTTACAAAACAAATGGTTTATTTTTACCTGCATTTATTTCCTCTTTAAGACTCCTCCTTTCTTATTATATCTGAGTTTCTAGCCTATATCATTTTCCTCCTCTCTGAAGAACTTCTTTTAACATTTCTTACAAAGTAGGTCAACTGGAGACAAATTCCCTCAATTTCTGTTTGTCTAAGAAGCTATTTCTACTTCACTTTTGAAGGATAATTTCACTGCACACAGAACTGAGGTTGGTATGTTTTTCTTTCAGCTCTTTAAATATGTTATCCACACTCTTCTTGCTTGCATTTAGAAACTATGTTTCTAAAGAGAAGTCTGATATAGTGTTTACCCTGGCTTCTCTGTAGGCTTCCTAGATTGGTGGTTTGATGTCTACCATTAATTCTGGAAAATTCTTAGCCAATATTACTTCAAATATTTCTCCTGTTTCTCTTTTTCCCCTGCTGATATCCCCAGTTTGCACATGTAACATTGATATGATTTGGCTGCGTCCCCACTCAAATCTCATCTTGAATTGTAGTTCCCATAATCTCCACATGTCATGGGAGAAACCCAATGGGAAGTAGTAGAATCACGGGGGCAGTTACCCCCATGCTGCTGTTCTCATGATAGTGATTGAGTTCTCACGAGATCTGATGGTTTTATAAGGGGCTTTGCCCCAATTCACTCTGCACTTCTCCTTGCTGCCACCATGTGAACAAGGACATGTTTGCTTCTCCTTTCACCATGATTGTAAGTTTTCTGAGGCCTCCCCAGCCCTGAGGAACTGTGAGTCAATTAAACTTGCTTTCCTTTATAAATTGCCCAATCCTGGGTATATCCTTATAGCAGCATGATGATGGACTAAACCACACACCTTTTGTAATTGTCCCATAATTATTTGATTTTTTTTATGTTTTTCATGTTTTTTTCTTTTTGCTTTTCATTTTAGGAAGGTTCTAGTGACATATCTTCAAAGTCACTGATTCTTTCCTCCACTGTATAGTCTACTGATGAGCCCATGAAGACATTCTTCATTTCTGTTACAAAGTATTTGATTTCTAGTAATCCCTTTTGCTCCTTTCTTAGAGCTTCCATCTCTGCTTACATTACCCAACTGTTCTTGCATGCTGTCTACTTTATCCATTAGAGTCGTTCAAATATTTATCATAGATGTTTTAAATTCCAAGTCTGATAATTCCCAAATCTCTACCATATCTGAGTCTGGTTCTGGTGGCTGGTTTTTCTCTTGAAACTGTGATTTTTGCCTTTTAGCATGCCTTGTATTTTTTTCTTGAAAGTGGACATGATGCATCAGATAAATAAACCTGACATAAATAGTTTCTTACCTTCAGTGTGAAGTTTTATGTTTGTTTGTCAAGGAGTTGGGCTGTGATGACTCTAATATAGCTGCAATTTCAGAGGCTAAATTTTTCTCTAGTGTCCTTGTTTTTGCCTTTGTGGTTGTCTGTAGGTTTCCCTAGAGTCTCCTTCTTAGATAAGATCTGAGGCACACCGTTCTTTTCAATGTAATCTCCTGTTATTACACAGAAGCCTAGTTGATATCATCATAAGGTCTCAGGAGGAGAAGCCTTCCGTGACCCTAAGATGAGGTCTCAGTCTTTTAGTGAGTCCATGTTCCTGGACTGTGACCTTCACAAGTGCTTCTTAGCCTTTTTTTTCCTTTTTCCACCCCTTAGGTGTGACAGAAAGGCTGTTGCCAGAGTGGGCTGGAGTTTTCAATGGGCTCAGATAGTTCTTTGAGTTCTGAAAGCAGCCTTCTCATCATTAAAATGCTTTCTTACATCATTAAACCCAATCCCTCAAAGAATTCTTCTCTCCTTCCATCCTCCCTCACACCCACAACTGCAAAAGGTGCCATAGGCATTAAAGTCTAAGTGTGTCCCATCAGTCAAGCTCTGACATTGCACTAAGTGACAAATCTCCTTGGGTCTTCTCATTGTGCTGAGGGAAGTCATGGGTTTCTGATGTGAGCCAGAGTAGCTGGTCCAGTACAAACACCAGACTGTCAGCAAACTGAAGTTTGCTGAGCACCTTCCCTCTCTCGCCATGGGGTTGTTGTTTTTCTCAGTATAGGGGATGTAGATTTGCTTCTAATGCTCCCCACCTGAACTCAGGGTAAAGCCATGAAGTGCAGGCCCAGGAGGGAACACACTTTCCCTTTCGATTACACTGTTAGCTTGCCTACCATTTAGTTGTGTGCAGAACTATTCCAATGGACTTTCATTCCTATATTTCTGTGAACCAGCCTGGTATTCAAAGGTCCAGACAAGTTACCTACTAAGTGGCTACTAAATTATCATCTCATGATAGCATCAGACATGCTCTATTCTTTACAAAGCAGATGCTTGTGTGTTATCTCACATGGTCACTTTTACTTCTGACAAGACCCACTGCAGTATCAGAGCCATGAACATAGTACATTTTACAGATTCCTAAGATACCAGGGCCAGGGGGTGAAGGGCTTGCCAAAGGTCACTAGCCCATGACAAATGACCTAGGCTTCCTGGCACTTGGATCCAGACCTCTGCGGCACACACAGAGTGAGAAACCACACACAAGCCTTCTTCCAAAGAAACTTCTCACTGAAAACACCAGGTGAGCCTCGGATGATCACTTTTTGGAATTCAGTGGATAATCAGGGCAGTCTGTTTCTCTCACTGGGATACATGTTGGGGTCAGGAAAATAGAGAAGCCATTCAGTGTTGATGAATGTCAGATGGCATCATACAACTCACCACCAACCATTTCTATTTTAAACTTGGGAAAAACATCATGGCAAAGCACCGTAAGTCCTATTGGCAGACAAGGTAATTTATTCCTTGATACATCAACATTACTCTTTTGTTATGGACACTGTTATTTTTATTATGGGAAACGGGTAAGTTATTAAAAGCCACTTGTCCATTTCGATTTATTCAGACTGTTTCCCCAGGATCCAGACCAGCCAGGGCTGACTCATCATCCAGCACAGGAGGTCCAGGGCTTAGGGTCACGGTATTTGTTAACTCAGAAGACTAAAAAAGATTATTAGGTTGGAGAAAGTATTTTAATGTATCATATGAATGTTTCTCTTTATACCAATGAAGTCATAAATACGATTTTGGCTATTTTTATTTTTATTGAAAGTCATACTGCATCCAGCATCTCCCTGATCTCTGGTGCCTTCCTAGGATAACCAGGGGGCTCCCCGAATGAAGCATTTTTGTTTGCCCAGCAGTGACAGGAGTGGCACGCCCCTCCTCACCCCAGAACTTAGAAGGCCTAATTTCCTGGTCGGTGGCACTCCTGCCCACGGCATCGCTGTGGGAACAGTAACCAGCAGCATTTCACTGTGTGTCTCACGGACCACCCAGGAGGTCCTGTTCTGTTCCTGCTACTCAGCATGGGTGGGTGGGTTAGAGGTGGAAGGGGAGAAGAAATGAGAAAGAGGGGCATGAATGGCTGTTTGGGCAGGAAAATCCTGCTGTAGGAGGACGATGACTTCCAAGTTTCTATGCAGCTGTTTACAGAGACCTTTGAAGTCAGAACTGAGAGTGTCCATGGTGCCAGTCTCACAAAATTCTGCAGCAGGTGAAGGCCGGAACTAGAGTTTTACCTTCACTGCTATCATTCCAGGGGCACAAAACTCAGGCAATTACACATCTGATCATCCAAAAGAAAGAGTGACCGAATGTGGTCGCAGAACAGAAGCACCAATCCTTCAAGCCCCGGAAGTTCCACCCTGGCTGCCTGGAGAGAGGCCTCAACTCCCTGAGTTTGATTTCCCGCCTGCACACGGATGTCGAAATTCCCGCCCACAGAGCTGCTTCGCACAGCAAGGCCCAAGTCCCAAAGCTACGAATTGCACCACGTTTATCCAGAAATCCCCCGCGTTTTCCACAACACCCAGAAAATTGGTGGAACGAGTCAACATGCCAATGGGAGGAAAGTGGTTAGCACCGTAGAGAACACCAGGGAGGAAACACGCAACTGCACACCAGGGCTTTTTTATCTTGGCAAAGCCACAGATGATTCTTATGAATCAGGCCATCCTGTGGGGACTCCGTTTGCTAGAGACGGATCCGCCCCAGCATCACCCCCATTGGCAGAAACCAACCCAGCCAGAGTCCCCAGGCCTCGAGAGGATGTCTCTTCTGAGACCCCCACCATTCAACGTGCTCCCAAGCCACCCTCCCGTTATGGACAGCTCTGTGCAAACTCCTGTCAGAGGCAGCCTCATCAAAGTACTAAAGGCGAGGCGGAACCACAGCTTCACCCTGAGCTTCACATGTCCACATATGCCAGGAGCTTGTGTGTGTGCGTGTGTGCATGTGTGTGTGTGCATACATGCACGTGTGCACACATGTATATGTGTGCATGTACGTGTGTGCCTATGTGTGTGTGTATTCAACTAATTTCCACAACAACAGTAAGAGGTCAGTGTTGTGGCTGTGCCAGACCACACGTGCACCATCGTACTGTGGACAGCGTCCTGATGGGACCTGAGCCCAGACCCCTGCCTCTGACCCACGCCCCTTGCCCTGCACTGTGGCCGCCGTGTCGCTCACCAGCAAATTCCAGGGCTGGCTCAACTCCCGAGGCCTCTTCCTGCATAAAAGGATTAAAACTATGTTTTATGATTTCATTGTTCTTAATATATATTATTAAATATATTTCTATTATAGGTTTCAATATGTTCTTCAACTTAAAACTTTTTTTTGAATTTTTGCCCCTGGAAATAAGTGTGTTAAAGAAAGCAAATCATCAATTTAAAAAAAAAAAAAAAAGAAAGAAAGAAAGAAAAAACAACCTTATATAACAGAGCCTGAAACTAAACCACCATCCAGATTAGAAAAAACAAAAGTTCCAGAAATGATGCTGCCCAGGCCCTTGCATAAATCCGGCCCAGCCAGCACCCCCGAGGCCTGAGCCGTGAACACCTGCCTGCCGGGGCCACCATCCCCACAGAGCCGCTGGTGTCTGCCTCCTCTGCAGCCTGTCTGCACTGCGATGGCCTCTCACCCAGATGCTGAGCTGCTCCCCTCAGGGACAAGGGGATCTCACTTCACGCCTGTCTGACCACGTTCCACGGGGTCGTGATTGATGAAGCCTAGGGTGAGTCCGCCCACCGTCGGCAATGCTGGCCCGAAGCAGGCTGTGCAGGCCTCTGTCCTGAGACCTACCCTCCCTGGCTGGGGCACCAGTGTCTATCACACACGCCTCATATTCAGCCACCTGTTTTTCTCTGTTCAAGGCTAATGAGCTAAACAGGCCTGGAGCATTGTTTTGTACTATTGATCACATTGTGAACCACAAGTTCCTGGGCTGGCACAGGCTTCTGCAGCCTCCTGCGTGGGATTCGGCAGACACCAACGAGTGAATTTCGAATCAGCACCTCTGCTCATTGAGGGTCTCTCTCGCAACATTCACGCCTTCCCACTTGCTCCTCGCTGAGACCCCACGGTGGGAAAGCCAGCGATCTCCACTCCTGGCCTCCTCCTTTTGGCCTGGATTCTGCCTTTGAAATATTTCCAGCAGTCAAACATCCACTTTGATGACTGGCTCCCTGGACAATCAGTTTCTAGAAACTTGAGGCTACCCCTCCCACAACACCCAAAAGGCACAGTCTCACTTAGCTTTCTGACCTCTCTCCTTTTAGAAGCTGCTTTGTCTCATCCCCTGGTCTCCGTCAGAGCCTTCCTCACCCCCTCCCCTTCCTCCCCTTTCTTCCCTTTTGTGACTGTCTTGAGACCCCGTAAGTCCCTGCCACTATCCCCGCATCTGTCTGGGACTGGATGGAGAGCCAAGGACCTGCCATCTGCATGAGAGAAGCTCCTGGGCCACTGGACCTGATGGAATCATCCATCGCTGTGGCTGCCCTGCTCCTGCTCAGGCCTCTCTCAGCGGCACTCTGCGGGGAGGGAGGTGGCACATCAGGCAGCCTGGTGCTGGCTCTCCTCCTGTGCGGTGCCAGGCGATTGCTGCCCAGTTTCAGCCATGCGGATGTAATGGCAGTGCCCTTCTCTAAGCTTCATTCCTGAAGTCATGGGTAGATTTGTAGACCCCGCACTGTGGAACGACTCTTCATTCTCATGACACACATGTGAAATTACCTCAGTTTTGCCTGCAGCTCCCTGCACATAGTAGGTGCCCAGCATGCGGCTGCGGAATGAGGGGTGCACCATCCTTTGAGCTTCTCTAAGCTGTCCCACTGTGCGCACACAAAGACAACACAATGCTCATCGTTTGTCACCAGTCTTGAAAAGGATTTCATGACCCCAGCACTGCAGCCACCTGACTCATAACTCCACTTTGAAATGTCCTTTCCAAGTACTTTCTGAAGTACTTCCATTCTTCAGAAAGACTTGAGACTATTTAATACTACAGTGACCCTTAAACAATGCAAGACACAGGGGCACCGACCCCGTGTAGAGTGGAAAGAAAATCCATGTATAACTTTTGACTTCCCCAAACCTTTACTCATAGCCTACTGTTCACCAGAAGCCTTGCAAATAACAGAAACAGTCAATTAACACATATGTTGCATGCTATACAAATATATATACTATGTATTAAATACTATTCTTACGATAAAGCTAAAAAGAAAATATTTTTAAGACAATCATAAGAAAGAGAAAATATATTTACTATTCATTAAGTGGAAGTGGATCATCATAAAGCTCTTCATCCCCATTCAGTAGGCTGAGGAGGAGGCAGAGGAGGGGTTGGTCTTGCTGTCTCTGGGGTAGCAGGAGAGGAAAAAAATCCACATACAAATGGACCTGCCCAATTCAAATCTGTGTTGCCTAAGAGTCAATTGGACTTCTAGCATTTAACTCACACCCATTCACTGATAGGTTCCCTGCCCTGTTAAACTGAGAACTGTGAGCCAAAGGAGCCAAAGGTAACTGAGAAATTCTTACCCAAGCAGGTCGGTTTAGGAGTAAGAAAACCGAGGCCCTGAGACATGAGGTGGCCTCAAGGGTACCACAAAGAGGCAGTGGAGGCCTGGCCCCATCCAAGGCCTCTGCACACAGGACTCCGCAGAAGGTGTGGCCAACAGGGCCTGCTGATCCAGGGGACACCACCGCCGAGGTTAGGCCACCTGTCACCGACACAGTGACGAAGGTGTGCCCCTCACGGTTGTCTCCCACACAACTGGCTTAGATGGTCTTTCAGAAAAGTTCGCTCAATAAATTACATCTCCTCTTCCTCATGACACTGTCGTGCTTGAAGACCATGACGGTCAAAAATAAAACCGTTTCCTGGCCCCGTCCCATCCGACCTCACTAAACATCTGCACCAGTTTAGCTGCTCCCAAACTCCGGGCAAGGGAGAGGCAGGGCTTCCGGGAGGCCTGGGCTAGCGTGAGGAGGCGAAGGCTCTGCTCCTCCCTGACGGGCACCGTCCGCAGGACTGGTCCTTCTCTGGCCGCACGAGAGGTTTTCTGAGCTGCTCCTGCTGCCACTCGACTTGCTCCCAGAGGAGTAGAACCAAATGTGCATCTCGTGAAGGAGAGAGAGGAGTAAGTTCCTGGACAGGAAGCTGATTCTCAAGTCACAGCAGATGTAAACCGCTACTCACACCAGGACAAGGTGCTAATGTCGCGGAACTCCCACCTGGGGACTGGGAAAGGGAAAACGCTTCTTTCATGCTAACCTAGCACAGGCCCCGAGGTTCCGGGCTGTGATGGGGCCATGCAGACAGACACTAGTCTTTCCTTCATGGGCATTTCTGAACATGCCCTGAGGAAACGAATCTGCATGGGGATCACTGTAGGACTCAGACTCGGGCAGGTCAGTTAGGCAGGCCTGGCTTCCTAAGACTCCAGGCTTCAAAGCCTCGAACCTGCTCCCGTGCTGAGCTGGTTCCCCAAAGGTTCCTGCCTCTCACATTCCTTTCCTCCCTTGTCCCCAAAACTGTAAGGTGACGACGGGTTCAGGGGATATACACTCAAGGTGACGACGGGTTCAGGGGGTGCACACTCAAGGTGATGACGGGTTCAGGGGTACACGCTCAAGGTGACGGGTTCAGGGGGTGCACACTCAAGGTGACGACGGATTCAGGGGTACACACTCAAGGTGATGACGGGTTCAGGGGGTACACGCTCCAGGTGATGACGGGTTCAGAGGTACATGCTCAAGGTGATGATGGGTTCAGGGGGTGCACACTCAAGGTGAAGACGGGTTCAGGGGGTGCACGCTCAAGGTGATGGTGGGTTCAGGGGGTACACGCTCCAGGTGATGACGGGTTCAGAGGTACATGCTCAAGGTGATGATGGGTTCAGGGGGTACACGCTCAAGGTGACGATGGGTTCAGGGGGTACACGCTCAAGGTGAAGACAGGTTCAGGGGGTACACGCTCCAGGTGATGACAGGTTCAGGGGTACACACTCAAGGTGAGGACGGGTTCAGGGGGTACACGCTCCAGGTGATGACGGGTTCAGAGGTACATGCTCAAGGTGATGATGGGTTCAGGGGTACACACTCAAGGTGATGACGGGTTCAGGGGGTGCACACTCAAGGTGATGACGGGTTCAGGGGGTACACGCTCCAGGTGATGACGGGTTCAGAGGTACATGCTCAAGGTGATGATGGGTTCAGGGGTGCACACTGAAAGTGATGATGGGTTCAGGGGGTGCACACTCAAGGTGATGACGGGTTCAGGGGGTGCACACTCAAGGTGATGACAGGTTCAGTGGGTGCACGCTCAAGGTGATGACGGGTTCAGAGGTACATGCTCAAGGTGATGATGGGTTCAGGGGGTGCACGCTCAAGGGGATGACGGGTTCAGGGGGTGCACGCTCAAGGTGATGATGGGTTCAGGGGTACACACTGAAGATGATGATGGGTTCAGGGGGTGTACACTCAAGGTGATGACGGGTTCAGGGGGTGCACGCTCAAGGTGATGACGGGTTCAGGGGTACATGCTCAAGGTGATGACGGGTTCAGGGGTGCACATTCATCACTCCTCCTGCAGATGGACAGTGTTTCCCCACAGCCTGTGCAGTCGTGGGCTTTGGGATTTACACACCAGGAGGAATAATCTCTGATACATCAGGACTGGGCCAAGGTCTCATGGAAGTACCAGCACCTTGGAAACATTTTTATGACAAAATAAAACAAAACAAAAAGCTATGGCCAGGAGAGTGTGGCAAGAACAGGCATCTGAACACCTGGACCCAACACAGCTATGCAGGATGATGGCACCCAACCTGGCCCTCACAAGCTCCAGGGCAGGTGCCACCACCTGGAGCCACCTCCCTTTTTTTGAAACAGAATCTCACTCTGTCACCCAGGCTGGAGTGCAGTAGCATGACCTTGGCTCACCGTAACCTCCGCCTCCCGGGTTCAAGTGATTCTTGTGCCTCAGCCTCCTGAGTAGCTGGGACTACAGGCATGTACCACTACACCCAGCTAATTTTTATATTTTTAGTAAAGACGGTGTTTTATCATGTTAGCTGGGCTGGTCTTGAACTCCTGACCTCAGGTGATCCACCCACCTCGGCCTCCCAAAGTGCTGGGATTACAGGTGTGAGCCACCGTGCCCAGCCCCTTTTGTGTCTGATGCCCATGACTGAATTCATTTCTCTTTCTCTCGCATGTTCACGTCACAAACCGTCTCATCCCTGGTGAGTTACCTCCTGGGATGTATCCTCACTCACTTTCCCATCTCCATGAGACCCTGTCAGTCCGATGGTCTCTAGTCCCTCCCCACCTCCCAGGACCACCTTCCTTGCTGTATTCTAAACGTCCCGACTCCATCTGATGTAGGTGGGAATTTAGCATCTGCCCTCCTGCCCCAGGCCCCTCTCAGTAACCATGGACTTCTTGAAGTCCTCTCAGCTCCACGTCTTGCCTTTGCAGAAGGCCCTACCTCCACCACCCACCGCCTGTGGCCTCCTCTGATTCATCCACATGCAAATCACAGCCCCTCACTCGGCCCTTTTAGCACCCTGGATGGCTGGTGCTGCGGGAAGAGCTGGGGATTCCACCGCCGCCTGCCGCAAGCAAGCCCAGTCACCAGCAACGGGAAACCTGATGGCTTGCTGCTTAAATGAGGAAGCAGTGGCTTTCCCCATCAGACAAGAAGTCCAGGGAAGGCCCTTCAGGCCTGGAGGACTGCCAGGGCGCCCCGATAGACCAGACGGCCCTCCCCTGCTGGCTGCTCCAGGGCAGTCTCCGCAGTGCGGTCCCCCACGGCCAGGGCTCCTACAGGCATCAGGCCAGAGACCAGGCTGACTGTGCCAACGCACTCTGCTTTTCAGGCTTTGCATTTTTATTCAGGAAAAATCGTCCCCTTGGTCACAGGGATTTTCTCCCTTCATCTAACTGTGCAGAATTGGCCTCCAGGGCCAAGGCCGCTTGAAAAGAGCAACAAGGCATTCAGGCCTTTGCAGTGGAGAAAGGAGGATAAGAAGGTTCTGGGGCAGGTGGTCCATGCTGCTCACCATAGGCCCTCCCCGTCCCCTGTGTCCCACCCCTGGGAGCTGTGGAGGCTGCCTAGCTCCTTCCACAGGAAACCCCATTACTCTCATCTCTTCCCTTCACGCATCATCTTTCTAGATCCGGGAGACTCAAATATAGACCCCTTTACTGCACTCCTTTCTTCTAGACCATGCCTTTCTCCAACCGAAACACCACAACCATGTCTCCCAGGTCGCTTCTTCCACATCGCCCACATTGAGATGCAGGCCTCTCCCGCTCCAGGTTCTGCAGGCAGGAAGCTGCCATCTGCAGACTCCTCCCCTGCCCCGACTGCTAGGAGGACGCACCCCCTGCCCCCAAGACAGAGGCAGCCACATGGTGTTAGGGCAGTGATGGCATTGTTTTTCTCACTGTCTTAAATCCACATTTTCTTGATATCCCAAAAAAGGAAACTGAGGCACAAAGAAGTTAATGGCATGTGCGTGTCATATGGATAGGCTGATGGAGGAATTCCAGGGGAGCCAGAGGCAGGTGTCCCAGTCCCCTGCTTTCTCACGGCTCTGAGACAGCTCAGCGTTCAGCTCCACACCTTCTCCCACTCAGTCCTGGAGCCAGCAGACCGGCTCCTGGAACCATTTCCTTCCGTCTCTCCTCACACACCCACACTTGGGGCTCTTCCTCCTCCTTCCTGGGGTGCATATTTTTTAAATAGTCTCTAAATGCTGATAATATTCTTTCCCCTCCTAATCACCACAAAGAAAAAGAAAAAAAAATTAACACAGCACCTCCTTGAGGGCCCCTACTCCCAAGCTCTGAATGTCTTGCTGCCTTTCAATTGAGTGTTGGATACTCTCAGCTGTTTCTCTCCAACTTGCTTGAGAACCCATGACAAACGATAACTTGCTTTTGACCTTGGACGTCAGGCGCCACCTCCGCAGGGCTGGCTGCATGGGGACAACCTACGCAGGCCCCACCGCCCGCTCAGAAGGCCGACAGTTCTGCTGTCATTGTCGCAAATGTTTATTGAGGTTGTCTCTGCACTTGTGTTCCGCGAGAGAAATCAACAAGACAATGGAGGCTCGGCCACCCGAGATCCCACCACACGCCTCCCTGGGGTGAGGTCTGGACCACCAGCTCCAAAGCCCCAGCCATCCCCACCTGGCTGCCCTGCCCTGCTCTACCACCTGCTGTCATCCAAGCTTTGGGGAACCTCTGCCCGGGGGCCTTAGCATGGAGGGCCCACATCCCAGCCTGGGCGGGCGGCGTTGGGTGGGGTGACGCCTACTGTCACTCCTGACCCACGTCCTGAGCCTGTTTCCCCACCAAGGTGTAAAGATCCCAGGGCCACCTGTATGCTCTGGTTGGGGCTGTGGGCTGTGGAGGGGAAATGTTTGGCTCAAATTCCCCTGAGCCTGTCCCCTGCCAGAACACAGGGGTCGAGAGGTCCCCAGAGCCTGCCCCTGCCAGGACACAGGGGTTAAGGGGTCCCCAGAGCCTGTCCCCTACCAGGACATAGGGGTTGAGAGGTCCCCAGAGCCTGTCCCCTGCCAGGACACAGGGGTTGAGAGGTCCCCAGAGCCTGTCCCTGCCAGGACACAGGGGTTGAGAGGTCCCCAGAGCCTGTCCCCTGCCAGGACACAGGGCTCGAGAGGGCCTTGGGCACTTGTCAGGGTTCACAAGGATGCCGGTGCCTGGACAGCGCTCCTCACTGGCTCTGTGCCTGGGAGACCCTCCCTCCTTCAACCTCCCTGGCTCACTGCGGATTGATCTCTCCATGGCAGCCACGGGAGACAAGCCATGAAATACAAATTGTGTCACTATATGATTCTTTGTGCAAGTTAAATCCTCATATTTACATTTAAAACTAACTTTGCACAGTATGAAGACGAAAGGTAAAATTTATGCTGATTATTCAAATTTTTGTTTTTTTATTTAGAACTGCAGTAATTATCCAATAAAAACCTGCCTTGTGAAGAGCAAGACCGTGGAAGAAAGGAAAAAGCTTACCTTTCACCGCCGTCAAAGGTACTTCACTCTCACTTTTTGAACAAGGGGCCCCACAATTTCATTGTGCACGGGGCCCCGCAAATTGCAGAGCCGGCCCTGCTCCTCAGTGCACTAAGAGGGTTACCAAATGAACCAAATGAAAGCCAAGTCTCCCTCACGCTAAACAGCTGGTAACTGGCCCCCGCCATTGCCAAATACAAGGTTTTCTCCCGGCTAACACACGCTAGCAGGAGGCTCCTGTCCCTCAACTCCAGACTCTGTACTTTGCACCTGCCTGGTCCCAAGGCCCCAAAGCTGTCAGGTCAGGGAACATCAGCTCAGAGCAAGCTCAGCCTCGTCATGGCGGCAGCGGCTCATGCTCGGATGGGCTATGCTCGGCCTGATTAGATTGGCCCAAATGCTTTAAACATCAAACGAGCTGACCCCTGACATGAGACAGGTTGATTTATTATCCTGCCGGCGCTGCTGACAGCCGACACCAGGAGCCTGGCCCTGTCTGGTGATTTCTCAAGCTCTGGGCGCATGAGCGGCCCCGCATCCTCTAGCACATCAGCCCAGGCAGCCCGCTGGAATGCTAAGGGGCTCCTACCCAGGTTTGCTTTTTAAAGAAACTCAAATGAAGAAGCCAATCACGGGCAACAAGGAAAGTCTGCTGTGTGTGCCTGGAGATACTTACGGGCCACACTAGGAAAAGCAGGCAAACCTCAGCTAGAACCTGGCTGGCAGGAGGCTGGGGGTCACAGAGGGAATGAAGCCAAGGGGTGCTCCTGTCCAAAGTCGCCCTGCTTTCCCAACTGCCTGCCCAGCCACCTCCCTCTCACGTATTTCACAATGAGAATTTATTTCAGCATTACTAATTCAGAATTTATGTTAATGCGGAGTGGAGAACAAGCTCATCTGTAACCTTCATGATGAAGAACTCAGTTGCACAGACAGCACTGCAGAGGCCATAAGCCACCTGTTTACGGCCAAGGGTGGGGACCGCCCACAGGTACCTGAGAGCCCTGTACTTCCAGGCCAGCCAGCCATGCACCCATTACCTCAGCTTCTCCACTTCTTAAACCAGGTGCAAGGATTTCTCTTCGTTAAGTGTACACGAGCCCATCCCAAGTTTCCGCACATACCCAGGTGTTGGTGAAGCCCCACTTCATTAATTCAGGCTAGCGCCCACCAACGGCTGCAGCGTCAAGCCTCTGAGACATCAGCTGTCTGCTGTGCACATGGAAGTACTCTTCCTTAGGAAAGTCCTTTCCTCTTGAGTCTCAATGTACCCAACTTTTAAGTAGGGGGGAGGGGTTCATAAAATTCATTGTTCCTGGCTCGCAGGCCATTGGGAGGATTCACAAAATGATGTGCAACAGCTTGGCAAGATGCCAAGCCCCAGGGGCTTGCAGTTGTTGATGAGGAGGAGAAATGTGCCCTCCTCCCTGCTGTGGGGCCACCTCCTAAGTCTTCCTAGTTCTGGCTCCCTTTTTCCTCTGACCATTTGCCATCACTCGTTGTGGGTGCAGATGAGCTCCTGGTCTCCGGAAGAAAGTCTAAGATCCTGAGCGACGTGGCACAAACATAGATGCAGAAGCAAAGCAAGGTTCTGTCCAGCACTCACCAGGAGCCCAGGGCTGAGGCTTTGGCTAATCAGCCTCTTCATAACTTTTTTCTCTTCATAAACATGGAGGATCTGTGAGCCTGCACCCAGTCTCAGGGCTGAAAGGGAGAAGCACATGAAAGTCCTTTGCTCTGGGCTTGAAAGTCCAATGCTTACACTCCTAGGAAGTTGATAGGAAAGTAGGAACAAGGCCACCCTGCAGAGTTTAATTAAATGTTCAAGTCTATTTAGGCACTCTAAATAGGCACAACTTTTCCTAGATTTGGGAAAGGAGTAATAAACAAAGAAAGAGGAATAGTATTCCAGAAAGACATTCGTAAAGTCCTTTTAAAACTGAAATGAAATACTCTGGAACCAGATACTCAGCCTCCAGCAGGCAGCCAGACATATATCTCCATATGGGAGACTGGAAGGACCTCCTCTTGGGACTCTGAGTCACCAAAAAGGAAAGAACCAAGAAGCTGCAGAGGCTCTGCAGGGAAGCCCACGGTTGACCAACTCTGCTCAAGCTTTCAGAACTGCCAAACTGATTGCTGACCTGTCACTCTTAATCATGAGCTGATGGTCAAGGAATTCTAGACCTCAGAGAAGTGCTCCTAACGAGGAAGCCAGTGACCAGAACAATCCAACGGGAGCAAAAGCAACCTGTAGGAAGCAGAGACTATAATGGAAAAAAGAAACTTAAGAAGGAGACATTATCATTAATAGTCACCTATGAGAGAAGATACTGCACCCATATTGCAAGAACAGGATGCTCAGAAAGAAAATATTGAGAGAACTAAAAGAGCTACTAATAATTAAAAATATAAAGGCAGGCTGGACGCGGTGGCTCATGCCCGTAATCCCAGCACTTTGGGAGGTCAAGGAGGACGGATCACCGGAGGTCAGGAGTTCGAGACCAGACAGGCCAACGTGGTGAAACCTTATCTCTACTAACAATACAAAAATTAGCCAGGCTTGTTGGCACATGCCTGTAATCCCAGATACTTGGGAGGCTGAGAAAGGAGAATTGCTTGAATCCAGGAGGCAAAGGTTGCAGTGAGCTGAGACTGCTCCATTGCACTCCAGCCTGGGCAACAGAGCGAGACTCCATCTCAAAAAAAAAAAAAAAAATGCAGATTCTGGCTTCCACTTAAAATATAGAAAGCTAGATAACATCATGCCCACCTTTACTACAATACAAAAAAAGACATATAATCCATAGAATAATATCTTTACTTGAATCCAATAGAGAGCTGAAGTCAGAGTGAAACCAGCGAACCCAGATCCTAAGGAAACAGCTGTAGGGGAGCGATGAAACTCAAACACTTGCTTTTGGTGGGCAGCATAGAAGCTAGCAAGAAGAATTCAGCTGAAAGTCTGAACAAGTTACTAAACAACAAATGTGAGCTAGTGCAAGAGTATGGAACCACTGGAAGCAAAGAAAAGAAAAAAGGAATTCACACAAATTCATAGGTTCTTTTTTTTCAGGCTCACCAAGTAACAGAGGAGGATAAATGGCAGCCATTGTGGTAAAGAGAGGAAGTGCCCCTGGAAAAAAAGACCTAAAGCTTTCTACTCCAGAATGCAAAGAGAAGACCCACTACGCCTGAAAGAGGAGCCAGAATACCTTAGGCCAGAGTGTGAGACACCTGTACTGCTGGAGAAAGGTAGGATCAGGTTGAAGACCCCAGCCCCGAGATGCAGGGACACAGGGCCTACCAGAGACTGAAGCTAACCCAGCATGGGAAGGAATGCCATCACCCTCACCCCAGCACCAGGCTGGAGGCACCCGGTAACAAGGAAATGCAGTTGACTGCTGGGGAAGAATGAGGACAAAGGGGTGCCTTTCTGAGGTGCAGATGCACAGGGAAGATCTAAAGCTGAAGGTGGCACAGTCATTGACAAAAATCTCCCAGTAAATCCACCCTAAACAAAAGGGACCCCTAGAAGGCTGAGTGAGACACCCTGGGGGTGAACCTATCAACAACAAAATCCAAAGCAAGAGCCACTACTGACTCAATTAACTCAACTCCCCACACTAAAGGCATGGGGAAGGAAATTGTATGTTCGTTTTCAGATATAAATTCTATTTCCTCAAACTCTACTGTTCTGTGAAAAGTGTTCAAAACCTGTGAGCTATGCAAAGAAGCAAGGCAAATATACACATGCAATCAAGAGACAAAGTACACAATAGAACCAGATACAAATATGACCCTGGCGTTGAAACTATCATATGGCAATTTAAAATAACTATGAAAAATATGTTAAAAGTGCTAATGTAAAAAGTGGGCAATATGCAAAAAGAAATGGGGAAATTCAGTAGAGAGATGAAAACTCTAAGATAGAATCAGGCCAGGTGTGGTGGCCCACACCTGTAATCCCAACACTTTGGGAGGCCGAGTTGGGCTGATTGCTTGACCCCAGGGGTTCGGGACCAGCCTGGCAATAGAGTGAGAACCCATCTCTACAAAAAATACAAAAATTAGGCATGGTGTTACACACCTGTAAGTCCAGTTACTCAGGAGGCTGAAGTGGGAGGATCACTTGAGCCTTGGGAAGTCAAGGCTGCAGTGAGCCATGATCATGCCACTGCACTGCAGTCTGGGCAACAGAATGAGATCTTGTCTCAAAAAAAATTAAAAAATGTAAGAGTCAACTATAAATACTAGAAATAGTGGAAGGGAGGCTGCAATAAGCAGGAACAGAAATAGAGAATGTTTCTGATGGGCTCATCAGTAGTCTTGAGGCATCTCAGTAAAGAACCAGTGACTTGAATGTCAATAGCAATCAGCCAGATTGAAAGACAAAGATAAAACAGTGACAAAATAGGAAACAGCATGCGAGAGTTATGGGGCGATAGAAAATGATCTAGTATAGATATAACTGGAATCCCAGATGGAAAAAAGGGGGGCAGTGTTGAAGGAAAAATATTTCAATAAGTAATGGCCAAGGTTTTCCCAAAATTAGTGAAACATACCAAAAATACACAACTATTGAGCTCAAAGAAATCCCAGTGGGATAAATATCAACAAAACAAATAGACAAAAAAAAAAAAAAAAAAGCACGCACATGTTCAAACTGCTGAAAGCTACAGGTAAAGAAAACTTTTGAAGGAAGCCAGAGAAAAAAGACACATAGCATACAAAAACAAACAAACAAACAAAAATTACAATAGACTTCTGTTCAAAAACTATGCAAAGCAAAAGACAATAGATTACAATCTTTAAAGTGCTGAGAGCACAAAGAAAAAACTGTCAACCTGGAATTCTATACCAAGTAAAAACATCTATCAAAAGGACAGAAAAATAAAGGGCTTTTTCTGAGACAAAAACTGAGAGAATTAATTGCCACAAGATTTTATCTGTAAGAAATATTAAAGGGAGTTCTTCAAGCAAACTTAATCTGAAAATGGCAAACTTAGATCTGCCGACAACTGAAAATGGCAAAAGTGAAAGTAAATTTATAAAGGATTTTTTTCATTTTAATTGCTCTAAAGGATAACTGACTGTCCAAAGCAAACCTAGTATCCATGCATTGTCAGTTTATAACATATATAAAAATAAAATATAAGGCAGTAACATAAAATACAGGAAGAAGAAATCAGGAGTATACTGTTGAAATATCTTACACTACAAGTAGAGTGGTATTATTTAATTGGAGGGTAGACCATGATTAATTAAAGGTATAGAGATAGATTAGATAGATAGATAGACAGACAGACAGATAGATATAGTAAACTCTAAGGAAAACATTAAAATAAAATTTTTAAAGAGGCATGAAGAATAAACCAGTAAGAGAATTCCACTTTAGCCAAGGTGGGCAAATAGGAACTGGATTTACTCTCCTGCCTGAAATAACCAATGAATGCACAAAATATATAAAAGGGCAGTTGACAAAACACTGGACATCAGATGAGTGCCATGGTTTACAGAGATTGTTGGCTGTCTAACAATGATCCATGCTCCCTTTCATAATGTAAAGTTGCTACTGAAAAACAGCAGCCCATCCAGCAACCATATTTTCAAGCCCCCTTGTCTTCAAGGGGAGCCATGTGTCAAAGTTCTGGCCAAGAATGGCGGATGAGAATGATGCACTCCACCTCTAGCACTCATCGGGAATTCACGTCCACAGAGCCCTCCGCACTTTCTCCGCCCTTTGCAGTTGCACAAAGTTGCCTGGGGTGACTATGGGAGCCATGTGGTGATACTGATGGAGCTTCTGTGGGCTGATTCTGGAGCAACCAGAAGGATGGTGCAGAGCAGAGCCCTTTCCCTTCACTATCTCCCACACCACAGATCCAGCACTCAAGGCACTGCAAAGTGGATGGAAGCTTAGTCTCCACAGCAGCCCACGGCCCAACATCATAGAGTCTTACTGAAGGAGAAGCCAACAAGTGCATGGGAAAGCACCCATCCCCAGGGTCTCAAGGCACATGGGGCAAGGCTGCCATCCACGAAGGGTCAGTACTGGGCTTTGTTCCCAGAAACTGAGGCTGATGCAAGGGAAACCTGAAGTCAGTTATGACACCATGTCCAGGGAAGAGGAAGGAGCCCGGGGAGCATGTGCCTGGGAAGGACTGGAAAGGAAAGTGAGACATCAAGAGTCCCTGGCTCAGATGCAGCAAAGGCTAAGGTCAGATGAGAAAAGGGTAAGCAGAAGTAGCATTTACCTCCTGAACAGGTTTGGGACATTCAGACTGCTGGTCACTGCATGTCGGCAGCATGGTTCCTAGAGGGGTCAGTCCCACAAAGACCAGGTCAGGGTTCATAGAAAATTATGGCCAATGGATGAATACAGGACACCTGTTTGCAAATTGCTTATCTTTGTGGCACAGAATCAAAGCCAAATAGATGGCTGCTGCTGATGATGATAATGAAGAAGAATGATATATGATTGGTTGATAGGTGATAGATGGTAGATAGATAATTGATAGATGATAGATGATGAATGGATGGTGATAGATGATCAATAATAAATGATAGGTAACTGATAGATGATTAATTGGTTGACTGATGATTGATAGATTATAAATAGTAGGTAGATGGTTGATAGATAATTCATTGATAGATGATTGGCAGATAGTGGATAATAGATGATTGATAGATAATTGATAGGTAGATAAATGATGGATAATAGAGGATTGATAGATATAGACAGATACATAGAGATAGAGATAGATAGATAGATGGATAGACAGACAGACAGATGATAGATAGATAGTTACAAGGAGGAATCAGTGTGGAATACAGGATTGAAAAGATGAACTTTGGATTAAACGTGACCAGGTTCAAGTCCTAGTGCCTTCCCTGCCCCTAGCTGTGTCGTTTTACACAAGTCATTTCCCCTCTTAGAGACTGTTGTTAGACTAGATCTGTATTTTTTCAAACCATTTTCGGGCAAGTGGGATGAGAGATATGCAGTGTGTGAGAGTCCCAGACCCTTACCCAATTTCAACCAGAATAGTCTAGAGTTTTAGCTCTTTTATTAAGTTTCATGCATGATAATATTTTAAGAACCAGTTCCACTGCTAAAACAATTATTAAAAATACAGATCAGATCATCTCAAGGCCCTTACAAGGCTAAGAGTTTAAGGAATAGCTCCTTGGCCAGCTCCAGGTACCCCACGCCTGAAACACACCTAAGACAGAGACCCCAGGGCTGGGGGCTTCCCTACCTTCTGCCCAGAGCTGCCAGTGTCTCGTTCTTGTCACTGCTGCTTCCTGAGCCGGCTGCATCAGGTAACCTGGTGCCTGACATGTGGTGGTTGCCCAATAAATGCTGGATGAAGAATGGCAAAAAAAAAAAAGCCATCCATCAATAGTGATTATTGATTCAACAAACAGTTCCTGCAAACCTATTTACCCGGTAGCCTGGTAGGTGCTAGCGTTGATGAGAAGACAATTCTTGCCCCAGATGCAGTCCAGCAAAATGAGTGCTTACAATATAGTGGGAGGAATTCAAGGTAAAAACAAGATGCTGCAGAAGCCAACAGGAGCGACCCCCAACCCTGCAGGCTAGGCAAGGGGAGCAGGGAGTATCTGGAAGAGTGGGGCCTTCCTTCTTGAGGAGGGTACCCCAGGGAGGGTGGAGGAGCCCTAGGGAGTGGAGACAGAGGGCTGCGCCAAGGAAGCCAGGTGTGATGCCTTGGGGTACGGGGAGCACAGGACTCTGAAAACCCATAAATCACGCCACGTGGTTGGGGCACAGGTGTGGGTCCCAGAGAGGAGAGGGGAGCTGGAGAGGTGGGCACAGCCCAGAGCACTGGAGATTAGGCCAGGAGTGAGATTCGCTCTACAGGGATGGAACCCAGGGAAGGCTGCATGACCGGAGCACGGTCAGGTAGGTCTCTGCTAAAGTACACCCTATCCCCACAGGACATCTGGACCTGAGAGGTCGGGTGAGAGGCTAGGCACTCCTCAACAGGGACAGCAATAGCCCAGATGGAGAGGACGGCCGTGGCGGTGGAGAAAACGGGTGGATTCAAGAGATACTAGTACAAATAATTCATTAATGCATCATTTATTTCGAAATAAAAAAATCTGCTGATTGTAAGACCAACCTGTGTGTTTGAGAAAATCTCTATCACCAACTATTCTCTTTGTAAGCCTAAATTTTGTATCTCTTTAAACTAAATCAGGAGGATAAGCCTTTATTTATCACCCCAGTGGGGAATGAAAGCAGTTCCCACTTGCCCTCTTCTTTTGCTGCTTCTTCTCTTTCTTTTAGGCCGAAGAACTATTCTCACTAAGTGGACTGGGCAGCTGAGGCCCCTGTGTGGTGCGTGAATAATACGTGGGAAATGGAAGATGTGGTGCCGGCCTCTGAGGATACTTCAGCGTGGTGTTCGAATTGTACTCTGCGGTCTGCAGTGAGTACTGTGTAATTGGCCAAAAACAACCTAATCTCAAAGAAAAACAAGAAACAAGGAATGATTGGAGCTTCACACTGCTCAAAGACCAGCACTGACCTCAGCCCCACATTAAAGCAGGGTGAGGCTGAAAACTGAGAAACACGGAAGAAGCAAACTTCAATCCCACAAAAGGCAAAACCCCAGCGGGAAGCATGCAGGCTCTAGAGACAGGAGACCTGGGTGAAAATCCCATCTCCACGGCTTCCTCAACGCCTTCCTCTGTAAATTGGATGCAACGCCCAACTCCAGTGTGGTCTGAAAAAATTAGTTCAATGAGATAATAAATCTAAAGTTCCTGCTAGATACAGAAGCTTAACAGATGGAGCTGTGATTGCTTGTCCTCTGCACGGAACGGGGCTATTTTTCTCTGTGTTCTGAAGTATTTGAGATGCACGCCATGCGTGTTCTCTGAAACCATCTCCCTATCTAGAGGAAAGAGTGGCATGAAAGCCAGACGTAAACAATTTCCACCCTCTATTTAACTGACAAAGGCAGTTTTCTATTATGAAGCAAAGCATGAACATAATCCGGGCAAAATTGGATCCCTGGAGCTTGTAAACTCACTTTCAATTGATACACCAGCCATGGAATATCAGCTCAGCCGTGAGGTCCACCTTGCACCACGAAGGCCATGGTCTGACTGTCCCTTCTGCCTGACACAGAATGCCAGTGACATTAGCAGTTCTGGCAATAAACACCTTTAAACACACACACACACACACACACACACAAAATAAAGAAAGTGTCTATCCCACCCACCTTCCTAAGCCATGGTAAAGAGGACCGGGCTCCTCACAGCCACCCAGTGTGATGACTTTTCAGTGTGTATTTGTGTTCCAAGCCACTGCTGGTTGATTTTTCCCCTAGAACCATGCACACCTTAAAGATCTCAAAGGTAAAAAGCACAACTTAGTTATGATTCTTGCAGTTCTTGGCCTCTAAAGCCAGCGTTACTACTGTGTCATCAGGGTCCAGGTGCACTTTGGATGCTTTTACCAGTGAAGTTCAGTTCAACAAACACTTACTGAGCACCTGCTCTGGTCATGTGCCAGGTACCACCTTCGGTCTAGGCCACTTGGAGATGTAAGGCAGTATTTTAACCTGCATCACATTCCTACCAAGTATGCATTATTTTCTTGGCACACCGAAGAGGAAACGGAAGCCCTGAATGGTTAAGAAAGCTGCCAAAGCCAATAAAGCAGCCGTACTTGCATCTGAGTCGGCCTGACTCCCACACTAGCACAGTTTCCCACACGGCTGCCCCGCTCTTCCAGCAGGAGAGACAAGATTCACTGATCTCTGTGATCATCGTCGAAGATGCCTGATCACCCCTGTACATATGAAGCCCTGTCAGCATCTAAAGGTGCTCAATAAAGATCCAGATCCCCGGGGGAATACAGGATAGGAATCAATGTCCAGGCTTGTGCAGGTAGAGAGCAGGTGCCTACTGTGGTCTCAGCCATCTCATGGCTACAGGGACTTTGTGCCCCATAGCTGCAGGTGCAAATGACAGCACCTCTCTCCATAAATTCCTTGCTGATTAAAACAGAGATGTGACCTCGGGGTGATCCCCCTCCCATTCAGGTTCTCTGATTCTGTTACTGTTGACGCAGAGAGAAAGGAAATTAATGACTGTGCTGGAGGAAGGGGCACGGCAGAGAGCAACTGGACCCTCCCCCATCCTCCTGGGACACAGTGGTGATGGTGAAGACTGGTCCTCCAGGTGGGTCCACTCTGGCCTTCCGCGTTATCCTCAGGTCAGTGTGCACTGAGGACACTCAGGCCTGGCACACAGACCAGAAGCTCCATGGCAGAAGAGAGTGCCGTCTTCAGCACGTACTGCCAGGAGTCACCCACCCTGGAAAACTGTCCTTGTCCACTGCTTCATTTTGCTTGGAGTCCCTCTACCAGTGTGAAATCCATATGGATGTGCTCACATCAAATCTGAACTAATTTTTTCAAGTAAAATGTCATGAGGCTTTGTCACGTGCTTTTGTGGAGTCTAAATACAACTCCTTCTGAACACCCTCCAGCCACGCATTCTGCGGGCTCCTAGGAAATAAAGGGGTGAGGGAGGAATTTGTGGGGGGCAGCTTTCTCCAGCTTGACATTTGTCCCAAGCCATCCACCCATTGGTTATTCTGGAATCCCAAACACAGTAGGCTTCCCCACCACGTCTCTGACCCCATAAGGCCAAGGCAGGAGGCGGGTGATGAGCTGACGGGTCACACTCTGCCTTCCTGTAACAGCCAAGCCCACAGCCCCTTATAATAATTTTTAAAACTTAAAAACACATATTCCTGTTCAAGAACAACAGTCATCACTTAACTTGAGGAAAATCTGAAGATTTGGAAGTTTCGGAGTTTGCTGTCTGGACTCACCCAGGACAGTTCACCCTAGCGTTAGCCATCTTTACTGTGACACCCCCTCATGCTTCCTATCAGTCTGTTTCTCTCCCAGCTCCGGTACCCCCTGCACTGGTCCCCCCACCCTCCTCTGATTCCACAGACATCTGAGCTGAATGATTCTCCCTGGCGTGCTCTGGAATGTAACATCCCATTTCCTTTGTCTCTCCACATCGATGTCTGGCGTGGCCCAGCCCCAGAACGTCTGCACGTATGTGTACCTCATAATCACCCCATCACAAGGGGGCCTCCAAAGGCCTGGCCTGGGTGTCCCTGAAATCTCACCCTATGCTGGTCCTGTAATTGCATCATTTCAGGGTCTCCACAGACAGGTGATCCTTCTGCCACCACTTCTGCTCTGCTAGAAATTGCCGCCTTCTCCTCCTTTGCTTCCAGAGCCACGCTGACCCTCTTGGCTGGTGGGGCTAATGAATGCTGCCTGGATCACTCAGAGAATAGGCTGCTGGACTCATCAGAACTGTGATGGAGTAGCTTCCCACAGCATAAATTCCCACTATCCATCCCTTCCTAGTCCAACCCTTCCCCCAACACGCACATGCACACACACACACACACACACACACACACACACACACACATATCACAGACTGAAAAAGAAGTTACTGAAGCCAGATACATGTAAGAAGGAAGTAATAGAATGGTGTCAATCTATAACAAGCCCCTGAACATGAAAAGGCAATGCTTAAAGGGAGAGAGAGACAGACAGACAGACAGACAGACAGACACACACACACACACACACACACACACATCTTACCATGGACCAGGCAATTGACAGGGATTCCATGCTAATTGTCACATCAACCTTCACTTCACAAATGGAAAAACTGAAACTAAGAACGTGAGCGATTTGTTCAATACAGAATGTGTTAGGTAAACTAATATTCTAAGCCCATTCCATATGACTCCCACAACCCATGTGTTTTAACTGCACCTCTTCTATGAAATTCTCCTTGCTAAAGTAAGGCTTGGCCCCGAGGCATGAGTGACAGAACTGAGAGGTATAACCGAGAACTTTCCCAAAGGCACATCTGTGCCTCAAAATTCTGTAAAATGCAGGCAGGTTACACACGGTATTGATTACCTGAGGTCAGGTAATATCGCATTGTGTCCCAGCTTCTGAACTGAAGCTCCCCTTTCTTCATGATTTTTAATGATGGTGACTTTCATCTGCATTTTTAGTTATTTCAAAGTATTTGTATTTTCTATCTATTTAGAGGCCTGTTGAACCATGAACATGTTTTGGCCATGAATCATGAACATGCTTCATGTTAATGACGAGCACTTTTCTTTCAGCATGTTTCTCATTTGTTAATTCTCAAGCAGTATTTAAAGAGTATTAGGTGTTGCTTCTTTGATAAATGAAAATTCACTTAGAGTATGCCTACTACACTGTTTTGACTGCTACTAGCTGAGATCTGGTGTGGTAGCTGATATTAGAAGAACCCTCCTATGGAGAACAACACTAAAAACTGAACAATTTTAAAGCATTGGAAGATCGGAAATCAAGGAAGGTACTAGAAAAGTCAAGACTCCAGAGGGGGAGGAAAATGAGTTGATTTGTACTTTCTGTACAAATTTTTCCTCCATAGTCATTTCCCAATTTTTACTTTGAGGCATGAAGTCTAAAGAGAAAACTATGGCCTAGATCTAACAGAAGCCTTACTGAGTTGGGAAGATAAAACTGAAGTTCAGTGCCATCAAACAGCCAGATCCAAAAGAAAAAAGACCCCAGAAATAAGGGAAACACAAGAAAACAAACCAAATGTCTGCACGCAATTTCCTCCTGAAGCATTGGACCAGCTTTTAAACGGAGCATGCATGGAGCAATCAGCCAAGATACAAAACAGAAAGGGCCTACTAAGATGCTCAAAAGCTATGTAGATGTTTCAAAATTTCATGGAGCTGAAGAGACAAAAATTAGAGAGTATGTCCCACTCGGGTGGTGGCAGAATCTCATGCATGCTTCAAGCTTTCGATTGAGACGCAAAAATCTATGATTTTGGAACAAAATACATGAAATGTAAAATACATGAGATACTCTGTAAATGTCTAACATGCAGGTTCTTGGAAACCAAGAAAGGTAAAAGAGAAAAAAATCAGAGTGGAACCAATATTTGAAGACATGCTGGCTAGACATTTTCCAAAAAAAAAAAAAACGAGACATGATCCACAAATTTTAAAAGGTATATTACCTCTCTGCAAGGTTTAAAAGCAGCAAACACAATTTTGAAAATGCAATGCAAGTACTGGTTTTCTATTGCCACAAACTTAGAGGCATAAAACTTCATGCACGTATCATCTCACAGCTCTGTAGAACTGAAAGCCAGGCAGGGCTCAGTTGGGTCTTTTGCTCGGTTTTCACAAGGCTGCAATCCAGGCGTCTTCCAGGGCTGTGGTTCTCATCTGTAGCATGGGGACCTCATTTCAGTTCTTTCAGAATTGCAGACAGAATTGAATCCCACATGGTTTTGTGACTGAGGTCCCATTTTTTTTCCAGCGACTGTTGAAAGATCACTCTAAGTTGCTACGGGCCACTTGAACCTATAAGTAGTTCACAGCATGGCTTCTGGGAAACCTCTCTGCTTTTAAAGACATCATCTGATGTCTTTAAAAGACCCAAGTGGGATAATCTAACCATTGATTAACTCAATGCTGACTAACCTGGGGCCCCGACTACATCTGCGGAATCCCTTTATACACAACATAGCATGATCTCAGGAGCACTGTCTTATCCTATACGTAGGTCCCACCAACACTGAAGAAGAGATGATTACAAAGGGGTGAGGGTCATTGGGGGATTATTTTAAAATTCCACCTGCAAAAAGTCAATTCACATTATAGTAAAACTGCTGAAAAACAAGGAAAAAGAAAACATTAGTAAAACTAGTTAAAACAAAAGAGGAACATTTCCTTCAAAAGAGCAACAATGAGACTGACAACTACATTTGCAGCTTAAACAGAAGCCAGAGACAATTAAATGGCAGTTTTAGATGCTGAAAGAAAATATTTCCAAATTAGAATTCAAGACATAGCAAAAATAGCTCTTAAACATTAAAGTGAAATGAACATGTTTTTAGACAGAAAGAATTGAGAATTCATCACGAGTAGAACAATACCAAAGATATATATAAAGAAACAAAAAGTAGTTTTTCAACAGAAAGTGAAATGAATCCATAAAGAAGCTCAGAAACACAAGAAGAAATGAAAATCATCAGAAAGGGTAAATATGTGGTTAACTCTAGTTGATTACACAGTATCATTATGATTTTAAAATCTTATGAGATTTAAGATTGAAATATAACAATAATTACCCAAAATATAACAATATAAGATTGAAATATAACAACAATTGCACAAAAAACAGGAGTCCAAGTATCACAGTGTTTTTGAATTACCCAGGAAATAATAGAAGAAACATTTTTAACTGACACTCAAATAAATCAAGGATGCATGTTACAGTCTTACAATCTCTACTGTAACCACTAAACGAACAGTAAAAGCATGTATAACTAATTAGGTGCAAAGGTTAACTGTAAAACTAAAAATAGTTACAATTGATCAAAAACAAAGCTAGAAAGGAGAAAAACAGAACAAAGAACAGATGGTACAAATGGGAAGAACTAGTAAAATACTAGATTTAAATACCAGACTATAACAGATGACATTACATGAAAATGTAAATAATACAAATAAAAGACAAAAGTTTTGTAATCTGTATTTTAAAATTGAAATATATGTTGCTTACATTAAATATATTTAAACATAAGAATAGAGAAAATTTGAAATAAAAGAATCAAAAATTGTATACATTGAAAACACTAACCAAAAAACATCTAGTATAACTCAACTTAGGTAAAGTGAACTTTAAAGCAATAAGTATTTTAGAGATAAAAAGGGAAATTTTGAAATATAAAAGGAAAACTTAACAGAAAGTTTAAATCCTAACTTTTTATGCACCCAATAACACAATTTCAAAACACATAAAGCAAAAACTAAAAATTGACTTAAAAAATAGAGAAATTCACAATCATAGAAAGATTGTAAAACAATTCTCTCAATAAAAATTAAACAAATTACAAATGTGTGAAAAACACAGTTATCAAAATAGACTCAACTTTTCAAATTCACATAGAATATTTTAAAAATTGTTTATATTATGGACGAAAAAGCAACTCTAAACACATTTTAAATGATTTAATGTGTTCTATAACCACAGTGAGATCAAGCAAGAAATCAATAATGATAACTAGAAAATAACTAGAAAATTTCCAAATATTTAGAAATTAAACAATACATGACTAAGTAAATCATGAGAAGAGAAGAAATTACAAAGAAATTGAGAACATACGCTAACTGGATGGCAAGGAAAATACAATGTTTCAAAACTTGATGTATAGCTGACACAGTGCTTAGAGGAAAATTTATAAATGCATACATTACAATAGAAGTAATATTGAAAATCAATTAATTAGAAATCCATTGTAAGAAGCTATCTTTAAAAAACTGCATATGATACCCATAAAAGTAGAAAAAAATAATAAAAATAAGGATAGAAAGCATAATGAATAGAATAGAAAAAGAGCCCAAAGTTAATTTTTAAAGGCAAATAAGATTAATAATTCCCTAGCAAGACCGATAGTGAAAAAAAAGCAGATACACAATATCAATATGAGAAATAAATAATTGTATATTACATAGATGTAAATCTTCATGCCCTTCAACTAGGCAACAGTTTCTTAAATATAACATTAAAAGCAAATAGAACAAGAGAAAAAAATTGATAAATTGTATGTCACCAAAATGTAAAACTTTTGTGTGTCACAGGACATTGTTGAGAAAGTAGAAAGGTAACCCACAGACTGTGAGAACATATTTGCATGTTTGAATGTCATAAATCTGACAATTGTCTAGTGTTAAGAATAAAGGACTTGTGTAAACCAACAAAATAAAGAAAAACAAACAACCCAAATGAAAAATAGGCAAAGGATTTGAATAGGCATTTCTCTAAAGAGGATATACAAATGTCCAATAAGCACATGAAAAGATACTCAATATCCTTGGTCAATAGAAAAATATATATTGAAACCACAATGACCTACCATATTATGCTCACTAGGATGGCTATAATAAAAAAATAATAACAACTGTTGAAGAGAATGTGTAGATTCAATGTATGAAGTCTTTGGAGAGCTCATACTTTGCTAGTAGGAGTGTGCAATGGTGTAGCCACTGTGGAAGACAGTTTTCCAGTCCTCAAAAAGTTAAACATAGAGTTAGCATATGACTCAGTAATTGCATTTCAGGTTATACACCCAAGAATAATGGAACCATATGTTCATACAAAAACTTGTACACCAATTATAGCAGCATAGCACGATAGCCAAAAAATGAAAGCAACCTGTATTAGTCTATTCTCACACTGCTATAAAGAACTACCTGAGACTCGTACTTCTTAATGAAAAAAGAGGTTTAATTGACTCACAGTTCTGCAGGTGTAACAGGAAGCACGATTGGGAGGTCTCAGGAAACTTACAGTCATGGCAGAAGGAGAAGGGGAAGCAAGTACCTTCTTCTAATGGTGGCAAGAAAGAGAGAAAGAGTGAGGGGGATGTGCCACATACTGTTAAACCATCAGATGTTGTGAGAACTCCCTCACTATCATGAGAACAGCATGGAGAATTCCACCTTCGCAATTCAGTCACCTCCTACCAGGTCCCTCCTTCAGCATTGGGAATTCAATTCAACATGAGATTTGGGTGGGGACACAGAGCCAAACTATATCACAACCCAAATGTCCACCCGTTTATGAATAGATAAACAAATTGTGGTGGAATACACACAATGGAATAATATTCAGCCATAAAAAATGAAGTACTGATATAAGCTACAATATGGATGAATATTGAAAACATTATGCAAAGTGAAAGAAGTCAGACACAAAAGACCAAAAACTGTAGGATTCCATTAATATAAAATGTCCAGAAGAGGCAAATTATTATAGACAGAAAGGAGATCAGTGGTTGCCAAGGGCTCAGGGAGGAGGGAATGAGCAGTGATTGCTTAATGCATACAGGTGATGAAAATCTTCTGGAATTAGATAGGAGTGATGGTTGTGCAACATTGTAAATATACTTAAAAATGGATTTTATGCCTTAAAGTGGTTAATGGTTAAAACTGTGAATTTTATCTCATGTAAACATTATCTAAAATAATTAGACCAACTTAAATAGAAATAACCTATTAAGTTTATGAATTAAAGACTTAATGTTTTAAATGTATTACTCCCCCCAATCAATATATAGATTCAATGCAATCTTGATCGGAATTCCAACACAGTGATGTGTGTGTGTTTGTGTGTGCAAATTAACAAATTTATTCTTTGTAGAAGTGCAAATGTCAAAGAATAGCAAAGACAAGGAGAGGGACAGAGTTGGAGACTTTACAATTCCTGATTTCAAGTCTATTACAGAGATACAATAATTAATCTAATGTAATATTAGTGCAAGGATACACAAATTGACCAAAGGAACAAAATAGGAATCTGTAAACAGATTCACACATATGTACTCACCTGATTTACCACAAAAGTGACACTATGATATGATGGGAAAATAATAATTTTCTTAAATTATGATCAATCTATTATATATTCACATAGGAAAATAATGAATCTTGATCCCTATCTCATACCATGTGGAAACTGGCATTTCCATATTGATTGTAGACCTAAATGTGAAAAGTAAAACAATACAGCATCTAGAATATAGAATACTTTATCTTTCATGTAGAAAGGACATTAAACTTAAGTCAAAGTATTGATTAATTATACCTCATGAAAATTAACAAGTCTGTCAGTCCTAGGACAATGTTAGGAAGCAAGCTATACTGAGAAAAATCTTCATAGTACAAATATCACGAAAAGGACCTGCATCCATAATACATAAAGAACTCATACAAATTAATACAAAAGGACAGAAAGTCCAATAAATCATGGGCAAAAGTCCTGAACAGGCTCTTCACAAAATGTTCAATAAGATATGGAAAGCTGCCCAGTATTATTAGCTATCATAAATATGCAAATTTGAATTACAATTCTATACTATTGCACATCTACCAGAATGGCTAAAGTGAAAATGAAAGACAAAGTCAAGTATTGTTAAGAATGTGTAGTAACCAACACTTTCATACACTGCTGGTAGAAAAGTAAATTGGTGCATCCACTTTGGAAAACTCTTTGGAAAACATTTTGGAAAACTGAAAGGCTATGCACATATACCCAACACGCATGTCAGTTCCTCTCCTGGATATATATCTAACAAACATGTACATCAGTGCCTTAAAAGATATGGAACAGATTTTCACAGAAGCGTAATTTTTAACATCCAAACAACAAGAAAAAAGTTCATCAAATGTAGAATAGATAAATAAATTGCAGTGGTTTGAAATAATAATTCTTCATAGCAATAACAAGAATGAGCCCCTGCTACACATGATAACGCCGAAGAATCTCACAGACACAATCTTGAGTGAAAGAAGGCAGATGTATAAGAACACGTCCTACGTAAACTCATTCATGCAACTTAAAAGCAGGCAAACTAATCTACAGTGATGGAAATGAGGATCATGAGCACCTTTAGGGGTTGGGAGTGGTGACTAGCGGAAGTGTGAGGGGGCTTCTGGGTGCTGGTAATGTCTTACATCCCAGTCTTGGCTCTGGTGTATGGGTATGGTCACTTTGTAAAAAAAATTAACTGGGCTGTATAGCTAAGGTTTATGCACTTCACTGAATGCAAATTTTATTTTTAAAACTTCACCATGTAAATATTTTGGAGGAAGAAAACTTGACTTTCACTAGGGAAAAAAATAAATGCCTCTTTCAAAAATACTCCCTGTCTTCATCCATTCAGGCTACAAAACAAACTCCCATAGACTGGGTGGCTTATAAACCACAGAAATGGATTCCTCACAGTTCTGGAGGTTGGAAGTCCAAGTTCCAGGCATAACAAAATTTAGTATTTCTGAGGGCCACGTCCTGGTATATATTAGGTTGGTGCAAAAGTAACTGCAAAAACTACAATGACTTTTGCACTAACCTAATAAATGGTGCATTCTCACTGTGTTCTCAAATGGTCAGAGAAGCAAGGCAGCAAGCCAGTTCCCTTTCACATCTTGAGGGCTCTTCCCTCATGACCTCATCCCCTTCCAAAGGCCCCACCTCCTAATGCCATTACCTTGGGGGTTAAGATTCCAACATAGGAATTTGGAGGAACACAAACATTAGACCACAGCATTTCCCTTCCAACTGACGGACAAAAAGTGACCATCGCAATATAGGTAATTGCTGAGGTTGAGTTTGGCGTATGGTCTATTTATTGATTATTAATTGTTTAATATTTAATCTCTCTACTTATGTGCACATTTAACTTTATTTATAATAAAAGTTTAAGTTATATCAATTATTTGGAAAGTAAAATTTAAAACTCCCTCCCTAATAATTAAAATTAAAAAGTCCAAAGTAATTTGGATTTGCAGACACCAACCTTTAACATCTTCATTTGAAATCTCAGAGAAGAAAATAAATGTGAAAAACCTGCCAACGCCAAATCCACTTATGAACCATCTGATCTCCCCAAGTCCAGAGCTAGCAAGTCTGGAGTGGTATTTCTGGAAACATATGGCCCTGTTCCCCAAGCGAGCATCACACAGCAGTCCCACTGCTTGCTGAGTGTGGATGGCTAGACGCATAATGGCAAAGAGATTCAGAAATAGCGTGACACAGTCCCGAGAAAGCACCACAAATCATTCGCACAGTAGGGCAGAGATTCCCAGGCTCCGAGGCCTGGTTTCCAGTGTCTCCTGGAGTCTTCCAAGGACTGTGAACAGAGGCTGGCCTCGGATGGAATCTGCTGAGGGCTTTGTGCATGTTATTTATGCCCTCATGAATTTCAGATGCCTTGACAGTGAAGGGAAGGGCAGAAAAGTGTGTTCATTCATCAACGTCAGGCGGAGGCCATTACTGTTTTATTCAGTGGAGAGGAAAATCATCCGAAAGCTGGAATTCCAAAAATGTACAAATGCAACTAGAACACAGTGGTGATTAGCCAGCTCTCTAACACCTGTGTGCTGGCAGCTTTCCCGCAGGCGGCAGGGGGAGAATCAGCGCTTCTGCGGGACAAAGGAACGATGCAGCGGTGAGAAGGCCTCGCGGCCCCTTGCAGGGCACCTCTCTTTCGTCACTGTTGTCCTCACGAAAGATGAGTTTCCCATGTGTGAAAGTGTGACAAAAAATAACTCTTGCAGAATGAGTGGCTGGTTTTGCGTGTCTTGTGTGAATTAGAGTTTTGAGGCTCCGTCACTGGTTGTGACTCCGTGGGATTATGGGGGCCACCGATTTGGTTCAAGCTGTCCTCTGGTTGCTTCGAGCTGTCAGGGAGGGTCACCCTGGATCAATGTTGTCCCTCCTGTAATTACTGGATGCATCACATTCCTGCCAGTGCCACTTCAGAGCATTCTAAGCAAGGGTCTCATTTTCAAATAATTCACTTCGCTGTTTCACTCAATAATTTTTCTTTCTCTCATAATCCCAGACCAGAAAAGATTCAGATGCAATAAAATAAAGCCAAGCCCATGACCTCCTCTTGCCATTTGACATAAAGTTGGACCCAAACGCCCAAAGCTTAAATGTGATCCGTTACGAATGTTTGTCAAAAACACACACCTGCCCTTTTCTGGGGAGAACTTGTTGATTTTGTAGACTGCACCTCTAACTTAGATAATGCTGTGGGCACCAAACTTCATTAACAAATTTTCCAGCTGATTGTTTAATGTGACAAACTTTCGCCAAGCCCTACTGTGTGGCAATGAAGAGACCAGATCAAGCCCATGCTCTGGTGATCCTGGGAGCTCAAAGTCTAGTGGGAGGAACAGGCCTTTAAATAGCGCGGTTCAGTGTGGTAAGCTGTTGCAAGGAGCAGCGAGAAAAGACCACGTGTGGAGTGCTGCTTCCAACTTCCTTGCAAATTAGCACAGCGTTTTACCGAGTACCACCGGGAGAGCTGTCATCAAGGACAACTTATCACTTTGTTTTGACCAGGGAAAATTGCTGGTAAGGCATGAAATGTGATCCCACTCCCGCCCCGCAGGCAGCCTTCATCTTTTGGGTTTTGCGTGCTGCCTCCAAAATAAGTAACATTCGGACTCTCTCTGTGATTTCAAGTATTTCCAACTGCTTAGCACTAAGTACCGCACAAAAAAGAGTGAATATGAAGTATCTCAGTTAAGATCTTGACGGAGCAGCAGGAGACGACTCCCACTGCACCACTGCACTACACATACTGCTCCCTAACTTCAGATCTATAGCCCAAGTCCATTTCCATTAAGACCACTGGGGAGTCAAGACAAGTTCAAACCAAGGAGTAGAGGTTTTAAAATTAAAATATAATTGTAGGCCAGGCGTGGTGGCTCATGCCTGTAATCCCAGCACTTTGGGAGGCCGAGGTGGGCAGATCACCTGAGGTCAGGAGTGCAAGACCAGCCTGGCCAACATGATGAAACCCTGTCTGTACTAAAAATACAAAAATTAGTCAGGCATGATGGCTGGCACCTGTAATCCCATCTACTCGGGAGGCTGAGGCAGGAGAATTGCTTGAACCCAGGAAGTGGAGGTTGCAGTGAGCTGAGATCACGCCATTATACTCCAGGCTGGGTACAAGAGCGAGACTCCATCTCAAAAAAAAAAGTATATATATTTGTAAAAACTTATCAGCCTACATTGGCAAAAACTTGACCATACTCATGGACTTGCATAGGGGGTCCAAGTGGAGAAGAAAAGCACACACTTCCATGTCAGGCTGGATTTATTGTTCTGGGTACAAGAGGCAGAGACTCTTGATTCAGTGAACTGTCCCAAGGAGCAGAGTGATTTTAATAATTTCATCAGCAGTTGATTGAAACATGAACTTAATTATGGTCCTTATTTTTTTTTTTTAAGTTGAAGTCCCAGCAATGTCTTGGAGTGAGTAGAATACATAGAATAAGGAACCCAAAGACTTTGAAGGCTGCAGCTTCATCCCGAATAACTGGATCATTGTCTTATAGTCATCCCCTTTCTCATTTTATTTTGTATAAGATGCACTGGTTTTGGTTAACCTTATAATTTTGTCCTAAATTGAAGATATTATAAGTGGATTAAATCTTAACTAGAAAAATAGACATCCCTAGATCATGCCCTTAGAGTTAGTGCGGTAACTGATGAGGCCTGGGGCGTCAGTGGTTCCATGAAGGATAGTTAAAACACATTAGGCAAGAGGGAGAAGGGTTTCTGCACCTCTAAAAAGGCTGACTTTGATGGGCATGGAGTGTTCTTCTCTTGTTTTTTGCTGTTCAACATCCAATCCTCTCTCTTTTTGGGTAATAGTCCCACATGTAATATACTAATGTCTAATTGACATATGTATGTTATACAATTGCATAAAACATATGCAATCATAGAATTGTATAATAATTGTATAAAATAGGATTAGACATTAATATACATATCTGCGCTCCCTACATCTAAAACTGATGAGAAGATCCACCTTTCCTGACCCCAGCAGCCAGGCTTCAAGCTGACTGAGGCTCCTGAATTGGATACCTCTTCCTGGTACTTTTAACCTGGAGAGAAGGCATATTTGGGATTTGTTTAGGTAGGTGTTAGCATCCCCATTGGTCTAGCCATGAAGCCTCCAGCCTTTCTTGAGGTCAGTTGTTTCCACAAGTTTCCTGTTAGCTTTTTGGGTCACTTGTATCATTCTAATAACTTCCTCTTTGTTTAAGTTATACAGAGTTGTTTTTTATTTCCTACAATCAGGAAACTTTGTCTCTGCTGTAAGAACTCAGAGACAACAACAAATAAATGGAAAAACATTCCATGTCCATGCCAATATCATAAAAATGGCCACACTGCCCAAAGCAATTTATAGATTCAATGCTATTTTTATCAAACTACCAATGTCATTCTTCACAGAACTAGAAAAAAACTATTCTACAATTCATGTGGAACCAAAACAGAGCTCAAATAGCCAAAGCAATCCTAAACAAAAAGAATAAAGCTGGTGACATTACACTACCCAATTTCAAACTATATTATAAAGCCACAGTAACTAAAACAGCATGGTACTTGTACAAAACCAGACACATAGACCAATGGAAAAGAATAGAAAACTCAGAAATAAAGCCACACACCTACAACCATCTGATCTTTGACAAGGCCAACAAAAACAAACAATGGAGAAAGGACTCCCTATTCACTAAATGATGCTGGGATAGCTGGCTAGCCATATGCAGAAGGCTGAATCTGGACCCCTACCCTTTACCACATACAAAAATTAACTCAAAATAGATTAAAGATATAAATGTAAATCTAAACCAATAAAAATCCTGGAAGGCAATCTAAGAAATACTCTTCTCGACATTGGCCTTGCCACATAATTTTTGGCTAAGTCCCAAAATGCAATTGCAACAAAAACAAAAATAGACAAGAGGGACCTAATTAAAGAGTTTCCGCACAGCAAAAGAAACTATCAACAGAGCAGACAGACAACCTACAGAACAGGAGAAGATATTCACAAATTATGTATATGACAAAGGCCTAATATCCAGAATCTACAGGGAACTTAAGTCAACAAGCCAAAAACAAATAACCTCATTAAAACATGAGCCAAGGACATGAACAGATACTTTGCAAAAGAACATATACAAGCAGCCAACAAACATATGAAGAAATGCTCAACATAACTATCAGAGAACTGCAAATCAATCAAAACCATGATGAGATATTATCTCACACCAATCTAAATGGCTATTACTAAAAAGTCAAAAAGCAATAGATGCTGGTAGGCCTCCAGAGAAAAGGGAATGCTTATACACTCTTGGTGGGAATGTAAATTAGCCTAGCCACTGTGGAAAGCGGTTTGGGGATTCCCCAAAGAACTGAAAACAGAGCTACCATTTGGCCCAGCAATCCCATTACTGGGTATATACCTGAACAGCAATCCCATTACTGGGTATATACCTGAAAGAAAATAAATTATTCTACCAAAAAGACACATGAACTCATACATTCATCACTGGACTATTCACAATAGCAAAGACATGGAATCAACTCAGGTGCCCATCAATGGTAGACTTGATAAAGAAAACCACCATGGAATAATATGCAGCCATAAAAGAGAATGAAGTCGTGTTCTTTGCAGGGACATGGATGGAGCTGGAGGTCATAATCCTAAGCAAATTAACACAGGAACAGAAAATCAAATACCGCATGTTCTCACGTGGGAGCTAAGCATTGAGCACACATGGACATAAACAAGGGAACAATAGATACTGTGGACAACCGGGGTGGGAGGTAAGAAACTTCCTATCAGGTATGATGCTCACTACCATGGTGATGGGATCCATATTCCGAACCTCAACATCACGCAATATTTTCATGTAACAAATCTGCACTTGTACCCCTGTATCTAAAATAAATGTTGAAAAAAGAAGAAAAAAAGAAATTTTGTCTAACAGACTTTAAAAGAACCTTCAGAGGAATCAAGCTGTCTTATTTGCTGTGTGTCCTCGGACAATTCACTTAGCCTCTCTGGGTCCCAGGTTCCCTGGCTTTAGTAGAAGAAGCGGAATTGATCTATCCAGTTCCCTAGCATCTCTAAAATTATGTGAGCCTAGATTCTCAGCTATATAAAAGTTTAAAATATAAAATATAATAAAATTTCAAATACATAATTTAAAGAAAAGAAAATGCAGAACAATTATTTTTATGGAGAATCATCTGTGCAGTCTTCATCACTTCTGACATTGGGAGAAACTTTTCCACATGCCTAGATTCTATGAGACTCACCAGAAGTCACGAGATGCTCTTGTTGACTGAAAAATGCATGCAGGGGTCATCACTGTGCCTGTGAAGGGGGAGTATGTGTTGACATTACAGATGTGGAGTTGTTCTTAAAAATACAATAACCAAAACAGTAATATTCCCTTACGTTTCTACAATGCTTTCAGTTTCCAAAACCATTTCACATCCATTATCTCATTTGATTCTCACAACAACCCTGTGAGTCATTATCCCCATTTCACAGCTGAGAAACCAAGACTCCAAAAGGTTAATTCACTTGTCCAGGGTCACCTAACTAGTAATTGGCAAATTCTCAACCAGGACCTAAATCTTCTGCTTCTAACTGTAGTGGCCTTTCTGCCCTTTGTAGATAGAATGCCTGCGGATCTCTTCTCTTTGCTTTCTCATCACTGCAGAGTAGGTGTTGCATTCCTTCATATTTTGCTCTTTGTGACATTCTCATGATACCAACTATCATGATTTGTATTGTTTTCCTTTCCAAATATAGTCCAATCCCTTTCCAACAATGCTTTGCTTAATCTACCTGGATTACACAAGGAACTAAAACCAATATTTCCTTTCTGATTTAACATAATCTATTTTATCCATTTTTAAAAAGAGATTATTCTGTAGAAATGGCATGTAAATCCACAAAATAAACAAAGTCACTTTCCTCTGGACTCTAGACAAATAACCTGAAAATAATCCTGGCAAGATTGTGTTTGCAGAGCTAAAAAGTGCTGAGAAAAATAAATAAATAAATAACTCACAGTCTCTATAGCAGTTCCCCTTCTTCTCCTCCTGTTCATGGATGTGAATTTATGACTTTTCTTCCCAGGTCAAAGTTAAATGAATTCATCAGTAGAACCTATAATTAATATGAGTGGTTAATTCTAAGGCTTTCACTGCACAATCTCAGTGACATTTTGCAGCACTGAGGGTGGCCATTAGGAGAAAATGTGCTCACCAATGAGTGCATACTGAAATTAGCAATAAAACATTTGTCTCTCCATTTCACATACAATTTGGCCTAAGAAGAATAAGACAAACAGACCCTCTATGGCAGGGCAGTCCCTGAAAATTCCTCCACAACCCAAGAGTATCCAGGCTTTGAGGAAAATACATGTTTCACCTGTCTTTTGAAAAACTCAGTACATTAATTATCCCAAAATAGAGAAACTAAGAGAAATTAAGCATGCATGGTTCATATGACAATGAATTTCATTATACAAAGATTCCAAACAGCACGTTACTAATTTCCAAATTTTAAAAAGAAAAAAAAAGACACTCTGAGATATATATATTTTTTTTTATGAGGCCATGCACGTGATAAAAACATAGATTAGGCTATGAATATATATTCCTTTACTTTTAAAATTAATTGTGCATACAGACAAAATTTTTACATTTCAAGGGTTGAGTTACATAACCATACAACCCAGGGCATATTTTTTTAACTTTCTAAATAAGAAATTAAAAATATTTTCTGATCTCCCCCTCTATGCCATCAAAGTGTTGAGCCAATGATTGATTCAACGTTCAAAGGTAGATAATATTTTTATGTATATAAAGTAAATTTAGAAAAACAGTTACTTCATTCATTTACTCATGTACCCATCCTATATTGTGAAGCCCCATTAAATGCCTATGTCAGTTGCTAAGTTTACAACTTTGTCTGGAGAATTCTGTGATTGGATGTCTAGAAAGTTTTGCTCAAATGCTTATGTGAGAAAGATCACTTTGGCAACAGGCTGATGGGTGGCCTGGGAAGTGGGAAGACTGGAAACACGTGCTGGTGGGAAGGCAGTATCTAGAACCCTCAAAATACATAGTTCAGTCTTTAATTCAAGTAACGTTGGTGAGTTTAAAGAGAAATGAATGGACTCAGGAGTTATCAGGGTTCTGGAATGAATGAGGCCTGTGACTGAATTTTGGAATTTGAGAAGAAGATCCCAGATGAAAGATGATTTTGAAGTTCAGGATGGCCTAGATAGCCACATGGATGGTGGTGTCATCCTTTAGGAGGGAAACACAGAAAGACAAGTGGGTTTGAGTGAGTTCAATTCAGGACACGTTGAGGTTCAGAAGCCTGGAAACAGGATGGGATATTAAAGATCCTCAGTCTAACACAATAAGTAGCTCAGGAGTCCAAGACCAGCATGAGCAACCCAATGGGCCCCTGCCCCACCCCTGGCGTCTGTAAAACTACTTAACCAGGGGCAGTGGCACATGCCTGTAGCCCCAGCTACTAAGAAGGCTGAGGTGGGAGGATCACATGAGCCCAGGAGTTTGAGGCTGCAGTGAGCTATGATTGTGTCACTGCACTCCAGCCTGGGCAAAAGAGCAAGACCTTATTTTTTAAAAAGGTAACAAGTATAGATGAAGATGTGGAGAAAAGAGAACCTTGTACTTTGTTGATGAAAATATAAATAAGTACAGACATTATGAAAAACAGTTTGGTAAGTCCCTCAAAAAATTAAAAATAGATGGGTGCAGTGGCTTATGCCTGTAATCCCTACACTTTGAGAGGCCAAGGCAGGTGGATCACTTGAGGTTAGGAATTTGAGACCAGCTTGGCCAACATGGTGAGACCCCATCTCTACTAAAAATACAAAAATTAGCCAGGCGTGGTAGTACGTGCCTGTAATCCCAGCTACTTGGGAGGCTGAGGCAGGAAAATCACTTGAACCAGGGAGGCAGAGGTTGCAGTGAACCGAGATCGCACCACTGCACTCTAGCCTGGGAAACAGAGTGAGACCAACAGAGTGAGACTCCGTATCAACAACAACAACAAAAATAAATAAAAATAAAGCTACCATATGATTTGGCAATCTCACTACTTGTTTTATATCGAAAGGAATTGAAATCACTATATCAAAGAGATACCTGCACTCTCTCATGTTGCCTACAGCATTATCCACAATATCCAAGATATGGAATCAACCCAGGTGTCCACCAATGAATAAATGAATAAAGAAAATGTGGTATAGATATACAATGTCATACTCTTCCGTCTTAAAAAAGAAAAGAAGAAAATCCCGACATTTGTGGCAATATGGGTAAATTTGGAGGACATTGCTATAAGTGAAATACGCCAGGCACAGAAGGACAAAGACTTCATGCTTTCACTTACATCTGGAATCTAAGAAAGCTTAACTCTTGAAAGCAGAGAGCAGATGGTTACCACAGGATGGGGTAGCAGGGAGGTGGGAAGATATGGAAGTGAGAAGTTAGGGGTCAAAACAATGTTTTAGTTAGACAGGAGGAATAAGTTTTAGTGATCTATTGCACAGCATGGTGACTACAGTTAAAAATAATGTAGTATAAATTTCAAAATTGCTAAAAGATTAGATTTTAAATGTTCTCACCACTAAAAAAAATGATAAGTAAGGTGAGGATAAGTTAGCTAGCTTGATTTAATTATTCCACAATTTATACATATATCAAGAAATCACATTTTGCCCCATAAATATATACAATTATTTGTCAATTTAAAAAAAAATCAGAAGACTCTTGCATCTCACTGTCAACTCCTTCTAGCATAAAATAACCCAAGAGGTACAACACATGGGGAAATTGGAGAGACAGTAGAGGAAGAAAATGTCTGCCCAGCCACAGAGGAACCTGAAGTTCTTTTCTTTTTTGTTTTGTTTTTCTTTTATTTTCTTTTATTGTGGTAAGAACACTTAACATGAGGTTTTCTCTCTTAAATTTTTGTGTACAATACATTAATTTTGGTTTTGGGTTTTTTAAACTGTATTGTATTTTTATTTCCATAGGTTTTTGGGGAACAGGTGGTGTTTGGTTACATGAGTAACTTCTTTAGTGGTGATTTGTGAGATTTTGGTGCGCCTATCACCCGAGCAGTGTACACTGCACCCAATATGCAGTCTTTTATCCCTCAACCTGCTCCCACCCTTTCCTCCAAGTCCCCACAGTCCATTGTGTCACTCTTATGCCTTTGCATCCTCATAGCTTAGCTCCCACACTTATGAGTGAGAATATATGATGTTTGGTTTTCCATTCCTGAGTTACTTCACTTAGAATAATGGTATCCAATTCCATCCAGGTTGCTGCAAATGCCATTATTTCATTCTTTTTTATGGCTGAATAGTATTCAGTGGTGTGTGTGTGTGTGTGTGTGTGTGTGTGTGTGTACATATAACATTTTCTTATCCACTCATTGATTGACAGGTATTTGGGCTGGTTCCATATTTTTGCAATTGTGAATTGTGCTGCTATAAACGTGTGTGGAAGTATCTTTTTCGTATAATGACTTATTTTCCCCTGGGTAGATACCCAGTAGTGGGATTGCAGGATCAAATGGTAGTTCTACTTTTAGTTCTGTAAGGAACCTCCACACTGTTTTCCATAGTGGTTGTAGTAGTTTACATTCCCACCAGCAGTGTAGAAGTATTCCCTGTTCGCCATACCCCAGCCAATATTTATTATTTTTTAATTTTTTTTAATTATGGCCATTCTTGCAACAGTAAGGTGGTATTGCGTTGTGGTTTTGATTGATAGACCATTACTGAGATTATGAAGTTGGTTTCTACGCAGCACTAGAGTACTGTGACCACGCTGAACCCTTGCCTGCACCTCTTCACTCTGCTCTTCATGTGGAACTAAGGCCCCTGTTCACAAGTGCTCCTCAGATTCAGAGAGGCTGGGCAGAGGGAATGGGTTTTGAAATAAGACAAATCTTGTGTCAATGAAAAGATGTACCACTTTCTAGCTCTGTGATTTGGGGAATTATTTCATCTCTGTGAAACTCAGATTGCTTGTCTCTAAGACAGATATAGTATCAGTAACATGATGGCCTGTTATTAAGATTAAATGTAAAAATGAATATAAAATACCTCAAAACATGCAGTATTAGTTAACTATTGCCAAAAGAACATTGCCTAACAAACCATCCCAAAACACAGTGCCTCGAAACAACAACCATCATTACTGTTCCTCAGTCTGTGGGTCAGTTGAGTGGTTCTGCTGGTCCTGGCCAGGGTCCCTCACACATCACACATTTGGGGTTAGATGGTGTTGACTGGCCAAGGATGGCCTGGGCTCTGCTCCGTGTGGTCTCTCTTCCTCCAGCATGCTGGCCTGGACTTGTTCTCATGGTCAAGGCAGAGGCATGAAAGGCTTCCTGAGACCAAAATCCAGAATGGGAATACTGTCATTTTCATCATTGCTATTGATCGAAGCAAGTCTTAAGGCCAGCCCAGAATTCCAGGGGTGGAGAAATAGTTTCCATCTTTTGATAGAAAAAGATGCGAGTAACATTAACAAAAGCATGTGCACGGGCTGGAGTGGAGAATTGAGACCATCAGAGAAACCAGTGCAGCACATGTGCCGGGCTCATGGGCATGCACATGGCTCTGCAGAGCTTCATCCCTCCCCTTGTCACCTCAGGCTGTTAACAGCCAATTACAAAAAACAAACCAATCCATGCATTCCTTTTCCCCACATGTCTTCTGACATAAGCAGCTTCACCAAAGTTACAGCAGGGGAAATGGCACTGAGAAGTGAAGATATAGACAAAAAAGTCTCCTGGAGATAGCAGAACCACAAGTCCTCGACATTAAAACTACAGGTAAAGATCACAGACTACTTCATGTTTGGACATTATTATTTTTCCAGCTATGTTCTGTAATTCACTAAATTGCTATTCTTTTTTTTAAGAGAATCCTTCTCAGTTATTACCTCTTTGTCTAGAGAAAACTTTATTTAGAAGTCCCCAAAATTAGGTCAACTATCTTATCCCAGCAAACACAATGGAGACTTTAGAAACATCATAGAAAAGAAAGAAATTCGAAGCCACCTTTCCAGCTAGGAATAAGAAGCTGGGAAGAAGCCTTCAAGGCACCACTCTGGACAGAGCAACAAGACAAGAAGCTGACTGACTGGGGCTTTTGCTTTTCTAAGAGGAAGAAGCATCTGCTGGAAGGCCCCTTGGTCCCTAGGCCCTGCCCTCCAATTTCTTCCTGGAATGCAGACAAGATGGCTGAGGTTGCAGCAGCCATGTTGAGACCATGAGGTGACAAGCATGAGGATAAAGAACCATCAAGACAGGAAACCCAAAATCCAGGAAGGCATTGCACAGCAGCTGCACTACCCCATATTACTCACCTTTGACCTGCTGCTCCATGAGAAAAGCCACCTCACTTCATTACACCACTGTCACTGGCTATCACTCACAGCTGGGCCCTTCCCTAACCAGTAAGATAACAGCTATACTTCTAGGTTGTTATATGCTTTAGATTTAGAAATAATATGCTTAAATCTTATGTCCTTAAAAAGTATGTTAGCCTAAATTAGGTATTTTTTTACAAATTAACAAGTAAAATTTCATTCATGGCCTTTGATGATTTCCAGCAAAAAATAAGCTTCATTGCTAGTCTATTATGGCCAAAGTTAACATTCTTTTAAGTTATTTCTCTCCAAATAATTTTAGAGCCTCCAAATATTTTTGTGGATGTACTTACTATGGGAAACCTACACTTGAAGAAATGATAAGATAGAATGCAAAAATTAGCAGTCTGACTCAATTATCTAAGAAATCATATGGAACTTAGGACAGGATTTCAGGGGAAATAACAAATATATGTATATATAATATATTCATAAATCAAACATAAAATTAAGCTTATTAGTTCATAGGCATATCTTTCCCCTGAAATTTTATCATGGGAAGTAAACTCCTTTGGAATTAAAAGTAAAATACAAAAAAATCAATTGCTCTGAAAATTAAGATGAAATTGCTATCCGCACCATCCTTAAAAAGCTCATAAGATACTATTAATTTGTAATGTTGGTCTTATCACATCTATTAATATAATATTAAACAAATGTGGAAATTCTGCAAATGTTAGAAACCTTAACAATGCTTATACACTGGCATTACAAATACAAAAGCAGAGGGGAAGAGAGGGAATTTGGCAGTAAGAAAATTAATCCTCTCGTCTTTCATAGCCAGAAGTTGAAGACATCTAAAATTAAAACATGGGATTAGAAATATAATAATTCCAATCTCATTGAATGTTTCATAGTTTCTGTAGCCTTAGAATACTATGTTAGGATATTTAGGATACTAAGCAAGATTTGTGGATATCATTTCTGTTCTCTTCTAGGTTGCTTGATTCTTTTTCTAATATGTATGCTTTTTTGTTTGTTTACCTTTAAGCTCTGTTGGACTTAACGTATGTATTATTTATATAAAAACGGTAAAGTATTAAAATTTTTAAATAGAAATGTAACTTCTATGTTAGTCTGGGTTCTCCAGAAAAAGCAACCAATAGGAGATAAATATACATATTCATATATACATATACATATACACACACACACTAAGAGGCATATGTGTATGCATGTCTATGTGTGTGTGCGTGAAGGGGGGGAAGCGAGATGTACTATGAGGAATTTATACATGATTATGGAAGCCGAGAAGACCAAGATCTGCAGTCAGCAGGCTAGAGACCAGGAGAGCCAATGGTGTATGTTCCAGTTCAATCTGGGTCCTAAGACAGGAGACGGCCAGTATTCCGGCCTGGAGACAGTTAGGCAGAGAGAGGGAGTTCTTTCTTCCTTAGTCTTTTGTTCTGTTCAGGCCTTCAGTGGAATGGATGAGGCCCACTCACTAGGGAGGCAGCCCACTGACCCAAATGCTGACTTCATGTAGAAGCACCCAGGATAAGGTTTAACCAACTGTCTGGGCACTCTGCAGCCCAGTAACACTGACACATAAATTTAACCTTCACAACTTCAAAACAGCACAACTTTCACCTATGTGTTTCAGCAGATTAGAAAAGAGTGTGCTTTGAGGCTGCCCCTCACCTGGGAACCCCAGTACTGACCTTGGAGGAGCCACAGGAGGAGGATCCCAGTTCTTCGGTAAATGTGGAGCATTTTGCTGACTTTCAGAACTGGAACATGGGCTCAATGTTTTCCTTGTCTGTGTCCCCTTTCTTTGGTTAATTGGAACTCTGCTTTCTAAGGACTAGGAATATAAGTTTCCTTATCTTTAATAGGGTTTGGGAGCTGAAGGAGGGGCCAGTCTCCGTATTACGACTAGATTGTCTGAGTACACCGTTTGACTCCTCTATCCCAGCCTAGCCAATCAGTTCCACCAAAAGCAGCAATTGGGACAGCCTGAGTGGGGAAAAAAAGAATAATAGTCTAATCCAGACTAATAATTTCCCATCAGTTCAATCACGATGATGTCTTCACTGGTTCTCCTTCCTCCAATTTCTCCTGGATCTACAACAGGGATGAGGTTGCCTGCCTAAAACATAGATCAGTTCATGAACTTCTCTATCAAAATCCTGCAATAATTTCCTACTACCAGCATCAGAAAACAAAGTGGCAAAGCCATGTGCGCCCAGCCCTGTGCAATCTGGTCATTCTATCTTTGCAGCCGCCGTCACCCCCAGCCCCAACACTGAATCCTTTCTCAACTCCCACCTTCCCGGACACTGGCCACACAGCTGTGGTCCAAACTCACCACGAAGGTTCTTCACGGCCAAGCCTGTGTTCAGCCTGGAAGCCCCTTGCCCCAGTTCTTCCCTTATTGAAATTATTCTCAAGCATCAGAGACCAATTCAATGGTCCCTCCTCTTGGAATCTCCTGGTTTTCCCAACAGGATGACCACTCCTTCCCCTCCACTGGCTGATGTCTCACCTAGCTCTCCACTAGTGCCAGTGCCCGTACACGTTGGGTTTCTTTACCCGTGCCTTTCCATGCCTCCTTAGGTCAAAGGCAGTGTGGTGTTTTTCTTTGTAGCTCTCGACATTACCATAGTTCCTGGCACAGAGTAGGTAATCAAAGAATTTTGATCTGCTAAATTTGATTCTCAAAAAAAGACTTTCTATTTGGTCTATGAGCATCTATACAAATTACCTAAAAATCTAACTTGTATCCTTATTCCTGTCATTTTGATCATGCAAATTTACACATGGCACTTATAAGTTTGTTTTAAGATAAATATAAATAAGGGCCCTCCTGTCAATATACTTCATAAAAATGAGGGAAAACATCTATTCGATTTAACATAATGACCTTCAAAGTTCCCCAAATCCCCTTAATAAAGCAATAGCTACACAAGCAAAGGGTAATGTACATTTCTTTTTTATTCTAACAAAAGTAATAAATTCCTCAATTTGGGAGCGTGAGGAAGGTTGGATGAGGCAATCAGGCATCTCCCTTCACACATTACCTCCCAGCTATGGATACAGAATGGAGCTCTGCTCTGCAGAGAGCCCTGTGATGCCTGTTCCTCACTCTCTCTCCACTTCAGTGTGCTGAGAGGGAGCTGAGCTCTAATTGCAGCCATATCAATCAAAGGGATTTCAGATTGCAGCACAACCTTCTCTAGCTGGAGTTAATTAGAATGCTGACATTTCCCAGACTGTCAGCTAAATGAATGCTTAGGAAGATGTGCATATACATCCAATGGGTAAATACAGGCTGTCAGAAACTCCTCCACAAAGCACACCCCAGCCCTTTCTGGTTCTGTCACCCTATACTACGGATAAGCGACTCACAACCTCCAGAGATGCAAACCCAGGGACCTGGGATGTTCTGTGAATTGCCCAGAAATCCATTTGAAATATAGTTAAATGGTAAACTCACCTACAAAATATTGAGCCATGCTTTACACAGCCATATTCTTTGCAATCCAGTGAAAATGTGGGCTAATTTTCATTAATGTGTATGCTTTAAACACAATAACCGTAATACCGTCATTACCAGATAACTAAATTAATATTCATTCCTGTTTGTTAAAATCCCGTCACTGGGAGATAGTGAAATGGTTGACATCCCCTGTTAGCTGCAGCATGAAAAGAGGAAAGAACTCATCTCGAGGTGCACAAACGCAGACAGAGTTTAAATATCACTGCTAATCTTACCAGATTAGAACTGAGGACCAGACTCCAGACTTCCAAATTTTCAACCTCTCACTTGAGGAAAACACTTGAGAGGAAAATTTTCATAACAAATGGGAACCAAGTCATGAAAGAATGACATGTCTTATACTGTAGAAGAAAGAAATGAAAGCCTATTTAAGTTTGTATTAAAGGGGACGAATAACCAGACATGTTTTGCTAGAAATAAGAACCCCCCCCTTTAAGTTCAAAAGAGACCGCAAGAACACATGAACGACCACCACCAAAACAATGGGCTGCTGTCATAGTGGATAGTCCTGCGCACCACAGCGTGATCCGGGCACTGGGTGTGCACCACCGTGCCCTGCGTAGTGGGCTTGACAGAGTCGCAGGGCCCTTCCTCAAGGCTGACTGGGTCCACTGGAGGACAAGAAAAGTGGTACAGCCTGTGGGGAAGTGTGAGGAAGGTGGTGATGGGAAGGCCAAAAGAAGCACAGGTCTGAAGATGGGTAGGATTTATTCAAGATGGGGAAGGGTGTGGGAAAAGAGATGGGGAAAGGAAGTATTTTAAGCAAAGAAAAGTGCACATGGGGAAGTATCTGGGCACAGAAGGTGAAACACCTTGGAGAAGCACAGAGATGCTCACAGGAGGTGAACGGCCTTGGAGAGGCACAGAGATGCTCGCTACAGCCGGAGGGAAGAGCAGGAGTCTGGAGTGGAGGAAATTATGCTGCAGAAGAAGGCAGGCGCGAGGTCAGGCAAGCCAGGGAGGAAGATGGGAAGAACTAGAGACTTCTAAAGGTTTTACACACAGGAAGCTGTAGCATCAAACTCACCTTTCATAAATCTTCCAGAATAAACTGAACATATTCTTTTTTCACTCCTACTCATCTCTAGTTTTGTGGGTTAGATTGCTTTTTTTTTTTGAGACAGAGTCTTGCTCTGTCACCCAAGCTGGAGTGCAGTGGCGTGATCTCGGCTCAGCTGCAACCTCCACCTCCTGGGTTCAAGCGATTCTCCTGCCTCAGCCTCCCGAGTAGCTGGGACTACAGGCATGTGCCATCACGCCCAGCTAATTTTTGTATTTTTAGTAGAGAAAGGAGTTTGCCATGCTGGCCAGGCTGGTCTCGAACTCCTGACCTCAAGTGATCCACCCACCTCAGTCTCCCAAAGTGCTGGGATTACAAGCGTGAGCCACCACACCTGGCCAAATTGCTTTCATATTTATTTAAGTAGAATGTATTGATTTATAATTGACATACCACAGAATTCATCCATCAAACGTGTACAATATCATAATCAATGGCAAAAATCTGAAAGCATTTCCTTTAAGATCTGGTATAAGGCAAAGATGTCTGTTCTCACCACTTCTGTTTAACACAGTATTAAAAGTACTAGCAAGAGAATCAGACAAGAAAAGGAATAAAATGCATCCAAATAAGCAAAAGTAAAATTATTCCTGTTTGTAGATGACAAAATCCTACATGTAAAAAACCCTTAAGACTCCACAAATAACTGATAAAATTAATAAATGAATTTAGTAAAGTTGCAGTATATAAAATTAACATATATTAACATATAAAAATCAGTTTTATTTCTTTACACCAATCTATTCAAAAAAGAAATAAAGAAAAATACCATTCATAATAGCATCAAAAAGAATAAATACCTAGGAAAAATATTTAACCAAGGGAGTGAAAGATCTGTACACTGAAAATTATAAATCATTGTTGAAAGAAACTGAACAATATGCAAATAAATGTGATGACATTTCATGTTCATAAATTGGAAGAATTAGTATCATTAAAATGTCCACACTACCCACAGCAATATAGAAATTCAATGCAATTCCTAGAAATATTGCAATGACATTTTTCACAGAAATAGAAAAACATATCTTAAATTTATATGGAACTACAAAAACCCTGAGTAGTCAAAACAGACTTGAGAAAGAAAAACAAATTAGAGGCATCACACTTCCAGATTTCAAATTATATTACAAAGCTACAGTAATCAAAACAGTTTGGTAGTGGCATAAAAGCAAATATATAGACCAATGGATCAGAATAAATAGCCCAGAAATAAACCCACACATATATTAGTAGTGTATATCTTGACAAGGCCACCAAGAAAACAGAATGGTGAAACGATAGTCTCTTCAATAAATGATGGTGAGAAAGTTGACTATCCATATGCAGAAAAAAAAAAAACTGGGTCCTTATCTTACACTATTTACAAAAATCAACTTATAATTGATTAAAGACCTAAACCTAAGACTTGGAATTATAAACCTACTAGAAGAAAACATGGAGAAGAAAACTCCTTGATACCGGCTTTGGCAATTTTTTTTTAATATCACACCAAAAGCTCAGGCAACAAAATAAAAAAAAAAGTGGAACTACATCAAATTAAAAAGCTTCTGTAGAGCAAATGAAACAAACAACAAAATAAGAAAGTAGCCAACATAGTGAGAGAAAATATTTGTGAACCCTGTACTAGACAAGGGGTTAATATTCCAAATATGTAAGGAACTCACACTACTCAACAGCAAAACATCAAATAGCTCAATTTTTAAATGGGAAAATAACCTCAATAAACATTTCTCCAAGAAAGTCATATAAAAATGGCCAATGAAAAAGTGCTCAGCATCACTAATCATCAGAGAAATGCAAATTAAAAGCATACTGAGATAATACCACACACCTATTAGAATAGCTATTGTGAAAAGGAAAAGATATAACAAGTGTTGGTGAGGATGTAGAGAGGGAACCCTTGTATACCATTAATGGAAATGTAGATGGGTGCAACCATTGTGGAAAACAGTATGGAAGTTACTAAAGAAATTTAAAATATAACTACCATATGACCCAGGAATCCCTCTTCTGGGTAAATACTCAAAGGAGATGAAACCACCACCTTGTAAAGATATCTGCACACACATGTTCACTGCAGCATAGATGTGCAATAGCCGAGATGTGGAAACAATCTAAGTATTCATCAATGGAGGAATGGATAAAGAAGTTGTGGTGTATACTGTAAAGACACAGATAGACTGAAAGTAAAGGGGTGGTAAAATATATTTCATGCAAACAGAAATTGAAAGTAAATAATAGTAGCTATATTTATATAATATAGAACAGACTTTAAATGAAAAACAGTGAAAAAAGAAAGAAAAGGTAATTATATTATGATAAAGGGATCAATTCAGTGAGAGGATATAACAATCCTAAATATATATGCATCCAATATTAGAGAACACAAATTCACAAAACTAATATTACTAGACCTAAAGAAAGAGAAAGACCAGAATACAATAATAGCAGAGGACTTTAATACCCCACTCACAGCACTAGAAAGATCATTGAGAGAGAAACTTGACAAAGAAACTTCAATGGGACTTGAATTGGACTTTAGACAGACATTTACAGAACATTCTACCAAACAACTACAGAATACACATTCTTTTCAACAGTACATGAAACATTCTCCACCATAGGCCTCAAAACAAATCTTGACAATTTTTTAAATATCAAAATCATATCAAGTACCTTCTCAGACCACAGTGGAAGAAAGCTGGAAACCAATACCAAGAGAAACTTTGGAAACTATATAAATACATGGAGATTAATAGGCATCCTCCTGAACGATCACAGGGTCAATGAAGAAATTCAGATGGAAATTAAAAATTGTTGGAAACCAATGAAAACAAAAATACAACACATCAAACCTGAGGGATACAGCAAAAGAAGTGTTAAGAGGGAAGTTTATAGCATTAAAAGCCTGCATGAAAATAAAGTAGAAAAACCACAAATTAACAACTTAATGTTGCACTTCAAGGAACCAGAGAAACAAGAACAAACCAAACCCAAAGTTAGCAGAAGAAAAGAAATAACAAAAATCAGAGCAAAACTAAGTGAAAAAGAGACAGAAAAAACAATGGAAAGAATCCACAACATGAAAAGTTGGTTCTTTGAAGACACTCAGTTCTTTGAAGAGATAAAGAAAATTGATAAAACACTAGCTAGACTGACCAAGAGAAAAAGAGAGAAGATGCAAATAAACACAATTGTAAGTGAAAAAGAAGACATTACAATTGATACTACAGAAATATAAAAGATATCAGAGAATATTATATGCAACTATACACTCACAAACTAGAAAATGTAAAGGAAATTTATAAACTCTTGGAAACACACAACCTCCTGAGATTGAACCAGGAAGAAATAGAACTCCTAAATAGATCAATAATGAGTAGTGAGATTTAATTAGTAACAAAAAAATCTCCCAGGGGGAAAAAAAAAAAAACCAGGATCAGATAGATTCATAGCCAAATGCTACCAACATACAAAGAAGAACCAACACCAGTATTCCTGAAATTATTCCATAAAATCAAGAAGGAAGGAATTCTTCCTAACTCATTCTGCAAAGCCAGTACTACTCTGATACGGAAACAAGACAAGGACACAACAAATAAAGAAAACTACAGACCAATATCTCTAATGAGCATAGATGCAAAACTTCCCAACAAAACACTAGTGAATCAAATCCAACAGCACATCAGAAAGATAATGCACTATGATTAGGTAGGACTTACCCCAGGGATCCAAAGATGTTTCAACATACACAAATCAATAAATGTGATACATCACATAAATAGAATTAAGGACAAAAATCACATGATCATCTCAATAGATGCAGAAAAAGGACTTTATAAAATATAACATGGCTTCATGATTAAAATCCTCAACAAACCAGGCATTGAAGGAACGTAACTCAACATAATAAAGGCCACATACAACAAACCCACAACAAACATCATATGGAATAGGTAAAAGTTGAAAGCGTTTCCTCTAAGAACTGGACGAGACAAGGATGCTCACTTTCACCACTCTCATTCAACATAGTACTGAAAGTCCTTGCTGGAGCAATCAAACAAGATAAAGAAAAAAAGGCATTCAAATTGTAAAGGAGGAAGTCATATTATCCCTGTTTGCTCACAATATGATATCTAGAAAACCTTAAAGACTCCACCAAGAAACTCTTAGATTTCATAAGTGAATTCAGTAAAGTTTCAGGATACAAAATTAACATGCAGAAAGCAGTTGCATTTTCTACACCAATAATGATGTAGCCGGGAACCAAATCAAGAAGACAATCTCATTTACAATAGCTAAAAAAATAAAATAAAATGCCTGGAACATATTTAACCAGGGAGATGAAAGATCTCTATAAGGAGAACTACAAAATCATAGATGACACACAAAAAAATGGTAAAACTTCTCATGCTCATGGATTGGAAGAATCAATACTGTTAAAATGACTGTACTGCCCAAAACAATTTACAAATTCAATGCACTCCCTATCAAATTACCAATATCATTTTTCACAGAATTAGAAAAGACAATCCTAAAATTCATATGGAATCAAAATAAAGAGTGCACATAACCAAAGTAATCTTAAGCCAAAAAACAAAACTGAAAGCATCACATTATCTGACTTCAGATTATATTATTAGGGTGGTGCAAAAGTAGCTGCGGTTTTTGCCATTACTTTCAAGGCTATAGTAACCAAAACAGCATGGTACTGGTATAAAAATAGACACATAGATCAATGGAACACAACAGAGAATCCAGAAATAAAGCCACATACCTACAACCAACTCTGACAAAGTCACAAAAATATACACTGAGGAAATGACACTCTATTCAATAAATGGTACAGAGAAAATTAGATAGCCATATGCAGAAGAATGAAACTGGACCCATGCCTCTCATTATATACAAAAGTTAACTCAGGATGGATTAAAAACATAAACGTAAGGCCTGAAACTATTTTTATTTTTATTATACTTTAAGTTCTAGGATACATGTGCACAACATGCAGGTTTGTTACTTATGTATACATGTGCCATGTTGGTGTGCTGCACCCATTAACTCGTCATTTACATTAGGTATGTCTCCTAATGCTATCCCCTCCCCCCTCCCCCCACCCCACGACAGGCCCTGGCGTGTGATGTTCCCCTTCCTGTGTCCAAGTGTTCTCATTGTTCAATTCCCACCGATGAGTGAGAACATGCGGTGTTTGGTTTTTTTGTCCTTGTGATAGTTTGCTGAGAATGATGGTTTCCAGTTTGGTCCATGTCCCTACAAAGGACATGAACTCATCCTTTTTTATGGCTGCATAGTATTCCATAGTGTATATATGCCACATTTTCTTATTCCAGCCTATCATTGATGGACATTTGGGTTAATGGGATCTAATTAAACTAAAGATCTTCTGCACAGCAAAAGAAACTACCATCAGAGTGAACAGGCAACCTACAGAATGGGAGAAAATTTTTGCAATCTATTCATTTGACAAAGGCCTAACATCCAGAGTCTACAAAGAACTCAAACAAACTTATAAGAAAAACAAACAACCCCATCAAAAAGTGGGCGAAGGATATGAACAGACACTTCTCAAAAGAAGACATTTATGCAGCCAACAGACACATGAAAAAATGCTCATCATCACTGGCCATCAGAGAAATGCAAATCAAAACCACAATGAGATACCATCTCACACCAGTTAGAATGGAGATCATTGAAAAGTCAGGAAACAACAGGTGCTGGAGAGGATGTGGAGAAATAGGAGCACTTTTACACTGTTGGTGGGAATGTAAACTAGTTCAACCATTGTGGAAAACAATGTGGCGATTCCTCAAGGATCTAGAACTACAAATAGCATTTGACCCAGCCATCCCATTACTGGGTATATACCCAAGGGATTATAAATCATGCTGCTATAAAGACACATGCACACGTATGTTTATTGCGGCATTATTCACAATAGCAAAGACTTGGCCTGAAACTATTTTTAAAAAAATACTAGAAGAAACCTTAGGAAAATCTTTTCTGCACATTGGTCTAGCCAAAGAATTTATGACCAAGCCCTCAATAGCAAATGCAATAAAAACGAAGATAAACAAATGAGACTTAATTAAACTAAAAAGCTTCTGCACAGCAAAAGAAACAATCAACAGAGTAAACAGATAATCTACAGAATGGGAAAAAATATTTGCAAACTATGCATCTGGCAAAGGGCTGGTATCCAAAATCTACAAGAAACTCAAACAACTTAGCAAGATAAAATCAACCCCATTATAAGTGGGCAAAGGACATGAACAGCCATTTTTCAAAAGAAAACATACAAGTGGCTAAGAAACATAAAAATTACTCAACATCACTAATCATCAGAAAAAAATCAAATTAAAATCACAATAAAATACCATCTTACAACAGTCAGAATCACTATTATTTAGAAAATCTAAAAATAACAGATGTTAGTGAGGATGCAGAGCAAAGTGAATGCTTATACACTGTTGGTAGGAATGTAAATTGGTACAAACTTTATGGAAAACAATATGACGACTTTTCAAAGAACTAAAAATAGAACTGCCATTTGATCCAGCAATCCCACTACTGAATATATATCCAAAAGGAAAGAAATCATTGTATGAAAAAGATACCTACATTCAAATGTTTATGGCAGCACTATTCACAATAGCAAAGATGTGTAATCAACTTAAGTGTCCATCAATGGAGGACTGGATAAGAAAATATATATATATATATATATATATATATATATATATATATATATATACACACACACACATATATGTACTTTTTTATGGCTAAGTAGTATTTCATCATGTATATATATATATATATATATATATATATATATATGCATTTTTTCTTATCCAATCCTGCATTGATATGGTATGTGTTTATACAGTATGTATATATATGTATGCATTTATACATTGATATATATATACACACACATACCATGAAATACTACTCAGTCATAAAAAAAGAATGAAATCATGTTATGTACAGTAACATGGATGGAACTGGAGGCCAATATTACTTGTAATGGCAAAAACCACAATTACTCTTGCACCAACCTAGTATTAATAGCTCAGAAACAGATAAATTCTGCTTGTTCTCATTTATAAGCAAAAGCTATAAAACATGGGTACACATGGACATATAGAGTGAAATAATAGACACTGGATGCTACAAAAGTGGAGGGGTGAGAGGGTGCAAGGGTTGAATAATTACCTGTTGGGTACAATGTTCCCTACTTGGGTGATGGGTTCACCAAAAGCTCGGACTTCACCATGACACAGTATATGCGTTAAGAAATCTATACTTGTACCTCTCACCATATAAAAATTTAAAAATGTATATATTTTCTATAAACATTTTAAATGTATTTATATAATATAAAGCCACACACCTACAACCATCTGATCTTTGACAAAGTTGACAGTAACAAGCAATGGGGAAAGAACTTCCTATAAAATAAATGGTGCTGGGATAACTGGCCAGCCATATGCAGAAGATTGAAACTAGACTCCTTCCTTTCACCATATACAAAAATCAACTCAGGATGGATTAAAGATTTAAATGTAAACCTAAAACTATATAACCCTAAAAGAAAACCTAGTAAATACCATCCTGGACAGAGGCCTTGGCAAAGATTTTCATGACAAAGTCCCCAAAAGCAAACACAACAATACCACAAATAGACAAGTGGAACTTCATTAAAGTAAAGAGCTTCTGCATAACAAAATAAACTCTCAATAGAATAAACAGACAACTTACAGAATGGGAGAATATATTTCCAACTATGCATTCAACTAAAGTGTAAAATCCAGAATTTATAAGGAACTCAAACAAATCAAGTACAAACAAACAACCCCATTAAAAATGGGCAAAGAACACAAACAGACACTTCTCAAAAAAAAGACATACACATGGCCAGCAAACATATGAAAAAATGCTCCACATCAGTAATCATTAGAGAAATGCAAATCAAAACTGCAATGAGATACCATCTCACATTAGTCAGAATGGCTGTTATTTAAGAGTCAAAAAATAACAGATATTGACGAGGTTGCAGAGAAAAGGGCACACTTATACACTGCTGATTGGAATGTAAATTAGTACAGCCACTGTGGAAAACAGTTTGGAGATTTTTCGAAAACTGAAAGCAGAGCTACCATTTGATTCAGCAGTCCCTCTACTGGATATATACCGATAGGAATATAAATCACTCTACCATAAAGACACACGCACGCTTCGGCTGGGCATGGTGGCCCATGCCTGTAATGCCAGCATTTTAGGAGGCTAAGGCAGGTGGATCGTTTGAGTGAAGGAGTTCGGGACCACCCCGGGCAACACGGTGAAACCCTGTCTACTAAAAATACAAAAATTCGCCAGGCATGGTGGCACACGCTGTAGTCCCAGCTACTTGGGCGGCTGAGGTGGGAGGATTGCTTGAGCCCAGGAGGCAGAGGTTGCAGCAAGCTAAGTTCATGCCACTGCACTCCAGCCTAGGTGACAGAGCAAGTCCCTGTCTCAAAAAAAGAAAAAGAAAAAGACACAAGCATGCTTCACGCCTTCATCACAGCACTATTCACAACAGCAAAATCATGGAATCCACCTAGATGCCTGTCAATAGTGGACTGGATAAAGAAAATGTGGTACATAAACACCATAGAATGCTACATGGCCATTGAAAAGAATGAAATGGTGTCCTTGGTAGCAACAAGAATGCAGCCAGAGGCCATTATCCTAGATGAATTAATGTAGGAACAGAAAACCACATTTCACATGTTCTTGCTTGCTGTGGGAGCTAAACATTGAGTACACATGGACACAAAGATGAGAACGACAGGTACCAGGGACTACTAGAGGAGGGAGGGTGGGAGAAGGGTAGGGGTTGAAAAACTACCTATTAGGTGCTATGCTCGCTGTCTGGGTGATAAAATTATTTGTACACTAAATTCTAGCAACATACAATTTACTCATGTAACAAACCTGCACATCTACCCTCTGAATCTAAAGTAATAGTTGGGAAAAAATGGAGCGTATGGTAACAGAGAGTAGAAAGGTGCTTACCAAGGCTGGAGCAAATGGGAAGATGTAGGTCAAAAACTACAAAGATGCAGTTATCTTGAGAAACTAAGTCTGGAGATACAATGTACAGTATGAGGACTACAGTTAATAAAATTACAGTGTATACTGGAAATTTGCTAAGAAAGTAGATTTTATATACTCTTACCATACACACACACACACACACACAGAATGAGATGATGAATATGTTAAGATAATTGACTATAATAATCACTTTACTATTTATATATGTATCAAAACATGTTGTATACCTTAAATCCACACAATAAAAATACAGAGGAAAAGAATACAACTCAATGTTTATCAGTATAGTCATAGGGTTTTGCAACCATCACTAATGTTTAATTTTAGAACGTTGTCATCTCTTCACAAAGAAATCTCTGCACCTCTTAGCAGTCATTCCTCATTCCTTCCCCCAAACTTTCTCCAGCCACTGGCACCATCAAGCTACTGTCTGTTTTCATAATTTGCCTGTTCCTGACATTGCATATCAATGCTTTTACACAATATGTGTCCTTTTATGACTGGCTTTTCCCCTCAGCATAAAGCTTTGAAGGTTCATCCATGTTGCAGCAAGCATCAGTACTACATTCCTTTCCATCATCAAATGATATTCCATTGCAAAATGTACCTTATTTGTTCATCCACTCATCAATGAGCATTAAGGTTGTTTTCACATTTTGGCTACTATGAATACTACTTCTATGAACCATCTTGTACTAGTTTTTGTGTGGACATATGTTTGCAGTTTTCTTGGGTGTGCACCTAGGAGTAGAATTACTAAGTCATCTGGTAACTTTAACATTTTGAGGAAATGCCAAACTATATTCAAAAGTGGCTGCACAATTTTACATACCACCAGCACTTCATGAGGGCTCCACCTTCTCCACATCCTTGTCAACACTTGTTATTGCCTATCTTTTTGTCCTAGCCATCTTAGCAAGTGTGAAGTGGTAATTCACTGTGCTTTCGATTTGTATTTTCCTGATTATGAATGATATTGAGCACCTTTCATGTGTTCATTGGCCATTGTATATCTTCTTTGGAAAAAAAGTCTGTTCAATTCTCTGCCTTTTTTTTTAGTTTCTTGTCTTTTTATTATTGAGTTTTAAAAGTTCTTTATATAATCTGAATAAAAGCCTCTTATCAGATATATGATTTGCAAATAGATTCTTCCATTCTCTGAGTGGTCTTTCTTCTGTCTTGATGAAATCACTTTTAGCACAAATTTTTGGTTTCATTTTAGTGTCAACAAATGTATTTATATTTTTCTTTTGTTGCTTGTTTTATAGTTTTTGGTATATAATTCATGCCCTACTTTTGTTAAACTTATGCTTGAGTATTTTATTCTTTATGACATTATGGAAGTGTGTTTTTAATTTTAATTCCAAAACGTTGACTGTTATTGCAAAAATATGGAACCAGCCCAAATGCCCATCAATGAGTGGATAAAGAAAACGTGGTATATATACATATACACACACACATATACATACCATGGAATACTACTCAACCACAAAAAGGAATGAAATAATGGTATTTGCAGCAACCTGGATGAGACTGGAGACTATTATTCAAAGTGAAGTAACTCAAGAATGGAAAACCAAGCATTATATGTTCTCACTCACATGTGGGAGCTGAGCTAGGAGGACACAAAGGCATAAGAATGATACACTGGACTTTGGGGACTCAGAGGAAAGGGTAGGAGGTGGCAAGGGATAAAAGTCTACACATTAGGTACAGGGTATACTGCTGGCGTGATGGGTGCACCAAAATCTCAGAAATCACCACTAAAGAACTTATTCATGTAACCAAACACCACCTGTTCCCTCAAAACCAATTTAAATAAAATTTTTTTAAAAAACTTTAAACGTTGATTGCTAGAGTATAAAAATAGAATTGATTTTGTTGACTTTCTTTTTTAACTTTTAAGTTCAGGGGAACATGTGCAGGATGTGCAGTTTTGTTACATAGGTAAACATGTGTCAAGGGAGTTTGTTTTACAGATTATTTCATCACCCAGGTATTAAGCCTAGTATCCACTAGTTACTTTTTCTGATCCTCTCCCTTCTCCCACCTTCCACCCTCTGACAGGGTGCTCAGAGATTTGAATAGACATTTATCCAAAGAAGATATACAATGACTAATGAACATATGAAAAGTGCTCAACATCATTAATAATTAGGAAAATACAAATCAAAACCGCAATGAAATACACTTCACACTTGCTAAAATGGCTATGACAAAAAAGACAGGCAATAACAAATGTTAGCAAGGATGTGGAGAAGGTGAAGCCCTCATGCAGTGCTGGTGGTAACGTAAAATTATGCAGCCACTTTGAAACGTAGTTTGGCATTTCCTCAAAATGTTAAAGTTACCAGATGACTTAGTAATTCTACTCCTAGGTGTACACCCAAGAAAAATACAAACATATATCCACACAAAAGCTAGTAAGAGACTGTTCACCCCAGTGTGTGTTGTTGCCCTCTATGTGTCCATGTGCTCTCATCATTTAGCTGCCACTTCTAAGTGAGGACATGCAGTATTTGGCTTTCTGTTCCTGCGTTAGTTTGCTAAAGTTAATGGTCTCCAGCTCCAAACATGTCCCTACAAAAAACACGGTCTCATTCTTTTTTATGGCTGCATAGTATTCCATCATGTGTATGCACCACACTTTCTTTATTCAGTCTATCATTGATGGACATTTAAGTTGATTTTATGTATTTGCTATTGTGAATGGTTCTAAAATGAACATAGGCATGCATGTGTCTTTATAACAGAAAGATTTATATTCCTTTGGGTATATACCCAGTAATGGGATTGCTGGGTCGAATGGTATTTCTGTCTTTCATTCTTTGAGGAATTTCCATGCTGTCTTCCACGATGGCTGAACTAATTTACACTCCCATCAAGAGTGTATAAGCATTCCTTTTCCTCCACAACCTAGCTAGCATCTGTTATTTTTTGTCTTTTTAATAGTAGTCATTCTGACTGATGTGAGATGGTATCTCATTGTGGTTCTGGTTGGCATTTCTCTAATAATTAGTGATGTTGAGCTTTCTTCGTATGATTTTTGGCCAAGTGTGTGTCTTCTTTTGAGAAGTGTCTGTTCATGTTCTTTGCCCACTTTTTAATGGTTTTGTTTTTTTCTTGTAAATTTCTTTTATGTTTCTTATAGATGTTAGATATTAGACCTTTGTCAGAAGCATAGTTTGAAAACATTTTCTCCCACTCTGTAGGTTGTCTATTTATTCTGTTGATAGTTTCTTTTGCTATGCAGAAGCTCTTTAGTTTAATTAGATCCCATTTGTCAACTTTTGCTTTCGTTGAAATTGCTTTTGGCATCTTCGTCATGAAATCTTTTCCCATGCCTATGTCCTGAATGGTATTGCCTAGGTTGTCTTCCAGGCTTTTTATAGTTTTGGGTTTTACATTTAAGTCTTTAATCCATCTTGAGAATTTTTGTATATGGCATAAGGAAGGGGTCCAGTTTCAATTTTCTGCATATGGCTAGCCAGTTATCTCAACACCATTTATTGAATAGAGAGTCCTTTCCTCATTGCTTGTGTTTGTCAGGTTTGTCAAAGATCAAATAGTTGTAGATGTGCAATCTTATTTCTGGGTTCTCTATTCTGTTCCATTCATCTATGTGTCTACTTTTGTACTAGTACCATGCTGTTTTGGCTACTGTAGTCTTGTAGTATAGTTTGAAGTTGGGTAGTGTGATGTCTCTAGCTTTGTTCTTTTGTGTAGGATTGCTTTGGTTATTTTGGCTCCTTTTCGGTTCTATATAAATTTTTAAATAGTTTTCTCTAGTTCTGTGAAGAATATCAATGGTAGTTTCATAGAAATAGCACTGAATCTATGGTTTAATTAATTTTCTTTATGGGTTTTCTACTCTCCATTTTATTTATTAACTCTCTAATCTTTATTATTCCTCTCTATTTGCTTTTAGTTTAGTTTGCTCTTCTTTTTTTAGTGTCCTAATGTGAAAATTAGGTTGTTGATATGAGATCTTTCTCATATCAATAACATAGATATTTACAGGTATAAATTTTCCTCTAAGCACTGCTTTCGCTGCATCTCATAAGTTTTGGTATGTTGTGTTTTTATTTTTGCCTATCTCAAGATATTTTCTAATTTCTCTTTTGATGTATTCCCTGATCCATTGATTATTTACATGTATGTTATGTAATTTCCACATATTTGTAAGTTTTCATAATTTCCATCCATGTTGCCTCAAAGGACATGATTTCATTCTTTTTCATGGCTGTGTGGTATTCCATGGTGTATATGTACCATATTTTCTTTATCCAGCCTGTCATTGATGGGCATTTAGGTTGATTCCATGTCTTTGCTATCATGAATAGTGCTGCAATGAACACTTCTATGCATGTGTCTCTATGAATGAACTCTTTATATTTTGGGGGGTATATATCCAGTAATGGGATTGCTGGGTTGAATGGTATTTCCATGTTTAGGTCTTTGGGGAATCACCACACTGTCTTATACAATGATTGGACTAATTTTCATTTGGTTCTTTTTATTGGAAGTTGAGAATCCAGAAAGTAGGGAAATCTCATGCTGATTTCCGCTTTTTTTCTGTCTTCTAAGATCAAATTTATTTAAGACTTTGGATACACCTCCTGCCAGATCCATCTCCATTTTCATTTACTGATTAAACAGAAAGGAAGGGAGGGAGGAGAGAACAAAAGTAAAAGAAAAGTGAGGCCAGGGAAGGCAGTAACAGAATGGGAAGGGGGAGAAGGAAACAGCAGAACCGAGCAGAGCAGGATGCACACAGGCATGACTCCATCCCTGAACCCAACCATGGAGCCTGGGAGAGGCCACAGCCCATGACAACCCCAGAGCACAGGGGCTGACCTCAGCATGTGTGGGAAATAGGGACCCAGTCTCCTACTGAACTTCCATTCCCCTAATACTGCCTAGCCCCACCTTCCTCACGACGTTAAGAATGTTTTCCTGAAGACAGGCCAATCATCAAACCAGTGTCCAAAGTGCTGAGTTGAAGTGAAATAGGTTACTCTGCCATGGAACTTCTCAAAGTCTTTCGTCCTGATTTATAAGGAGAATAGCAAAGAGGGAGATGCACGTGAAAGTCCTCAATCGACCTGACCATGGAATCCTTGGTCGTGGGACATCTCTTGGTGCATGTGTTCTTTGGAACATCTTGGACAACATTGGTCTCTGTTCCATCAATTATTTAGCAGCATGCTCCCCTTGTAATATTCACCATATTTTCACAAATTCTAGGACGACTCACTATTATGAGTGCAAGCAGCTAAGACCATTCCTCACACAGCTACATCCCTCACAGCACTGGGCCTGGCCTCACAGCCCAGGGGCTCAAGAGAGGCTGAGTAACTGAGCACATGAGGAAATTGCACAGCAGGGCCAGGCTATGGTCTTCTCCCAAAAATGCATTCACTCCTCCCACCCTCAGTGAGGTCACTCTGGTCTTGATGGTGATGCATTCCCTGATGGAGAAGTAGCCAACCAAGACCCTGAGGATGTAAGAAAATCTTCCTCTGCTCAAGACCGGGACAATGACTGCACATTGACACTGGAGGCCGTGTTTAGGCCGTCAGGGAAATCTGAACATACGTTCATCCCATTTAACCTTCACATGTCTTCCAGCATAGTAAAATATCCCCAAAGTCTGAAACAAAACAGCTGAACAAGAATCACATCACAGCGACATGGTAATTTCACTATGTCAAATTTGACCCTCTTTAGAGGAAAATGTAAAACAACCTCTCATTAGCCAAATCTGTCACTATTTCCTCAAAGGCAAATTGGTTCAATGTTCATTTGGGTAAGCATCATTCCAATTGCAGGCTTTCTCCCTACTCAGGCACGTCCTAACATGCCTTGTCACTCACCACGCACTCACATTCCTTTGTGACTCCAAAAATACCCAACACACAACTTTCCAAGAGAGCAAGGAGCCCTTCTTCATCAGCACTCTACACAGAAAATGAGAGCACCGTGACGGACGCACTTACCAGCCATTATACCTATCTTTCACCTCTTCGTCTTACCAGCAGTTTCATCAGTGATTGCAGTTTGACCTACTGTGATTTATTCCTCTAGAATCCAACTTTTAAAATCTAATTGCCGGCCCGGCTTGGTGGCTCACACCTGTAATCCTAGCACTTTGGGAGACCAAGCTGGGCAGATCACCTGAGGTCAGATTTCGAGACCAGCCCGGCCAACATGGCGAAACCCTATCTCTACTAAAAATACAAAAATTAGCCAGGTGTGGTGGTGCATGCCTGTAATCACAGCTACTCAGGAGACTGAGGCAAGAGAATCGCTTGAACCCGGCAGTGTTGGGGAAGGGGTTGCAGTGAGCTGAGACTGAGCCTCTGTACTCCAGCCTGGGCGAGAGAGTGAGACTCTGTCTCCAAAAAAAAAAAAAAATCTAATTGCCCACACAAAATTTCCCTAGCTCTTTTCATGTGCTACCTTTAGCAACAACCATGAGAACAGGCACCTTCTTCACAGCAGCAGAATTAGAATTATAAAGAACCGCTCCAGTTACACGGGCTAAATCACTCCAGTTCTCACCTCAGATCATACTTCTTTTGGAAGTGAGCTGGTTTCTCCTTGCTTAAATCTGTGGGCCAATGCTAATGCAATTGTATCCGATTAAGGGTAGGATTTACTTTTCTAGCAGAGATAAAAGCTTAAGTCTCCAAACCTCATACCTAAAGGTGTTCTGTCCTCAATTTCCCATAAGCTCTATCAACTGAAACCCAATCATTCAACAACCTTTCTGCAAAATGAAATCTTGTGGACTTCTGTTAAATTTACTGGGCTGAGAACATAAATTTATATCTTCTCCTTCCTGTGACCTCCCCTCAAAAAAGTTAAAGGAATAAAGGGGCATAAATCCTCGGAGTCAAATGGAAAAGGGGAATCAGCAGACAAGCAATTCCAGCTGACGTTTGACAGGCAGGTCGCACGAAGAAGAGTGGTTTAGCAGAAGGAAGAAAGCCACAGAAGGAAATGCTGTGACACCAGCAGGAAGGGAGACACTCTCAAAGTGTCCCTAGAGACACTATGGGAGCCTCATGACTCTAAAAGGACACTCACACCAAACAGGGTGGCAATCAGGGGCTCATTGGAAGTCTAAGCCCCACTGCCTTGTCCTAGGGTAGCAATGTGATACTGACCCCTAGCTAGGAACCTAGGTCATTTTCTGGAGAATTTGAATGGGAGATGCATGGCACTTCGTGAATGTGGTGGGCAGGGCTGAACACTGTACAATTGACAGTCTGGAGATAGACACCCAGACCTCCCCACATTGGCCTCCAGATTGGTGCTCACACAATTTCCCTCTGGAGAAAGCTAATAATGATATAGGAGTTAAGAAATCACTTAGGCAGATAGTAAGGGTATAGGAGTCCTTGGTAAAGCTTTTCTCTTTAATGAAAAGCAGCCCCAAATAATTTTCTAACAAAGAGCAGCCTGTAAAGTCAAGCTGCAGACATAGACAAGCAAACTGGAAGCTTGCACAGGTGAATGCCCGCAGGAACTAGGGACCAGCCATGTTCAAGATAGCGGCTCCATCTTCCCTTCTCTTTGTCGGCCACGTTTACAGTAAAGAGCAGACAAGATGGTGCCAATCAACTGGAAACCCTATTTGCATAATAACATTAGGGTGGGGAGATCAGCCTTCCCTGCATGCTATGTAAACATCATACCTCATGGAACCAATCTGTGAGTCCTAAGTAAATCAGACACCGCCTTCTGCAGCCTGTCTATAAAATTTGCTGCAGTCCATCAACTCCCCCTTTTTCAGACAGTTCTCTCTTGAAAGGAGCCGCTGTCCTCTCTCCTTTCTTCTATTAAACTTTCCACTCCTTAACCCACCCGCATGTGTCCGCATCCTGAATTCTTTCTCAGCAAGAGACAATGAACCCAAGGCTATATACCCCACACAACACAGCCGTTTCAACAGGCTCAGGGGAAGAACAGTCTCCAACTACTGATATTGAGAAGTCTTCTCATGAAATTGCCAACCCAGAGTGGTGCTCTTAATGTGATGCAACCACCTATGCACACACAGAGGTCCCAGTAGGTAGGTGGGTAGACAGATAGATGATAGACAGATAGGCAGATAGATGAGGTGATGCAGTCAGGGTTCTTCAGAGAAACAGAACAAATAACCAAAAATTATACGCATAAACACACATCCACACCTATACACACACACACACCGAATATATGTATATATAAAACTACATATAATATTTTCCTGCAGGTAGATATACAGATGGAGATACATATGTATACATATATATTCATATGTATACATATATATTCATATGTGTACATATATATTCATATGTATACATATATATTCATATGTGTACATATATATGCATATATAGGCATACATATATATTCACATATAGGTATACATATATTCATATATATTCACATATAGGTATACATATATATTCATATATATTCATATATAGGTATACATATATATTCATATATATTCATATATAGGTATACATATATATTCATATATATTCATATATAGGTATACATATATTCATATATATTCGTATATATGTATACATATATTCGTATATTCATCTATATGTATACATATATTCATATATGTTCATCTATATGTATACATATATTCATATATATTCATCTATATGTATACATATATTCATATATATTCATCTATATGTATACAAATATTCATATATATCATCTATATGTATACATATATTCATATATATCATCTATATGTATACATATATTCATATATATCATCTATATGTATACATATATTCATATATATTCATCTATATGTATACATCTATATTCACATATATTCATCTATATGTATACATATATATATTCATATATATATATTCACCTGTGCAAGCTTCCAGTTTGCTTGTCTATGTCTGCAGCTTGAGTTTACAGGCTGCTCTTTGTTAGAAAATTATTTGGGGCTGCTTTTCATTAAATAGAAAAGCCTTACCAAGGACTCCTATACCCTTACTATCTGCCTAAGTGATTTCTTCTTAACTCCTATATATACATATATATGATGTGTGTGTGTGAGAGAGAGAGAGGGAGGGAGATTTAGGATATACATATATCCCAAATATTTCTGGGTTCGGTATCCCAAATCATTCTGAAATCCAAAATGCTCCAAAATCCAAAACCTTTTGAGCACTGACATGACACTCAAAGGAAATGCTCACTGGCACATTTTGGATTTCAGATTTTTAGATTTGGGATGTTCAACCAGTAAATATAGGTTAATATTCTAAAATTTTTTTTTAAAAATCAAAATCCAAAACACTTCAAGTACCAAGCATTTCAGATAAAGGATATTCAATCTGTATTATATAGGTATATATTTATTGTATATACATATATATTACTATTAATATATATTAATGACATAATTATAATTTATTACATATTAATTGTATATATTATATATATGTATATAAAATGAGGTAAATTATTTAAAAATTGGCTTATGTGATTATGGAGGCTGAGAAGTCCCATGATCTGTCACCGGAATGCTGGAAAGTCCCACAATCTGTCACCTGAATGCTGTCACCAGGAAAGTCAGTGGTGCAGTTTGAAGGCCTGAGAACTGGAGAACCAATGATGTAGATTGCAACCAGGTCTGAAGGGCTAAGAAGGATGAGAACTGAGGGCAGGAGCAGATTGATCTTCTAGCTTAGGCAGTCAGGCAGAGAGCCAGGGAATTCTCCCTTTCTCCAGTTTTTGTTCTACTTAGGTTCCCAATGGATGGGAGGATGCCTGTCCACGTTAAGGAGGGCCATCGGCTTTACTCAGTCTACTAACTCAAATGTGAATCTCTTCTGGAAACACCCTCACAAACACCTCCAGAAATATGTTGAACCAGATATCTGGGCTGGGCATTCCATGGCCCAGTCAAATTGACCCATAAAATTAACCATCACGGATGGATGGATGGATGGACAGACGGACGGACGGACGGATGGATGGACATATAGATGGAGATGACAGATGATGGATAGACAGGTATAGGATTGGCATCCCAGAGTTGAAGAAAAGTCGCTAACACAAAAGACAGAAAACTAGAAAGCATAAGAAAGGAGACACAATGGAGAGAACAGAAGAAAACATCAAAAATATCTTAATTAATGTATTCAGTGTTATGACTAAATATTTCATCAATAAAACATCCAGCTCAGAAACACTGGAGAACAGAAAAAATATATCAGAAATTAAAAGCATGATAGCATATATGTAAAAATTTAATAAATGGTTGGAAAATAAAATTTAAGAAATCTCTCATGAAGTAAGATAAAAAGACAAAAAGATGGATTTATGTGAGAACGTGTTAGAGACCTAAACAATTAATCCAGGCGGTGTAACATCTTACCTAACGTTTTCCAGAAAAACAGATAAAGAAAACAAGTGGAAGTTATTACAGAAAAAAGTAATTCAAGAACATTTCCCATATTTTAAAATAAAAACATAAATTATAAGCTAGAATGGGCTGGCTGGATGCCTAACACAAGGACTGGTAAAAGTCTACAAGGCTGGACATCTTAATAAAATCTCAGAACATTAGAGGTGAAGAAAACAAAGTTCAAGATTCCAAAGAATGGGGGAAGTGGAGGAAGTATCCTTACCACATCCAAAAGAATGAGATCAGAATGAGACAGGATTTCTTAACAACAATTCTGAATGGCAAACTCAAAGTAAGATTATACTTCCTAGGAGCAAATGCTGATTTTAAAAATTCTAAAGGAATTCTCTACCTAGCCAAGCTCCTAATCAAGTGTGGAAGCTGATTAAAGATATTTTGAGGTGTAGAAGAATGCCAAAGGTTTTCCTCTGATGCACTCTTTCTTTGGAAGCTGCTGGAGGGTGTGATCCAGCAAAACAAGAAAATAAATCAAGAAAGAGCCCCAGGAAACAGATTCAAGGAGGAAGAGCAGAGCAGAGAAGTCCTAGAAAGACAGAGAGTGGCAATGATGCCTGGGGGCTTCAGGAAAACAGCTGGCTGGAGAGAGTGGATGCCCTTGGAAGATTATGCAACAGCTCATCAGGAAAGAATTGAGGATATTTGTTTAGAAAATTGAACATGGGGGAGGAAAATAAGCAATTATTAAATCAAGGAAAAACAAAAAGATAACAAAGAATATAATGCTGGTTGCCTACTTGGTTCTACCAAGAACAATATTCATACATTCAAATACCATGGTAAGTGATATGATAAAACATCTGGGGAAAAAAAGGTAGCAAAAATGACTGCATTAACACAAGACAAAACAAAAGCAGGATGCAATCACAGTGCATGACATGCTTCTACAAAGAACAATATTCATGCAGTTTAATGATATAAGCACTGATTACAGATTTAACTACAACAGTGACATAACAATACAGGAAGGAAGAGAGCTGAGAAGGGGTGGAAAATGAGAGCTAAATCCTTACACATAAGCAAAAGAGGCCATTAACTGATGTCTGAAATTGGTGAATTAATTATGGCAACACAGTCACAGCATTTAACCAAGTCTGAAATCTCCCAGAAAAGTTGGAAATGGTTTCTTCTTGGGAGGCTTACTGGGCAAAGAGCACGGTGTGGCCAGTATCATTGAAGTTGTATTTTGTTATTTGATATTAAAGTGTTATTTTATTCTTCAGACTAAGTACATGTATCATTTTTAGTAAACATTAAATGTAAAAAGAGCAAAGTTGCCATGTTTTGGAATACCTTTCCTAACTAGGCCAGCGATACGGTTTGGATTTCACTCCCACCCAAATCTCATCTAGAATTGTCATTCCCAGTGTTGGAAGAGGGGTCTGGTGGGAGGTGATTGGGTCATGGGGGCATATTTCCCCTTTGCTGCTCTCATGATACCAAGTGAGTTCGCACGAGGTCTGGTTGTTTAAAAGTGTGAAGCACCTCCCCCTTCACTTCCTCCTCCTCTGGCGTGTAGGACATACCTGTTTCCCCTTCACCTTCCACCATGATTGTAAGTTTCCTGAGGCTTCTCCAGCCATGCTTTCTGTACAGCACGTGGAACCATGAACCAGTTAAACCTCTTCTCTTTATAAATTACCCAGTTTCAGGTATTTCTTTATAGCAGTGCGAGAACAGACTAATACAGCCAGCCATGCCAGCACCATAGTCGGGCCGAGTGTGTGGCTGCTGTGCAATTGTTTACTCCATTCCGATTTACAAAATGCTCTCCTATATGTTTATGTTATTTAATTTTCATAATAGTCCTGCAAGGTTGGTAGTATTTTCTTATTTACAGATAAGGCACAGAGTTCGGAATGCAGGAATGGCACATCCGGGGCTATATCACAGAGCTGGGGTTTTATCTCGAGTCTGCAGCTTTAATCCTGCCTTCCTGGGATTGAAACACTGCAATTCATTCAGTGGGAGCCACAGTTCTGGAGAGGAAACATTTTGCTATTCCAAGAAACAGGTGCCAAGAAAATTTCATAAATTTAATTGTCTAGCCCGGTCATATTTCATGTCACTGGACCTTAATCCATCCATTCTCCAGACCTTGGTTCCACCACGACTGACCCTCCAGAGCCTCTGTGTGACCCCATATAAGTCACAGCCGAGGAAAGCCAAGGCTTTCCCACTGCCACCTCTAAGTGAGCTCTCACCATAGTTACCAACCAGTCCTTTCCCTTATTTTCAAATGAATCTCACTTCCTTTCATAAGATTTGATCCTAGATTCAACTTTCTCGGGCGCCACTTGCCTTTCTAATATTCAGAATTAACATAATTAAATATATAACCTATTCCCCAAACTGCCTCCTATTTTATCCAACATCACCCCATGGGTGGCTCGACTCCGATACTAAGTAACAGTGGATCCTTCCCAGGCTGTGGCTATTTTATGCCCTGAAAATTCTGTCTCAGCCTCACAGTGCTCAGAAGATATTGTTCACAATTTGGTAAAATAATAATAATAATAATAAAGCAAACAACCTGGAGATAATAATAATAATAATAAAGCAAACAAACTGGAGATAATAATAATAATAAAGCAAACAACCTGGAGATGGTGATGAGCAGGGACTCGGAGTCCTTTGTGGGGATGCACAGCCTGATGAAAGCCACAGCAAGCAATTAATGGCAGCCAAGGTCTTTGGAAATTTTTTATAGCTCTAGTACCCTTGAGTGACTGCATTGGAAAATTGGTCATTCTGTGGGGATTAATGAACAATTTTCTATCAGAGTGCAAGGTGCATTCTTGAAGAAAAGAATGACAAAAAGAATTCAATTCCCAGTGGATTCCATTTCACAATCCATTTCATTCTGCATATTGAGAAGGAAATTTGGGAATATCATCATCTGCCAAGAAGAACACTCTCATTTATTTTCTCCCCAAATAAGAAAAACCAACCAATGACCCACGAACAGCTGGGTGTCCAGGCTCCAAGTGACCAATCACAGCAGCCCCAGCGACACAATGTAAAACATCCCGTGCAGGGCTGCGGGCCACTGGCCTCATTCAGGTTTGTTAGACAAATAAGCGCCCGCAATAAGGCAATTAGGCTTCGTTTAAGTCAGTCACAACTGATTAATTCGGATTGTCGCTGAGCAGGTATTCCCTTAAAAAGCATGAAGATTCAGAAAGAAGTGTCAGTTTTGAGAAATCTAATTATGGGCATGAATGGTATGTCACACTAGAAAACCAAAATGAAGTTTTCATGATATAAAATTGTTCACTGCAAAGAAAATCTGTAATTGTATTTACAATTAAAATACTATTACCTAAAACAATTATCTTAAAAGTATTCTCCACTCCTTCCAATGCTCATTTATTTCCCAGAGATAAAATATAATACAGTAAAATTAATATTTTAATTAATAGTTTAGCATTTTATAATAATATTTTATTAAATAGAAACTTGTTTTGAATCTCAAATGGATGAAATGTAGGCCTTCAGTACGCAATGGAAGAAAATTCAAAATTTTTGCTAAGAATTAATTTTCTTCTTGAATGGTAATTTTTTTCTTTTATACAGGCATTTATTCTAAGACATGACTATAAAATAGGAAAAAAAACAAGCATTAAGAGTGGAATTCGGCAGAGCACAGTGGCTCACACCTGTAATCCCAGCACTTTGGGAGGCCAAGGCAGGTGGATCATGAGGTCAGGAGATTGAGACCATCCTGGCTAACACGGTGAAACCCTGTCTCTACTAAAAAAATACAAAAAAATTAGCTGGGTGTGGTGGCAGGGGCCTGTAGTCCCAGCTACTCAGGAGGCTGAGGCAGGAGAATGGTGTGAACCCGGGAGGCAGAGCTTGCAGTGAGCCCAGATCGCGCCACTGCATTCCAGCCTGGGTGACAGAGCGAGACCCTGCCTCGAAAAAAAAAAAAAAGAATGGAATTCAACCCAAGAAAAATGGACACAATCTATGAATAGACAATTCAGGACAGAGGAAATGCAACTGATAGATATGTTCCCATGAAAAGACACCCGACTGCTCGAGGAATCCGAAAAGAAAGAGGCATGCTTATCATCAGATGAACCCATGTCTTTAAAATCTTTACTCATTCCAGGACTGACACGGGTGCAGGCAAATGAACACAACCAGATGTGCTGATCAGAGGACGGCCTTGGAGACTGACCTGGCAACACCCATTCATCTCAACATTGCACACAGCGTTTGACCTGCCCATTCACCTAGTGACATTTTTTCTTTTTTTTTCCTTTTTCTTTTTTTTTAACAGAGTCTCGCTCTTTCATCCAGGCTGGAATACAGAAGTGGTGCGATCTCAGCTCACTGCAACCTCCACTGCCTGGGTTCAAGCGATTCTCCTGCCTCAGCCTCCTGAGTAGCTGGGATTACAGGCACCTGCCACCACACCTGGCTAGTGAGATCTTTTTCAAAGCCCCAACATGTGTATGCAGACAGACACGTACACATCTATGTATAGATATGTGTGGATGTCTGTGTATGCACAGTGTGTGTGTATATATATCTATATGGAGAGATCAAATGTGAAATTGTTCATGAGAAAAAAATAAAAATAAAATGCTAAAAACAATCTGAATGCTGAATAAATTATATGACATCTATATATATTAAGTTGTATATTTCAGGCTGTAAAAATTCAAACAGCACAAAAGAGCTTAAGAATAGAAATGTTTTAAGAGCACCAAAGATCTCCCAGAAGTACGCCAGCATCTCTGCCCTCAAACTTCAGTGGTCAAAGGTGACACTGCCAGTTCCTAAACCAGCCACCGTCGGAGAGGGAGTACCCGTATAAAAAAAGCCATCTCTCAATCCACAGTTTGGAGGATCAAGCTGTTATGTTTATGAGCCATGGCTTTGTCTGCACATAACATTGCTATTAGCACAAACGTATTGCCATGTCCTTAAACGGGAATTTGATACCATTTTTTTGTCAGGAGAGTTTTTTCCTTCAAAGAACACAAGGTTCTTTATGAAAGCCCAACCTGATTTGGGGACTGACGTCATGAGAGCCATCCCTAGTTTGAAAGAAGAGAGCGACAGCAATGCTAGGGGATGGTGCAACTTTCAGTCAAACTGAGTTTTTGTTACTATTGATGTTTTTGAAACAAACAAACAAATCTCTGTGAAGTAACTGAAGAATAAATGGTCTAAATCAGAGAAGAACCAAAGACGCTGTACATTCACCTACCTGCTGATGTAAATGTGTAAATTTCCTCTGGAGTTTGGACTCAACAGAGTCTGGAGTATTAGAACAGCCCCTCTGCTCCAGCCGAGAACTTTGGGAGATGCAGGAGGAAGAAAAAGCAGTGGGGCAAAAACCCACTTAGAAAAACAAAAGGCTAAGTATATTTGGAGAATAAACTGTCAGAAATTTGTGACCAACATTTTGCCTGAATATGGTCTCAGATTTTTTAATTCAGATTTTTCTACATATTAATAACATAATTAATAACTCAAGTCATCATTTTAGACTAAGAAAACAGTTTTTCCTGCCTCGAAACCTTCTAAGTGAACATGACTTCCCACAGAACCAGAAGGACGCTGTGAGCTTCCTCCACTCTTCTCCCTGCCAGTAGGTGGTGAGGTTTTCTTAGCTACTGACCACGTTCTGCCCCATCTCCCTGCCCAGACATACTGGGTTCGCTCTCAGTTCCGCATGCTTTTGCATCAAATTAAATTAACCGGTTGGATGCTGACAGGCCACAAATCAATAGTAGACGGAAATCCTTTAAGATTCATGGGCGAGTTCTCTCTCGGGAGGGCAGTCTTGAGGATGCACAAGCTTGCCTGCCAGGATACATGGAGATGGGTTTGTTCTGGTTTTCGATTCCCCCCTGCTCACTGCGTGACCTCTTCAGATGTTAGCCATGCTCACTAATTCAGGCTCAAAAGACAATGGAGGGAGGGCGTGTGAACAATGTGATTTACCAACAGGGATGATGGAGAAAGGAAGAGACTGTGATCAATGCGAGCTTTACTCTGATCCAGTATCCAAACATGAACACACAAACTAGAGTGACAACTGTACGGGCAAACTCTCTCAGGTCACCCGGCAGTTCTCCCTACACCCTCCAAAATTTCACAACAGGATAGAGGAGCCCAAATATGAATTAAAATGTCCTTGCCTCAGACAAGTAGGCAAATAAAAGCCACTGTCCACCATATCCTGTGAAGGTTCACAGGCATTTATTGTGTGCCTGTGGGAACAGATACTATTTAACCAACCACATTAACGAATTCCTGCCTATGGGAGCCACACAAAGTGAGGAATGCCTGTATTCTGTCTTTCTTGTTTACTTCCATCTAATTTATAGTTCGATCTTGTGTATGTTCGTGTGTTTCTAATACCACTTAGCCTGCATTTTCTCTTTTTATTTAAATCAACATTTTTATTTTTATTTTTGGAAAAACTAATTTTTAAGCCATCTCTAGTGATGTGTTATTTTCTATTGTATTCCTCTTGCTTTTATATTTGTTATGTTCTCCTTTGTGCTTTATTTGAAATTAATTCGATTGTTTATTTTCTTTAATTGAAGTCTATTAATAATTTTTTGAATATTTGTACTTAAAACTAAGAACTTTCCTTTGCTATTTAGATGCCTAGTGCATTTGTTATTGTTCAATACAAAGAATTTCACTTTTTATTCAATTGTATTTTTAAAAATAAATTATTTTGAATTATTTTCACAATAAAAATTCTATTTGTTTATAATAGATATAAATTTAAATTAATATAATATAAATACTAGATATATGTCAATATATATCGATATCTACAATAGATATAAACCATGTTCCATGGAAAAACAATGACTAAATAAAAGCATAGTGAAGAATATTTTTAAAAATACTTGAATGTCACCACTTTTAAATGACCATCTTCTATGTTGCTAATTATCCATCACATACCACCTTCCCATGTTCTTATGCACATGCACTCATGTACACGTGTGCACACACAAGCAAATGGAATCATATCATGACCATTATGATTTTTAATAATTATAAGCTTGATTTTCAAATGTGTGATTTGGGGGACAAAATGGTATTTCACCTTTTATCTCTAATTGTATTGTGCCATTGTCAGCAATGATGATCTTTATTATATAAATTTCTTGAATTTATTGAGAATTCCTTTGTGGCCCACTTATGAATAGTTTTTTAAATCTTCTATTTATTAATGAATATATGCATTATTTGTTATTTGCACATGTGTGTATACAATCAAGATTAGTTGTATTATTTAATAATCTACAGCTCTACTTTTTGTCACCCTCTTCTATCAGTGAGCCTTAGTAATCACTCCCACTCTGATTACTGATTTTTCAACTTCTACTTGTAATTGTGTTGAATTATGTCATACAGTTTGCAAGATTGCAAAGTTAGGTTCACACAAGGTTGTAATTGCAGTGTGTTACTGACAGATTATTGCTCTTATCATCTATTATATGCATAACTTTTCCTAAAAATATACTTTATTCCATAACATAGCTACATTAATTTTGTTTCAGATGATATTTTTCTGTATGCATTTTCCTAAGATTTTATCCTCAACCTTTAAGTGTAACTGTGCTTTAAGCATGCCTTACAAATTGCATATGGCAGGATTTTTTCAATATCAAGTCTCTTGTCTCTTAAGAAGTGAATTTTATCTGTTTTCACTTACCATGATTACTGATAAATTTCTACCACCTTATTCTGTGTTCTCCATGTATTATCTTTAATTTTTCTACTGTACTTCTTTTTTCTGCCTTCTATTAGGTAAGTCATCGTCTTTTCAATCCCTATTTTTCCTCCACTTCCCTAAAAGTATTATATTCCTTTCTATTATTTTAGTGATTACTTTTATTTTTTCCAACTTCCATATTTTTTGTATTTGCTAACAAAATATAAAGTTAGTCGATTTTCATACACTGTCGCCAAACAAAAACTTACGAATCCATAATTTTCCTACAAAACCCCTCTCCCAAATTTCACATTACTGTTGTCTAATGTGTATTTTCAATCCGTCTTGCTTTAAAATTATGAAAAAATACCTATAACACTTTCACAGCAATATGATTTTACTCATGTTTATCCAATAGGAAGAAGGGGAGGCAACATGAATGTCAGTAAAGGATTGATACAGGGCAAGCTTGAGGACCGCACCCAAGAGCATGGACTCAAGTTGCCTGAATCTACGCTCAGATTAGCCACAGTTCCGAGTGGACTTTTAAAGGAAAAGGGGAACAGAGAGTGGGCTGATGCAAAGTTGTTGGTCAGGAATCTTACTGGCTTACAGGAACAGTACTAAGTAGTGATTGGCTACACATTGTTAGTCGACAGGATATGGGTTATAACGTCCAGCACAGCATTATTAGGTTAATTCATAGCAACCTGTAGCAAAAGCAGGCCGCTTTGAGAGACGGGTGCACAGCTCAAGGGAAGGAGAAGTGGGGACTGGTTGCTGTCTCCTTTTAATGTCTCTCTGGGGCTGGTAATGAAAAAGACTTGCATTCCTCACATAAAACTTTTCTTTTCTCACCTATTTAATTGTCATTTCTTCTTTCTGCCACTTCTTCCCCTCTAGGTGTGCTTTTCTTCTTACTGGAGCTATCCTTTAGTTGTTCTTTTTTATGAGCAAGCACATTTAGTGTGTCTGAAAATGCTTTTCATATTGCCCTCAACTTTGAATGAAAGTCAGCGTGGTACAGCATTGCAAGCCTGTTCTTAACCCACTGAAGACACTCCATTGTCTTCCACCTTCAGCTGTCCTGTGGTTGGTAATGGGAAAGTCGCTTTAATTGTTGTTCTTTCTTCGTAGGTTATCTGGGATTCGCTCTCTCTCTCTCTCTGTCTCTCAGCTTTCATGATTCTGTTTGTCCTTAATATTGTTACTGTAGCATTCTTTTTTTTTTTTTTTTTTTTAGACGGAGTCTCGCTCTGTCACCCAGGCTGGAGTGCAGTGGCGCAATCTCAGCTCACTGCAAGTTCTGCCTCCCAGGTTCATGCCATTCTCCTGCCTCAGCCTCCCAAGTAGCTGGGACTATAGGCGCCCGCCACCACGCCCGGCTAATTTTTTTGTATTTTTAGTAGAGACGGGGTTTCACCATGTTAGCCAGGATGCTCTCGATCTTCTGACCTCGTGATCCGCCCACCTCGGCCTCCTAAAGTGCTGGGATTACAGGCATGAGCCACCGCGCCTGGCCTACTGTAGCATTCTTAGCTACATTTGTCTTTATTCATTTATTCATTCTGCTTAGGATTCAAAATGCTTTCTCAGTGTGAGGATGTGTGAAACTTATCCACTGTTGCCTCTTTAATTTTTCTGTGGTTCTGCCCCAATATTCGTATTAGTCCTAGAACAAACTGCCAACTCACCCGCACAGTTGGCTTCCCTCCAAATTAAGGATGTGGTGAAATTCTGATTATTTTATTTAGTCCTCTTTCCTTGCTCTACTTCAGGGTGGGAGGGGGCAGGCACAGTGGGAGCCATCAAGAGCTGTGCCAGACTCTGCTCCTTTACTGAGCCTCCCAGCTTCAAATGTATGAGGAAGGCTGAATGTCTGGTAGCTGCCAGTGAATGTGTTTGCTGTTTTCTACTTGTATTTTCCGTGGTATTGTGACAATCATTCAAGATTTAGCTTCTCTCCATCACCTTCAACTTGAATTCTCCCGTGTTACTTTTATAGTTCAAAGAAAAAGTATATATGTCCTGCCTCCAACTCCTGCTAAGTTCCTTGAGGGAGAGATGCCATAACCATTATCTTTGAGTGTTCCCCTACTGACCCTAGTAGAGGACCCTAAGCAGGTCGGAAACTTGGAGAATGTGATTACCCAACTGGTGGCATTCCTAGGACTAGACACACCTGGATTCCTACCTGGGTCAGCGACGGCCAAGGTGGAGGACAAAGGCGGGCACCTGGCTCATGTGCATGTGAACGTGTGGAGTGCAAACCTGCCAAGAAAGAAAATGACAGGCTCCTTGCCCCACTCACTTCACGGCCATTCTCTTGAGAACCCTAAATGGCAGGTCAGTTCTGGTCATATGAGTCTCTTCCCCATAGGAAGTAAAAAGAGGTCGGAATGATTTATGTCACTTGATATATAACTCAACAGTGACTTCTGGCTCCTGTCATGCTGTGCTGGATCCGGTGAAGTGATTTAAAATGCCTGTGTGCAGCATAAGGAGAGGCCAGCCAAAGACGTGACTGTCTTGATCAGAAACGGAAGGTGAATCACTTTACATTGGAAAGATACATGAGCGTTCATAGCATGTTTGATTCGCTGTGAAGACCATGTATAAACACACACATACACATGTGTACACATACACACATACCCCACATTCTCCAGGAAATTTGAGTATAGTCAAGAGTTTCATGGCTCAGAAATTAACTGGAATAATTTCTTCTGCTAAGTTGTATGAATTATATTTCAAGTAGTGTTCCCTGGCTCTCAGTCTTCTCTACATGCTAAGTGCAAAAAGAAAAATTATAATCAGTGTTCCTTCAAGTTATTTTCCCAAACTGAAGGGCACTGAGTGATTAGCATTAACATCCCATAAACATAATCCATTGTATTAGACTACAACTACATTTATCTTTTTATTGGACAGTTTTACCAGGAAATGTACCTTTTCGGAAGTCAGGAGGTCTGAGCTCCTCATCCTATCTCTAGGCTATAGTTTCCTTATCAGAAAATGGAGTCTTTGGGCTGAGAGATTCCTCTGGCTCCCCCGTTGCTATGCTCTGAGGGTCTGCTGATGTGCTCTCACGGACATCAAGAGATCAGTCAGTTCTCATTTCCACTGTCCAAGATGTTGAAATGAAAATCCCCTTATTATGGAAAATGCCATCTCCCTGTTGACTGCGGGTATCTTGTGTTTCTTTAACAGCTGAAAACAAGAATAATTGCAACAATAGCATCCTTCCCTCATAGGCACTGACAATGCCTCACGCACAGTAAGAGCACAAGCTAAATAAAAATGCATTCTCCATGTAATGGCGGCATGTTCCTTCTTCCCTTTGTTCAACACTTGTGTTATAATTACAATATTCCCAGCTGTGTTCTAAGTGCTGTGGGAAGTACAGAGGTGCCCTCACATGTCCCATGTCCTCCCCGTAATTTGAGCGTCTAGACAGCATGGCTTGCCTGGGACAGTCCCAGACTCCACCTGCTGTTCAGGAGTACTTATCAGCAGCACTCTCACTCCCTCCCAAAGAGTCTCAACTCGGACAGTCACTTAGATTGGTACCTTACCTTGAGGAAACTGACAATCTAGAACGGGAGCCAACAGACCTATGACAGTGATTCTGATACAAAGCCTAAAGCACAAACCGCCCCAGGAGAATGGAGAGATGGCGCTGGGCATGCAGGGAAGGGGAGATGTTTCCAGCCCAGGGCGCAGGAAGATGGTGGACCCTGAGGATGTCCACCTCAGACAGAAGCCATTCGGCAGAGGCAGGGATGGAATCAAGCGTGAGTTCCAAGGTCTGGTCAGCTTCAGTGACACAAGGAAACGTGACCTGTAGCTGTGGGGAGGTGTGGACCATTCTCCATGCCGAGTCAGAGACTGGGATGGAAGCTGGGATCCATGAAACTCCTCTTTGCCTCACTCTCCTCTCCTAGCAAGTGGGAACGATAGCTGTCCCCAGCCTCCATGGGTCCTTATGAGGAAATGAAGCAAACAACGTGCTTAGAGGGGAACCGATGGCAGCTGTGAGTTTAGAGAGATGTTTCTCGGGCACCTGGTGCCTGGGGGTTGGTAGGCAAGACAAGAAAAGTGGTTCTGCCAAAAAAAAAAAAAAAGAGAGAGAGAGAAATGAGCAGAGAAGCAGGCAGCTCCCTCTACATTTTTAGGTGTCATATAAACTACCCATGTCATCAGTGCTTCCAGAAACCTGGCATGCAGTAGGTACTAAGTAAATGCAAATGTGATTGAATACCACCATCATAATATGCAAATCTAAACCAATGGTGTGGCATGGGATTTCGGAGAGAGAAGAACCTGAGAGTCGAGGAAACCCAGGCTCAGGAAGGCTGCCCCAGGCTCTCGACGCTGGAGGGTGTCAGAGGCAGCCACATTCCCTGGGGTCTTTGCCACAGCACACAGGCTTATGTGACTTTCAAGTGTGTAAAGTCACACGATTTCCAGAGCCTTTTTTTTTCTTTTTTAGAGAAAAATAATTCAGTTGCCCTGTATCCCAGTCTTCCTAGAGTTCTGACACTTCGATTTTCATAACATTTATCTTAGCCTCAAAGTGTTGTGTAGCATTAAATACATGTGTGATTACCATGAATTGCAATTAACTTTGTTTTGAAAACTTCCAACCTCCTTTGGGATAATTCAAGGCATGGTAGGGGTTAGGAATCGTTTCTCTAGCCCTCCACTAATTCTCCCAGAAGGTGTGAAATGCATGAGAATGCAACTCAAGTCATTTTAGCATCCGGATCTGGGAACACTGCTCTGAGGCATCACATAAAACCCTGCCCAGGGTGTGTGAATGATCTGTGTGTGTGCACTCAGAGCTGAAGGAGGTAGGAATGGTGCAGAAGCCCATGTCAGAGCTGCAGAACGGGGCTGGGGGGTGGTGAGGGATGGCTGCTCAAGACAGGGAGACAGAAAGACGTGATGAAAGGGATGTGGGATGATTTTAGCCTCGGGCATAAGGCAGAAAGCTCCAATTTCTCACCAAGATTGTATCATTTATCCCTGAATTGAAAATTTTCACTAAACATATCAAAAAGGAGAGGCAGGAATTAGCCAATTTTAATAAATAATTATTGAGCACCTTCTTTGTGCCAGACACTGTCTTAAGTGCTGGGCTGGAGAGAGTTACTGGGGGAAATATAAAGATAAATAAGTCATAATCTGTATCCTACAGGAGCCTCTGCTGCTCGCATGTATAATTCAAGGCAGATGTGCTAAGTCTTAAAAGAGGAGGAAGTGTTTATCCCCGACTGAGCTATGTCAGGGAGAACAAGGCATTTCATCTGGATCCCGAAGAAAAGAAGAAGACTCAACTCGTAAACGGGCGAGGAGAGTAGAGACTCTGCAGACACAAAGAGCAGCAGAAGCAGAGGCAACAAACCAGGAAAGGGAGGGTGGGTTCCCAGGACAATTGGTGACCTGGTTAGTGGAGCAGAAGCTTGTGAGAGGGTGCAGTGAGGGACGAACTCACCAAGCAGGACTCGCCTCTGACTCCCCTGCCACAGCCACAGGCACACTCACACACACTCACAAATGCACATTCACTCATATGTACAATCGCAATTGCACACTCACACATACAAGTGAACCCACACACACCTATCACACGTGCACACATTCACAAACGCACTTACACATACACATACTTGCCAATGACACACATACACACAAATGCACACACGTGCACACAAATGAATCCACACATGCTTGCATATCACACATGCACACAGTCACAAATGCACATACACACAAATGCATATTCACCCATACACACACTCACAAATGCACACTCACATGCACGCAAATGAACTGTGCTCACATCACATGTGCACACTCACAAATGCACACTGTTGCACATGTGCACACATACCCTCTCACATGCACACGAGAATGCCTGCACACACTCACACTCTCTCACATGCTCACATGCACACACTTACATCCACATGCTTACACACACACACGCTTATGCACACACGTGCACATGCACACACCTTCTACAGTGGGGAGAGCTGCAGCCTCCCAAGGAGTCAGGCTCCCTGCCCTCCCTTGTCAGTGCCAGCAATCTCGTAATACAGGCTAGGGCAGAAAAAGCAAGATTTCTGTGGGCATCATAAGGAGAAATCCTGGTTGATGAGAGTTGAAATGAAAATCTTAGGCACCCCTGAAGACGGTCTTGGGCAGGAGATTAATCCTCACAGTGCTAGACGTGCCCACTTTGTAGAGACCTAAAGAGAACCAAACAGCAACCAGCATGACACAGCCCTTCCACACATCTTTTCCACCCCAATTAGAGTCTCAGAACTCACCGCTCCCTCCTTAGTATTGAATGCCTGCTCACAGCATGCAGAGACTGTGAGTGACAGGGAACATAAGGAGAAGTGATGACACTGAGGCAGGAGCACATGGCTGAGACAGAGAGCCCTCCGGGGTCCAGGCTGCACAGCTCCCTGCCTCTGAGTATCACCTGGGCTGTGGGACCCAACCCCCAGGGCCAAGCCCAATTTTCCATATTCTTCCTCCTTTGTTGTGTGACCCTGTATGGCTGGGACCTACACTGGAGGACTCTTGTAGATGTTATGGCTACTGATGCTACTCAAAAGCCTAGACGCTTGAATGGAGGTACGTTCACTAAGGAAATTTAGTGTGTGTTTTAAACTCCTCCTACTTGCCCCCACCTCCCACACAAAACAGGTCCAGATAAGTATAAACACCCTTTTCCATACATTCAAGAACAGAATACACAAACCATGAAAACACAAATGATTTCAGGCAAGTATTGGAAAAAGAGAAATATAAGAAAGGAAAAATATAAGCCAATCTCACATGTAAATACAAAAGGCTGAATAAAATATTGCCAAACTAAATATGAAAGTATATTAAAAGATATCAAATAAGGTTTATATCAATATATAATGCAGGGATGGTTTACATTATGAAGATATTATTGTAATTTACCACATTAAGATATTAAAGGAGAAAACACTTATAATCATCTTAACATATGCAGAACAAATTGATAAAATTCAAAACCCATTAGTGATATTTTAACTTATTGAGGGAGAGAGTCAGAGAGGGAGAGAGAGAGAAAGAGAGAGACCTTCCATACTAGGAGAAAGGATAGCAGTTCATAAGCCAGAACAAACATATTTAATGTTGAAACTTCAAAGTCAGGAAGAAGCTAGTGCTTGCACATCTTTTTCTTACATAGAATTAGCCTTATATAAAAGGTTCTAGGCATCTCAATAACAAAAGAAAAAGATAACTGAAAAAGAATAAAATTGAATTGTCATTATGCATAAACATATGATTATCAAGATAGAAAATGTCTTCAATTTCCAGTCACCATATTAGAACTAACAGAAAAGTTCAGCAAAGTCACTGGCTGCAAGGTCAATATAGCAAAATCAGTTATACAAGCAAGAAACATAGAAAAGTATAATTTTTTAAAGACACCATTTAGTTCTCAAAAAAATGATTTGGATTTCTAAAAACGACCCAGAAGCCAGATTGAAGAGAGTCCATTAACTGAATTTGGATCAATTTAAACATCAAAATAAATAATAAAGAATGAATTGTAATTCTTTAAATCTATTTTTTTAAGAAAAGAATCCATTAATCTATTCTGATACTAAAATTACCTGAAAAGAAGGTCTTCAGGATAAAGAAATGCTAACTTATTGATGAGAAAAAAAAATTATGAAAATAGAGATCATCAAGATGGCTGGCTAGAGGCACCCAGCACTCACCTCCTTCCCAAAAAAGGACCAAAACAACAAATAGGTAACCACATGTCAAATAGAGGATCTAAAGGAGAACACTGGAATTCATCAAAGGAATGACAAAGACCTTCCAAGGCACAGAAACTCAAGAAGACAGCACAGAGAGGGAAGCAACACAGCTGGCTGGGATCTGGGATCAACTCACAGCCATGCGGAAATCCCTACTGTGGGGAAAATATAAGCAAGAGGTCCAAGCAGCTCTCATTTTCATGACAGACACCTGCAATGCTGGCTGCAGGAGAGCCCCTCAGCCTTCACAAGCCCTGAACCCAGTATAAGAAGGTGCCTGGAGTCCATGCTACGGCATTGTCCCAGAAAGGGAATCCACACTGGGACACCCCCCATTCCCAGGCCCACAGGACCCAAACTGCTGCAGTAGGGTACCATTGTGAGAGCAGAGTCCAGAGTCCATCTTGCCCTGGGGGTTAATAGCCCCTGCATGTCCACATCTCTGGGGCCCAGCTGACATTCCCCCACCCCCACCCAGAGGGCTACAACATTGCAACACCAGCAGAACTCAGTGATACAACCCCGGTGTTGGGTCTCTGGCACTCAAGTCCACACAACACCCTACATTGCAGGTAATAAGTGGTCCAGCACATCAGGGAGGCTGCTCCCAGGACAAATATAAAGCCAAAATACATGCTTCCCAGAGCCTGAGATTCACCTTCCTGGGTCTGCAGCTGCCAATAGCAACCTTGCCTCTCTAGCAGCAAGGTCATCACACACCTGTGCATTCCACCCATGAATATGAGTACCAGCCTGCTTTGACCTCCCCCACCCATTGCTGCCACCACCAGTGCCTGCATGTGCCATTCAGGGACCTAAGGACTGGCCCACCTGATGTCCCTGTCCCCAGCAAAAATGCCCCACAGAAAGAAATGCACAAATGCAGCCTAAGACACTGATAACTCACAGACACTGCTGATATTAATTAGAGCCAAAGAAATCTCACGGAGATAATACCACTGCATCTACCCAGGACCAAAGCCATAGCACTCTACCCAAACAACAGTATAGACAGATCTACAAGAAAAAGTCTTTCCCTACAAAAGTTACTCCATAAAACTTGATGAGTCAACTGTTACACTAGATGCATCTAGATGCACTAGATTAATGTAAGGACAAAAGAAACAAAAAAGGAAGGAAACATGACACCTTCAAGGAACACAATAATTCTCCAGTAACATACCCCAAAGAAAAGAAGATATATGAAATGCCTGAAAAGGAACTCAAAATAATGATCTTAAGGAAACTCAGTGAGATGGAAGAGAACACAGGTAGGCAGTACAAAGAAAAACAATTCATGAAAAGAAAATAATTCAAAATCAAGGAGATAGATATCATAAAAATAATAAAACAGAAATCATGAAACTGAAGAATTCAATGAAGGAAATTCAAAATACTGTTGAGAGCTCCAACAATAGACTACATCAAGCAAAAGAAAAAAGTTCTGAACTTGAAGATAGATAGTTTATCTTTTGAATAATCCAGTCAGACAATTAAAAAATGATTAATTTTAAAAGGATGAAGAAAGCCTACATGACACACGAGACACCATAAAGTAAACTAATATTCACATGTGGGAGTTCCAAAATTATCAGAGATGGGAAAATGCAAAGAAGAACTATTTCATGAAAGAATAGCTCCCAAGTATTGGGAGAGATAGAGACATCTAAACATAGGGAACTCAAAGCATCCCAAAAACATTTATCCCCCTGAAAAAAGTCCTCTTCAAAACCAGCAAGAGAAAAGCTTCCAGTCACATATAAGGGAATCCTCATCAAACTAACATTAGATTTGCTTTTTCTTTTTTTTTTTTTTTTTTTTTTTTTTTTTTTGAGACAGTCTCACTCTGTTTCCCAGGCTTGAGTGCAGTGGTGCAGTCTGGGCTCACTGCAACCTCCACCTCCTGAGTTCAAGAGATTCTTGTGCCTCAGCCTCCCAAGTAGTTGGAATTACGGGCATGCCCCACTATGCCTGGCTAATTTTTGTATTTTTTTTTTTTCAGTAGAGACAGAATTTCATCATGTTGGCCAGGCTGGCTTCAAACTCCTGACCTCAAGTGATCCACCTGCCTCAGCCTCCCAAAGTGCTGGGATTACAGGCATGAGCCACCATGCCCAGCCACATTAGACTTTTTTAGCAGAAATTTTATATGCCAGGAGAAAATGGGATGATATATTCAAAGTGCTGAAAGAAAGCAACTGCTAATCAAGAATACTATGCCCAGCAAATCTAACCTTCAGATATGAAGGAGAAACAAAGTCTTTTCTAGACAAGCAAAAACCAAGGAAAGTCATCACCATTAGACCATCCCTACAAGAAATGTTTAAGAACATCCCACACCTGGAAGCAAAAGGATATCGATCATCATAAAAACACATGAAAGTATAAAACTCACTGGTAAATCAGATACACAAATGAGAAAGAGAAAGGAATCAAACAATATCACTATAAAGAAAAAACCCCATCAAACCAAAAAGATAAAAAATAAGAGAGGAATAAAGGAACAAAGGGTATACAAAACATGTGGAAAACAATTAACAAAATGACAGGAGTAAGTCCTCATAACAATCACAGCCCTGAATGTAAAGAGTTTAAATTTCCCAATTAAAAGATATATACTGGATAAATGGATAAAAAGAAGACCCTACTATAAGCTGCCCACAAGAAACTCACATTACCTGTAAAGACACATATTGACTGAAAGTGAAAAGATAGAAAAAGGTATTCCATGCAAATGGAAACCAAATGTGTGCAGTAGCAGCTATACTTATTTCTTACAAAATATACATTAAGTTAAAAAAATAAAAAGAGACAAAGAAGGTTATTATATAATGGCAAAGGTATCAATTCACTAAGAAAATAAAAAATTGTAAATATATATTCACCAGTACTGAAGCACACAGACATTTAAAACCAATTTTATTAGCGCTAAAAAGAGAGGTAGACACTAACACAGTAAGAGCTGGGGGACATCAACACCCAATTTCAGCATTGGACAGATGATCCAGGCAGAAAATGAACAAAGACACTTTGGACTTAAACAGTATGGTAGACATAATGGACCTAGCAGATATTTACAGAATGTTTTATCTGACAGCTGCAAAAATACACATTCTTCTCATTGATCCATGGAAGTTTCTTGAGGATAGACCATATGTTAGATCACAAAGCAAGTTTCAAAAAAAATTTTTAATAAAAATAATATCAATTATCTTCTCAAGCCACAGTGGAATAAAACTAGAAATCACTGACAAGAGGAACTTTGGAAACTATACAATTACATGGAAATTGACATGTATTTGTCAATGTACGTGCTCCTGACTAACCAAATGGTCTATGAAGAAACTAAGAAGGAAATAAAAAAAGTCTTGAAACTAATGAAAATAAAAATGCAACATACCAAAACCTTTGAGATACAAACAAAAGCAGTACTAATTGGAAAATTTATAACAATAGCACCTACATCATAAAAGCAGGAAGATTTCAAATAAATAACCTAACAATGCATCCCAAGAAACTAGAAAAGAAAAACAAAACCCTAAAAGAGTAGAAGGAAAAAAATAATAAAGATCAGAGAAGAACTAAACAAAACAGATACGAAAATACCCACAAAGATTAATGAAACAAAAAAGTCTTTTTGAAACTAGACAAGTCATTAGCTAGACTAAGAAAAAACAGAAAAAAACTCAGATAAATAAAATTATAAACAAAAAAGGAGACATTACAACTAATACCACAGAAATACAAAGGATAATTAAAAATTATTAGGAACAACTATACACCAACAAATTGGAAAACCTGGAGGAAATGAATAAATTCCTGAACAGATATAACCTACAGAGATTGAACCCAGAAGAAACAGAAAACCCAAACAGACCAATAATAGCAGAGATGGAATCAGTAATTAAAAAAAAAACTTTCCCAATAAAGAAAAGCCCAGAACTAGATGGCTTTACTGTTGAATTCTACCAAATGTATAAAGAAGAATTAACATCGATTCTACTCAAATTATTCCAAAAAAAATGGAAGAGGAGGAAATTTTTTTCTAACTCATTCTATGAATCCAGCATACCAAAACTAGACAAGAACACAACAAAAAAGAAAACTACATGGCAATATCCCTGATAAACATAGATTCAAAAATCCTCCAAAAATACTAATAAACCAACTCTAACAGCACATCAAAAAGATAATCCACCATGACCAAGTGGGATTTATTTCAGCGATGCAAGGATGGTTCAACATACACAGATGAATGCATGTGATACATCATTCAACAGAATGAGGAACAAAAACCATATGATCATATCAATGGATTCAGTAAAAAGAATTTAATAAAATTCAACATCCCTTCATGATAAAATCTCTCAACAAATTAGGTATAGAAGGAACATACTTCAACACAAGAAAAGCCATATATGACAAACCCACAGTTTACATCATACTGAACAGAGAAAAGCTGAAAGCTTTTTCTCCGAGAATTGAAACTAGACAAGGATGCCCATTTTTACCACTCTTATTCAGCATAGTACTGGAAACCCTTGACAAAATAATTAGATGAAAGAAAGAAAATAAGATCATCCAAATTGGAAAAGAGTAAGTTGAATTGTTTGTCTTTGCAGAATACATGATCTTATATGTAGAAAGACCTAATGACCCCACCAAAAAATTCCTAGACTTGAAAAATGAATTCAATAAAGTTGCAGGATAAAAAATCAACAGACAAAAACAGTAGCATTTGTATACACCACTAATGAACTATCTGAAAAACAAATAGAAATCAATCCCATTTACAATAGTTACAAAATAAAATACAATACTCAGGAATAAACTTAACCAAAGAGGTGAAAGATTTATACTGATGAAAAAAATTAAAGACACACCAAAATTGGAAAGACATCCCCTTCCCATGCATTGAAAGCATTAATACTTGAAAGAATCAAAAGAATTAATTGAAAGAATTAATTAAAATTACCCTACTACCCAAAACAATCTACATATTCAATGCAATTCTTATTAAAATACAAATAACATTCTTCACAGAAATAGAAAAAAAACTTTAAAATTTGTATGGAACCACAAAAGATCATCATACATAGGCAAAGCAATACTGAGCAGAAAAAAAAAACTGGAGAAATTATACTCCCTAACTTCAAAATATACTACAAAGCTATACTAATTAAAACAGTATGGTACTGACATAAAAGTAGACACATAGATGAATGAAACAGAATAGAGAATCCAGAAATAAATTTATATATTTACAGCCAACTGATCTGCAACAAAGGTGCCAAGAACATACAATGGGGAAAGAATTCCCTTTTCAATAAATTGTTCTGGGAAAACTGGATAGCCATTTGAAGATGAGAAAAACTAGACCCCTATCTCTCACTATATAGAAAAATGAACTCAAAATGGATTAAAGCTTTAGATGTAAGTCCCAAAACTATTAAATACTAGAAGTAAACGTAGAAGAAATGCTTCAGGACATTGGTCTAGGCAAAGGTTTTATGGGTAAGACTTCAAAAGCACAGGCAACAAAAATAAAAAATATTAGGTTGGTGCAAAAGTAAGTGCAGTTTTTGCCATTTAAAAGCAAATGGCAAAAGTAAACTAAATGCCAAGAATTGCAATTACTTTTGCACCAACCTAATAGATAAATGGGACTGTGTTAAAAACTTCTGCACAGCAAAGGAAACAATCAACAGAGTGAAGAGATAACTAACAGAATGGAGGAAAGTGTTTGCAAACTATTCATCTGAGAAGGGACTAATTTCCAGAATATGCAAATAACTCAAGCAACTCAATAGCAAAAAAAAAAAACTAATAATTTGATTTTTAAATGGGCAAAGAATCTGAATAAATATTTCTCAAAAAAAGACATACAAATGGCCAACAACTATATGAAAAAATGCTCAACATCACTAATCATAAGGAAAATGCAAATCACCATCACAATGAGATACCATGTCACTCCACTAAGGCTATTATCAAAATGACAAAAAATAACAAATGCTGGTAAGGATGAAGAGAAAAGGGAACTCTTATACAGTCTTCATAGGAATGTAAATTAGCACAGACATTATGGAAAACAGTATAGAAAAAAACTAAAAATAGTACTACCATATGATCTCACTATCCCACTACTGGGTAGTTTTCCAAAGGAAAGGAAATCCATGTATCAAAGAGATAGCTGCATTCCCACGTTTATTACAGCACTACTCACAATAGCCAACATGTGAAATCAACTTAAGTGTCCATCAACAGATATTAAGGAAGAAAACATGGTACAAATACACCATGGAATACTAGTCAACCATAAAAATGAATGAAATCCTATCATTCAGAGCAACATGGATGAGTCTGGAGGACATTTTGTTAAGTAAAATAAGCCAGGCATAGAAAGATAAATACCGCAGATTCTCACTCATACGTGTAAGCTAAAAAAAAAAAAAAAAAAAAAAAATTGCACTCATAGACGTAAACTATTATAAACTATAACGAGAGAGTAGAGCTCTGCTTATTAGAGGCTAGGAAGGGCGAGGAGAAGGGAAGATAGGAAAAGGTTGGTTAACCAACACAAAATTACATCTAGATAGGAGGAATGAGTTATTAGGTTGGTGCAAAGTAATTGCAGTTTTTGCCATTATTAGCACCAACCCAATGTAATATTTTATAGCACTGTAGGATGAGTATAGTTAATAATGATTTGTTGCATGTTTTCAAAAGGCTAGAAGTGAGAATTTTTCTTTCTTTTTAATTATACTTAAGTTCTGGGGTACATGTGCAGAATGTGCAGTTTTGTTTACATAGGTATACAGGTTACATAAGTATACAGCTGCACCCATCAGTCTGTCACCTACATTAGGTATTTCTCCTAATGTTATCCCTCCCCTAGCCCCCCACTCCCCGGCAAGCCCCAGTGTGTGATGTTCCCCTCTCTATGTCCATGTGTTCTCATTGTTCAACTCCCACTTATGAGTGAGAACATGTGGTGTTTGGTTTTCTGTTCTTGTGGTAGTTTGCTGAGAATGATGTTTTCCAGCTTCATCCATGTCCCTGCAAAGGACATGAACTCACCCTTTTTTATGGCTGCATAGTATTCCATGGTGTGTATGTGCCACATTTTCTTTATCCAGTCTATTATTGATGGACATTTGGGTTGGTTCCAAGTCTTTGCTATTGTGAATAGTGCTGCAATAAACATATGTGTGTCTGTGTCTTTACAGTAGAATGATTTATAATCCTTTGAGTATATACCCAGTAATGGGATTGCTGGGTCAAATAGTATTTCTAGTTCTAGATCCTTGAGTAATTGCCACACTGTCTTCCACAATGGTTGAACTAATTTACACTCCCTAGAAGTGAGAATTTTGAATGTTTCCAATGCAAAGAAATGATAAATGTTTGAGGTAATGTCTGTGTGAATTATGTTGATGTGATCATGACATATTGTATACATGTATAAAAACATCACTTTATATTCCATAAATATGTACAATTATTATGTGTTAACTAAAACTGAAACAAAAGAAATGAGGGAAATAAAAAATCACTACTTTGCCTCCAGCATTAGTGATGAACGCTGAAACCACTGGGGAAAAGAGCATGGAGGAGCAGGATATTCACAAAGTCTCAGAGAATTACAACACAGGTTACTTATTAAGCACAAAGGGAGGAAGATACCTTTATAATGGAGAAATTCGGCAAATGCCAACTGAAGAAAGTGACCAAGCTGAACATCCCAGTGATGGGATGAACTAACAGTGTGTCCCTCCTGATGGGCCGCAGTGGGAAGGGTGAACATCGCCTGTCGAAGTCCTTGCCAAAAAGTAATCTAATGGTGAGCAAACAACTAGATAAATGCAAATTGAAAAGCATCCTGCAAAACAATCAACCTGGGCCTTAAAAAATGTAAACAGCATGGAAACTTTCTAAAAGTCCCAGGTACAGCTAGAATAGAGAAGACTAAGGTCACACAACAGCCAACACAATGTACAATCCTTGATCAGATCCTAAATCAGACAAAGAGGATAGAACATAATAAACATTGTTCATAGACAATTGAGAAGCTTCCTGTTGGGAAGAGTCCACCTTGGCAGGTGCTTCAGCAGCACTGAATGTGGAGGGCTATGAGGGGGAGGCACTGCCCTATCAGAGAAGCTGCAGCTTCTACCAACAAAAATGGCCAATTCTCCCCAAGCAGATGCTGTGATGCAGGCACTCATTAAAGATTTTCCATGTACTGGGATCCTCACAGCAACCTATGAGATGTGTTACTATTATCTCTGTCTTAAAAATAAACAAGTGGTGGGCATAGCCATCACCTGACTTACCCATGAGCCAGCCCTTTGAAACTGCCTGGCCTCACCTATGAGATGTTCCCAGGAAGCAAGAGCCAGATAAAGCAGGGAAATGTTTAAAAATCATAAAAATAAGAAGGTCAATATTGGGAGCTACCAACACCCGAAGGCACCAAGGCAGAATTACCTCCATGCAGTCCAGGAGGACTCTACCTATTCCTTCTGATCCCTGCCCCACACCCCATAGCCCAACCTCGGGCAGCAGAGGCAAACCTGTGAGAGGGTGTGTGGGTCATATAATGGCCGCGAGATGTCCGGTCCTAATTCCTGGGACTTCAGAATGTGACCTGATATGGAAAAAGGATCTTTGCGGATGTGATTGAGTGAAGGATCCTGAGATGGAGAAGTCTCCCCAGTGATCCAGGTAGGTGGGTTCTAAATGGGATCACAAGTTTAGATATTTGCCTTCATAAATGGGTATTTTAATTACACAAATGAGACCTCCTTATGCCTACAAGAGCCTGGAGGGGCTTTCATCATTTAAAACTGACCGAAGAGTTCAAGCAACGGCCCACAGCGTCTTTGAAAGGAAGAAGGCTGGCCAGTGGAGAGGCAGGACAGGGTGGCCATGCCACAGACTGGGTTACAGGAAGAGCTAGGGGAGGGGCGGCGCTCTCAGAGTGACAGGTAGAGCCACACACCACTCTCGGTGGCAGGTGCTTCCAGGAAAGCAGGGAGGAGGACAGAGGGAGGAGGATGGAGGGAGAATATGGCTGTAGCTATTTATATAATATGTAAGTATATTCAATAATCTAATATACATTTACTAGGTTTGATTTTTAGATCAACTTTAGGTTTATAGAAAACTTGAGAAGAAAGTACAGAGTGTTCAATATACCCCTTCACACACACACACACACACAGAGCACAGCACACTCAGCCCCCATTAACATCTATTAGTGAGGCACATTTGTTACAATTAATGATCCAATATTGGCATGATTATTAACTAAAGTCCATAGTTTGCTTCAGGGTTCACTCTTTGTGCATAATGGCATGTATCCATCACTATAGCATCTTTGTAGCTATAATTTTTTTTTGAGATGGAATGTTGCTCATTGCCCAGGCTGGAGTACAATGGCATGATCTTGGCTCACTGCAACCTCTGACCTCCCTGGTTCAAGTGATTCTCCTGCCTCAGCCTCCCAAGTAGCTGGGATTACAGGCGCACGCCACCACACTCGGCTAATTTTTTATTTTTAGTAGAGGCGGGCTTTCACCATGTTGGCCAGGCTGGTCTTGAACTCCTGACCTCAGGCAATCCATTTGTCTCAGCCTTCCGAAGTGCTGGGATTACAAGTGTGGGCCACCGCACCCAGCGCTATAATTTTTTTATTTGTTTAATTTCTTTAAACTAGAGAGATAAAGAATATGTGTCAAAATAGTAACCCCTGCTTAATCTCAATGGTGGATACCTAAACATCAATGATTTTTTGTAGTTTTTAAAAATATTTCATTTTTAAAAACACACATTGCTTGTGCATGGACGTGTGCCTCAAGGAAGAGCTGCTGAAGCAGCAACCACATGGAGAAGTGACCAGCCAGGTCCTTGGTCCTCACCCAGCATCGGGTCAGTGTTGTTTGAGGGTCTGGAGATGGCACAGGGATCAACCTGCAGAGATGAGGGTTGGAAAAAGCATAAGGCTGATCTTGACTTCTTCCTCTCCAAAGGAAGCTGATGAACAATCTGCAGGACTAAAGGAAGGAACCTAATTCCAAGAGGAAAGTTTCCAGGAGGAGCATGTGAAGCTCATGCTGTATCCAGAACTGAGCCGGTCTGAAACATGAAGCTGACAGCGCACAGTGGGTCCTGCACAGGGAGTGATGGTCCCCAGAGCGCCCTCCAAGAGCAAGAGAGGCCAGTAGGGGCCACTGGAGCCCCTGGGGCAGCTGTGGTGCACACTCAGAGTGTTCCGGGTGGACAGGGACAGGCGCGGTCGCAGTCTCATGTGAGGTCATCAGAAGATTGCCCTCCCAGGACTTCTCACAAGGAAGGGTGGGCCACAGGGAGGGAGCATAAGCACATCCTCTCACATGGAAATTTCGTTAAAAGTTAAAACATGCCATGAGAAAACTGAGGGTGATGAAGATGGGGCCAGCCACTTGGGGACCTAAGCAGGCCACCAGTGGGCCTGCCCAGGCTGTAAAGGACGCTCTGCCTTTTGATGGCTCAGAAACAAAGTCAAGAGGCAAGAAATTTACCCATGGTAGATAGTACTTGTCAGAAACCAAGAGCATGGAGTACAGGATTGGCATCCAAGTGAAAAACAACAGTGCAAAACAGAAACTGGGATGTGAAGGAGGCACACGCAGGGCTCAGAGTGGCCCACTCCAAGGCTGTGGGTGATTCAGAAGCTGAAGACGCAATGCGCTGTGCACTGCACCTGTCAGTCCTAGGATGGTCCTTGGCAGCATAAAGTGGCAAATCTGGGGGGAAAAAAAAAAACAGATTTCTGGCCTTGTAACAGGAATGTAGACATTGGTCCTCAAGACAGTGGGAAACATTGTTGCAACCCAGGAGTCACTCAATTGTTGCTAAACAAGTCAGACTCTAGCAAAGTAGAAGCAGTTGAAGTTGTGCCAAGAGTACCAACTACTCCTGGTCCCATCCCAGGCTGCCGTGCCGTGATGAACTGGGGAAGGAAAATGCTGGAATTAGTAGACACGATTTTTGAGGTCCAAGATGATCGGGGAGGTTGGACCTGGACAGTGTGTCTGCTGACGGGCCACTTTCCTCACAGGTCCAAGCACATCTCCTAAGGAGAGAACGACTCTTCATTGAGTGTTGGGTTCTCAAGTTCAAGTATAAAATACATGCTGCAGTTCTTATTCTCAACTTAACTACATTAAGTCCTGTTTCAAAGCTTTCACTTCCCACCCGAAGCTGACGACCAACTTAGAGTGAACGCTTCCTGGGTCAGGCCACCATTCCAAGGCATTGGGGTGGCATTGGGTTATTGGTATCCGGGCTGCCAGTCCTCCTAGTCCTCTCTAAGCCATTTCCTCCTCAGCCTTGATAACTGCACGTGGCTGTCTCTGCAGTGCCAGCACAGGAGTGAGGACAGGAAGCTGTTGGAAGTGGCCACCTCCCATCTGGATCCGTCTCCCAGTGGCCATCCTCTCTGGAAGCAATGCCCCTCCCTCTCCAGAGGCGTTGCTTTGGAAGCAGACAGAGCAGTTCCTCTTTCTCTCTCTGGATACCAATTCTCATCCATTCTTTTTTCTATTTAATCTCCCAAGCCCGGGTAAATCTTCTCTCCTCACTGATTGTGCCCCCAAATATTCTATTTCCAAGGATCTTCATCCAAATCTAGATTTAGACAGTCGGAGGGAAGGGCCAGGAGGATTCAGGCCATGTCTGTACACCCCTTCCTGATGCAATGAGCTCAGGGCCAGGCAATGGCTTGAGTGGGAGGACAGGGAAGAAAAGTTGCAGAGAAAGAAGGCACATGCCAATGCCTCAAAATATCTCTCATGGTGGTTATGTGGTTCCTCCTGAATCCACTTGATCTGGATGTCTGGGCACATGTCTCAATACATAGGTATAAAAATCCCAGAACCACTTCCTACCCTGTACAACGAAGCACACAGCAGAGAGATCTGCCTGAGCTGGATTGCACGTGTTGCAGGTGCTGCACCCTGAGCTGAGGGCAGGACCTCCCTGGGTGCAACTGTACTGACTCAGGCACAGGATCCCAGGGCCGCAACAGTGTTTCGAGGGGGCTCAGGAGAGAAGGACAACCGAAAATGGACACAGGACAGAGCCAAGCTGCAAAAGATGGAGGAGGCAGCGGGGATGAGAATGGAAAGGAGGTTGCCCGAGTCAGATACTCTTTCAAGAAATACTGAGTTGGAAAGAGTAAGAGGGAAAGAATGTCCCCTTCAGGCCTTGAAGATGGAGAGAGGGAAGATGGCCCAGAGAAGTCGGTCACCACTTCCTGGTTTTGTTCTTGTTGTTGTTGCATTTCCCAATAAGGAATGCTTGATGAATTTTATGGCCACAGCAGAGGACCAGGGAGGTGAGCAAAGATGCAAAATGCAAAGAGATGATTGATGGAGAAAGGAAGCAGTTGCTGGGCAGCACAGGAGATTATGAACCTGGAGACATTTGGGAAGGGCGATTCTGAGCCACGTTAAAGTACTGATATGCCGTGTTTCTTCCCACTGAACACCTCGGACCTTCTTGTTATCATCGTTGCCCGTGGCCTGCCCTCCCCAGCGGCCTCTCCATACCATCCCCTCAACTCCAAGAGCCAGGCTGAACCTCAGGGGTTGGGGTGGACTAGGCAATCTTCCACTGGTGTTGCTGGGCGACGGTACACGTCTAAATGTTTATTGCTCAGGTTTGTGTAAAATCGCATTATGTCAGGTGGAGAGAATGGGATCAAGGGCACTTGAGGGAAAGTGTCTTCCTAGGAGATGGGCACCAAGAACACAGGGAGGGTGCAGAGGAGGGGAAGAGAGGCAACCGCCCCCAAGAGAGGAGGTGAAGAGAGGCAACCGCCCCCAAGAGGCCTCATGCAGGTGTCAGCGCCAGGCACCCCGCCCTCCTGCTGGACCAAGGAGCTCAGTCAGTGCTTGAAGATGTTGGAAAGTTTCCGGGAATCGTGTGGAAAAGAGGGAACTTGAAGTCAGGTAGTCAGTAGGGTCAGGCATCAGTGTTGCAGCAGGCGTCTGCAGACAAATCACGGAAGCCTTCACCGCATGAGGTCTCACGGCCAGACCAAGCCCTGCTCCCCTCCCCATCTCTGTAGCCATTTCCTGGCCATTGTCAGTGTCAATAAATAATTCCTCAAGGAATTAATGCTTTTACCAAGGTTTCTCAATCATCTTAAATGCCCTTTTCAACTACAACACATATGTAGACTTAAACTTTATTTTACTTACTTAAACAATATTTCTTTATACCCTTTTCCTGCCCATCTACTTAATATATGAAATTTGGAAAGATGCTTGTATTTAGAATACAAGAATTTATAAGAATGTAATTGCCTATGGGTTCATTATTGCGGTTGAGTATTTTTTCTTTGTTGTAGGCTATGCTTAGAATAATTTCCACAGCTTTATTATAAAGGAAGGAAATATATACCAGAATAACATAATATATTGAAAAGGAATGTTTCCAAAGCTAAATAAAGCTGTGGAAATTAAAAAGGAAAAATTATGCTTGACTCACAATGAGACCGCAGCCTCTCCCAAGGCGGCAACAGTCTTGCTTCTCCATGAAGCACTGGATGAGGAGAGCTGCCCAGGAAGGGCTCACGTATTACATGGTGGAGTTTGCTTCCCACATTATCCCAAATGCCTACATCTAAACAATAAAGGCCTTCCTCCTAGCCCTTGGCTGAGAATTAGGCCCCATGGCAGTCGTTGGAAAGACTAAAATAAAACAACATTTACATAAACAAACTCAGCTCTCAGCAGCCCGATGCACAGCTGCTCAGTCCCCACTATGGGCAGTTTGATGAGCTTGGCCTCCAACAACACGCAGAAGAGCTGCAAGAAAATCCATGTTTGCAAAGCTCAGACACCTGGCACCGAAGGGGAGGAGGGAAATACATTTTTGAAAACGCCTTTGAATTTCCAGATACAAAATTTTAAATAGAGACAAAATAATCTACCCCAACCTCACTCTGGTTCAGAATGTAATCTCTTTCTGTAACCATTTTAACAGCATCCTAATTCACACACCTGTTCCCAGGACACTTTTTCCCTCCAAAATTCTCTGCATACTGCCCCTAGAGTGACATCTCTAACTCAGCAGAGGTCCAAGTTTGAGATGTTGCTATTATGCTTTACGGTAAGTTTAACTGTGTCCTCTAAAAAGACATGTTAAAGTCCTAACCCCTGGTACCTGTGAAGGTAACTGTATTTGGAAATAAAGTCTTTGTAGGTGTAATTAGTTAAATTAAGATGAGGTCAGACTGGAAAAGAGTGGATGCTTAATCCAATATGACTGATGTCATTACAAGAAGAGGGAAATTTGGATACAGACATACATAAACAGCACCATGTGAACATGAGGGCAGAGAACTGGATGATCCATCTAGAAGCCACAGGATGCCAAAGGTTGCCAGGAAACCACCAGAAGCTAAGCAGAGGCCTGGGACAGATTCTCCTCACAGATCTCGGAGGGAACCAGCCCTGCCAACATCTTGATTTTGGACTTCCAGCCTCCAGAACTGTGAGACAATAAAAGTCTGTGGTTTTAAGCCACCCAGATTGTGGTCACTTGTTATAGCAGCTCCAGGAAACTCACACAGCCCTAGACTGATGTGGCCTGAACACCCTGGAGTCCTGGAGGAGTGAGCAATCTTCCTTGGAGACTCAGGATTCAGGAAGAATGTGGAGGAGGGAAGAGGAAGCAGCCACCTTTGAGATGCCCCACATGTGTATGAGACACAGAAGCCTCAGCCTTCTTCTGGAAGGAGGAGCTGAGTCAGGGTTTGAAGATTTTGGAGGGTTTCTAGAAATAGAAATAGAAGAGAGTGATTTAGTGTGTGATGGAGGGCACCCCACAAAGACAGGCAGAGGTGTGCAGGTTTGTCCAGGACAAAGAAGCAGTACGGGTAGGGAGGGTCCACCCAGGAGTGCAAGGTGACTTCCATCTGGGCTCAGCAGCTGTGGCAGCTGCAGAAGCACAGCCAGCTCTCCTTGAACTGGGTCCTGATCTCAGCATGAGGAGCTCGACACCTGGCAGCTTTTGCAGCAGACGGTGACCAAGAGAAGAAAGATGACCAGGGAGCCCCGGAGAGAAGGAGTCAGATGATAGATGTCACACCTTTCCTAACTGATTATATTGACAGCAATAAAAACAGCTCAAATGTATTATATTCCATGTGTCGGGTACTATTTTTTTTATTATACTTTAAGTTCTAGGTACATGTGCACAACATACAGGGTTGATTAAAGACTTAAATGTTAGACCTAAAACCATAAAAACCCTAGAAGAAAACCTACGCAATACCATTTAGGACATAGGCATGGGCAAGGACTTCATGACTAAAACACCAAAAGCAATGGCAACAAAAGCCAAAATTGACAAATGGGATCTAATTAAACTAAAGAGCTTCTGCACAGCAAAAGAAACTACCATCAGAGGGAACAGGCAACCTACAGAATGGGAGAACATTTTTGCAATCTACCCATCTGACAAAGGGCTAATATCCAGAATCTACAAAGAACTTAAACAAATTTACAAGAAAAAATCAAACAACCCCATCAAAAAGTGGGCAAAGGATATGAACAGACACTTTTCAAAAGAAGACATTTATGCATCCAACAGACACATGAAAAAATGCTCATCATCACTGGCCATCAGAGAAATGCAAATCAAAACCACAACGAGATACCATCTCACACCAGTTAGAATGGCAATCATTAAAAAGTCAGGAAACAACAGGTGCTGGAGAGGATGTGGAGAAATAGGAACACTTTTACACTGTTGGTGGGAGTATAAACTAGTTCGACCATTGTGGAAGACAGTGTGGCCGGTACTATTTTAAGCAGTTGACGCATATTAACTCATTTAACTCTCACTATATAGCATTATATTATCCCCACTTTACAGTATAGGAAGTAGGGGTCATGGAGGTTTAGGAATCTACTCAACATCTCACTGTTGATAAAGGCAGAGCTGAGCTTTGAACCCTGGCAGCCCGCTCCACAAGAATTCATACTCTCCTACAATGCAGAGACTCAACATTCTTGCTGAGAGGACTACCTCACCAGGCAGTCCTCCTCACTCACCAGATATGTATGGCACATTTCTCCTGGTCCTCACAGAGCTATCTAAGAGAAATCCTATGGGCTCTAGGATGAATGCAGGCAGGGCAAGACAAATCCTTTTTTTTTTTTTTTTAACAGAATCTTGCTGTCACCCAGGCTGGAGTACAGCGCTATGATCTCGGCTCACTGCAACCTCAGTCTCCTGGGTTCAAGCAATTCTCCTGCCTCAGCCTCCTGAGTAGATGGGACTACAAGTGCATGCCACCACATCCAGCTAATTTTTTGTATTTTTTGTAGAGATGGAATTTCACTATGTTGGCCAGGCTGGTATCAAACTCCTGAACTCAAGTTATTCACCTGCCTCGGCCTCCCAAAGTGCTGGGATTACAGGCATGAGCCACTGCACCCCGCCTAGGACAAATCCTATCTTGTGATTGTAATGCAACTCCAGCTTTGCCCCGAGAGCAGTAGAAATCGTCCAGGAAGCTTCTCTTTTCCAGGAATTTGCAATTACACCAGATTGATGATGAATGGAAGATGGTGATGTTCAGTTGGGCAGAGCCCTTTGAAATAAACAGAGAAACTAGAAAAGCAAAAGCTACGCAGTTTGGAAGTGACATGCAGCTGAACAAAAACTAACTACTAATCCCCCTGGAAAAGAGGTGCTCCTCCAATAAGCATTAACCTAGCTCCTACGTGAAGCTCATTCAACCGGTACTGACTGGGCACCTTCTATATGATTATCTATGTGCTGAAGACCATAACAGACGAAAATGATAAGCAAGGAACTTCCCTTTATAATACAGGGAAAACAGCAGAGATTTCATAGCCAGACTAACCTGTGTTTGTAGCCTAGCTTTAACCATTTACCTTGAACAAGTTGTTCGACTCCACCAAGCCTCAGTCTCCTCATCTTTAGAATTAATGTGAGAACATCTGGCTCAGAGAAGTGAGATAATTAAATGAGAAAAGGTTTCTAGAGCGCCTAGTACAGCTGTAGCCAAAAATTATCAACCCAAGTTCTTTTTCCAGGAAGATGGAGTAGACATACTTTTCCGCATTCTGCCCACTAAGTATAATGAAACTCTGGAAATTATTTATAAAACAAAACAAAAAGGAATGTATTAAAAGCTGAAGGGAAGAAGAAAGATCCACTAGGGACCTCAGAACCTAAAGACTGACACAGTGGTTAGTTCTCTGGGTTTTCATTTTGCCTCACATATCCAAGACTTGGAGCTGAAGAAGTCTGCAACCTTGGAAACACCAAATGGGCACATATATTTAATTCCCAATGAAAGCCTGTTCTCTATAGGCAAAGGACAAGAAAATGGGCAGCCAAGCAAGACATGAAACTCTTGAAAAATAACCACTCTATTACAGACAAACACCACAGAAAAACTAATGTGGCTCCCCTATTCTCCACAAGCCAGCAAAGCCCAAGCATGAAGGACAGACTTCCACCCGCACCAGGCTGTTTAATAAGGTGCACCAAGCCCCCAGCAGGGTGGTATCAGAGGAAGTCTAGTGGAGAGTCAGGACATTCACTAACACCCAGTAATAACAAACTTATCCTACCACCATGGTGCCAGGCCAGGTGGAGAACAATAACCAGGAAGTCCTACCACTTCCAGACAGGGAGGTTTCAAAGAGGGCCTACTGGGAAATCAACACTCCCACCTCTGCCCAGCAGTACTGGGGAGTTCCCTCACCTTGGTGTCAATGGAAGCCAAGTGGGGAACACGCCCTTATACCCCTACTTGGCAGTATGAAGCGACACCCTCTTTCCACACCAAAGAATATGAAACAAAATGTTTAAATAAGATTCAGCATTATACTGTAATACCGAGGTTGTTCAGGTTCCAATAAAAATCACTTGTCATACTAAATACCAGTAATACCTCAATTGAATGAGAAAAGACAATGAACAGACAAAAAACAAAATGATATACCTATTGGAATTACCTAGCAAAAATTGTAAGCACCCATGATAAAAATATATTAACAAGCAATTATAAAAACACTAGAAACAAATGAAAAAATAGAAAGTCTCAACACAGGGAGAGAAGATATAAAGAACTACATAGAAATTTAAAACCGAAAAGTGCAATAACCGAAATTTTAAACTCAATGGATGGTCTCCAAAGTAGAATAAAGGGAACAAAAGAAAGAATTGTTGAACTTAAAAACATAATAATAGAAATTAAACAACTGAACCACAATGAAAAAAATGCAAACAAACAAACAAAAAAAAAAAAAACAGTGCCTCAAAGACCTGTGAGACTATAACTAAACATCTAGCAATTATGTCATTGGAATCCCAGAGGGAGAAGAAAGAGGCAGGGTTGAAATGGTACTCAAAGAAATAATGAGTGAAACCTCGTATTTGGCAAAAGACATAAACTACAGACTGAAGAAGATGAGCAAGTCTCAAGCCAGATAAACTCAACTAAATCCATGCCAAGACACATCAGAGGCAAAGTTTTGAAAACTAAAGACAAGGAAAAGAATTCTTGAAAGCAGTGAGAGATAAATTACACTTATATCGTAAAAACAAGTTGAATGATAGCAGATTTCTCATCAGAAACTAAAGGCTGGAAAACAGTGGCACAGTTTTAAGTGCTGAAAGAAAAGAACTGTCAACGTGGAATCTTATGTACAACAAAAATATCCTTCAGGAATGAAGGAAAATCAAGACAGTCTCAAATTAGAAAAAAGAAAAAAAAAAACTAAAAGAATTTGTCACCAGCAGAACTACCCTAAAAGAATGGCTAAAGGAGGAGGGTGGAGCCAAGACAGCCGAATAGCAACAGCTCCAGTCTACAGCTCCCAGCGTGAATGACGCAGAAGATGGGTGATTTCTGCATTTCCAACTGAGGTACCGGGTTCATCTCACTGGGGAGTGCCAGACAGTGCGTGCAGGACAGTGGGGGCAGCACACTGTGCGTGAGCCGAAGCAGGGCGAGGCATCGCCTCACCCGGGAAGTGCAAGGAAGGGGTCAGGGAATTCCCTTTCCTAGTCAAAGAAAGGGGTGACAGATGGCACCTGGAAAATCGGGTCACGCCCACCCTAATACTGTGCTTTTCCAACGGGCTTAACAAATGGCACACCAGGAGATTATATCCCCCACCTGGCTCGGAGGGTCCTACACTCACAGAGCCTCGCTCATTGCTAGCACAGCAGTCTGAGATCAAACGGCAAGGTGGCAGCGAGGCTGGGGGAGGGGCGCCCGCCATTGCTCAGGCTTGAGTAGGTAAACAAAGCAGCTGGGAAGGTTGAACTGGGTGGAGCCCACCACAGCTCAAGGAGGCCTGCCTGCCCCTGTAGGCTCCACCTCTGGGGGCAGGGCACAGACACACAAAAGGCAGCAATAACTTCTGCAGACTTAAATGTCCCTGTCTGACAGCTTTGAAGAGAGTAGTGGTTCTCCCAGCACACAGCTTGAGATCTGAGAACAGACAGACTGCCTCCTCAAGTGGGTGCCTGACCCCCGAGTAGCCTAACTGGGAGGCACCCCCCAGTAGGGGCAGACTGACACCTTACACGGCCAGGTACTCCTCTGAGATAAAACTTCCAGAGGAACAATCAGACAGCAGCATTTGTGGTTCACCAATATCCACTGTTCTGCAGCCACCACTGCTGATACCCAGGCAAACAGGGTCTGGAGTGGACCTCCAGTAAACTCCAACGGACCTGCAGCTGAGAGTCCTGACTGTTAGAAGGAAAACTAACAAACAGAAAGGACATCCACACCAAAAACTCATCTGTACGTCACCATCATCAAAGACCAAAGGTAGATAAAACCACAAAGATGGGGAAAAAACAGAGCAGAAAAACTGGAAACTCTAAAAATCAGAGCACCTCTCCTCTTCCAAAGGAACGCAGCTCCTCACCAGCAATGGAACAAAGCTGGATGGAGAATGACTTTGACGAGTTGAGAGAGGAAGGCTTCAGAAGATCAAACTACTCCAAGCTAAAGGAGGAAGTTCGAACCAATAGCAAAGAAGTTAAAAACTTTGAAAAAAAATTAGATGAATGGATAACTAGAATAACCAATGCAGAGAAGTCCTTAAAGGACCTGATGGAGCTGAAAACCATGGCACAAGAACTACGTGATGAATGCACAAGCCTCAGTAACCGATGCGATCAACTGGAAGAAAGGGTATCAGCGATGGAAGATGAAATGAATGAAATGAAGCGTGAAGAGAAGTTTAGAGAAAAAAGAAATGAACAAAGCCTCCAAGAAATATGGAACTATGTGAAAAGACCAAATCTACATCTCATTAGTGTACCTGAAAGTGATGGGGAGAATGGAACCAAGTTGGAAAACACTCTGCAGGATATTATCCAGGAGAACTTCCCCAATCTAGCAAGGCAAGCCAACATTCAGATTCAGGAAATACAGAGAACGCCACAAAGATACTCCTCGAGAAGAGCAACTCCAAGACACATAATTGTCAGATTCATCAAAGTTGAAATGAAGGAAAAAATGTTAAGGGCAGCCAGAGAGAAAGGTCAGGTTACCCACAAAGGGAAGCCCATCAGACTAACAGCTGATCTCTCAGCAGAAACTCTACAAGCCAGAAGAGAGTGGGGGACAATATTCAACATTCTTAAAGAAAATAATTTTCAACCCAGAATTGCATATCCAGCCAAACTAAGCTTCATAAGTGAAGGAGAAATAAAATCCTTTACAGACAAGCAAATGCTGAGAGATTTTGCCGCCACCAGACCTGCCCTAAAAGAGCTCCTGAAGGAAGCACTAAACATGGAAAGGAACAACTGGTACCAGCCACTGTAAAAACATGCCAAATTGTAAAGGCCATCAAGGCTAGGAAGAAACTGCATCAACTAACGAGCAAAATAACCAGCTAACATCATCATGACAGGATCAAATTCACCCATAACAATACTAACCTTAAATGTAAATGGGCTAAATGCTCCAATTAAAAGGCACAGACTGGCAAATTGGATAAAGAGTCAAGACCCACCAGTATGCTGTATTCAGGAAACCCATCTCACGTGCAGAGACACACACAGGCTCACAATAAAGGGATGGAGGAAGATCTACCAAGCAAATGGAAAAAAAAAGAAGGCAGGGGTTGCAATCCTAGTCTTGGATAAAACAGATTTCAAACCAACAAAGATCAAAAGAGACAAAGAAGGCCATTACATAATGATAAAGGGATCAATTCAACAAGAAGAACTAACTATCCTAAATATATATGCACCCAATACAGGAGCACCCAGATTCATAAAGCAAGTCCTTAGTGACCTACAAAAAGACTTAGACTCCCACACAATAATAATGGGAGACTTTAACACCCCACTGTCAACATTAGATAGATCAACGAGACAGAAAGTTAACAAGGATATCCAGGAATTGCACTCAGCTCTGCACCAAGCAGACCTAACAGACACCTACAGAACTCTCCACCCCAAATCAACAGAATATAAACCCGTTCGAGAGCCATCTGATGGGCAGGCCAGGGCTGACAGAGGTGAGCGGCCATGGCAGCAGCACCCGGAGGAGAGGGGTCAGGTTTGGGATGTGTCGGAGGTGGAGCACCAGGATTAACTTCACATGGAGATGAAAGAGAGCAGGGACTCAAGGATGATTCCTGCCTCTGACCTCGCTCCTTGGTGGATAACAACGCCAACAGCCAAGACATGGAGGGCTGGAGAGGAGCAGTTCAGGCATGAGGTTTTCAGATGCTGACTAGACATCAGGCAGAGAGCCACAAGATCAGTGCTCCGTAGAGGACGCCCTAACCCAGGGGAGAGGTCGGAGGTGGGGAAGCACACTGGAGAGTTATCTGCACACATCCACATGCAGTCACAGGATCACAGGACACCGTCTAGGAGAAGGTGCCATAGAAAAGAGGGTGAAGGATTGTGTCCCAGACACACCGACATTTAGAGTCTGGACTTAGGCAGAACAGCTCACAGCAGAGGCAGGCGAACGTGGAAGAGCTGGAAGAGTGTGGTGAGACTCATACGGCAAAAGCTGTTGAACAGTGTAACCTCATCCCAAGAACTGCAGAATTGGAGTCCCAGAAAGTTTCCATACACACAAAAAAAGGTTAGATAATATTTTCTTCTAATAGAAAAATAGTTAATGCCTCATCAAATGTAAAGTAGTCACATCAAATAATTATGCTGCCATAGAGAAGGATGTATATTTTACTTTTTTTTTTACTTTAAAGCTCAAATGGTTTAGTATAATTTATGGGGCAATTTCTTTGAGAGTATTGCGAGTTAGCCAAGGAATTCCGAAATATTCATCAAGAGTTTTCTTTGTTTTAAATGTAGAAAGTCCAGCTGTAATTGCCCTTGTGAAACTTCTTGCACAGAATAAGAAGTTAAAAATTGATTAGAGTTTGGTCAAGGGGAGATAGAGTAGTTGGCAATCAAAGATACTTTTTAACATGATATTAAATGTTGAACAGTATCAAATAATTTATAAATAAGAAAAGCTGAGAACATACACAAATGAGAAAGAAAAAGGACAAAGCAGAAGTACAAGTTTAAAGGTTGAGACAAAATCAAACTGAAGTTACACCTACTGCTCTTTCAAGTATCATGGAGAGAAACAAACTAAAGTCCTGAGTGAAATTTCCACATGTTTTCTGTTTTCCTCCTGGAGTCCTCATTTACAAGAGGGGTGTATATGACTAAAAGATAAACAGAGGACACCTGCTGTCAGGAATGCATTTCAGAAGCATCTCCCAGGTCTCTGTGCCCCGCCTGGCCCAGCCTTCTGTGACTTCTCAGTCCACGTTGGCAATCAGGGACGTGAAACACAGTGTCCATCCCTGCCCGTGGTGACAAGCACAGGTGCCTCCCACCAGCCTGCTGACTCAAACCCCATTCCTAATGTCATTGAGCTGTGTGCAATCCAACACGCATGGCATTCAAAGTACTCTCAAATTGGGTGTTAAATCTATAATCGGGCCTTAAAACTGTGTTCTCCCCAACATAAGCCGTGTGCTTTGCCACATTACTGACACTATGTGAAAAAGTAACAGAGAGGGCAAGCCCGTTTATTGCTGTGCCAAAAACAGCCCATGAAGATTTAAGTTCTGCAATGACCACAGGCCCCTAATGAGGAAGCACCAGGGTCGCTTAAGTCAGAGCACAAAGGGAAACCCTCGCTGCACTAGAAGCCGCTAGGCAGCCCCTGCCCTGTGCTGTGTGGGGCTGCACCTGGGTCCTCGCCTCGCCTCCCAGCACCTCTGCTCAGCTCCTGTCCTCAGTGTCTCTTCCCAGCCCCTGCCCTGCACTGTGTGGGGCCGCACCTGTGTCCTCGCCTCGCCTCCCAGCACCTCTGCTCAGCTCCTGTCCTCAGTGTCTCCTCCCAACCCCTGCCCTGCGCTGTGTGGGGCTGCACCTGTGTCCTCACCTCGCCTCCCAGCACTTCTGCTCAGCTCCTGTCCTCAGCGTCTTCTCCCAGCCCCTGCCGCTGTCTTCGCCTGTCCTTACTGCCTTTGTTGGGGCTACTGCATGCAGCCCGACAATGCCCACATGGCCAGGCCACCCCTTCTTCCTACACATGCTGGCACAGAGGCCTTCTAAAGATACACCTGACCTTATCACTTCCCTACCGAAAGTCTTTCACTGGGCCCCTGTTGCCCAGCGCAGGGGTCCGAGAGCCCTGGCTGTAAGGGCCAGAGAGGATGTATTTCGGCTTTGCCACCCTGCAGTCTCCGTCGCGGTGACTCAGCTCTGCCATGGCAGCATGAGAGCAGCATGCAGCAGCCTCACTGTGCTCCCCAAGAATGCTGTGAAAGCTGGGCTGGGCTGCGCTGGCCGGTGGGTCACTGTCCACCAGCCGCTGACCTGAAGGATAAAGCCTCATCTCTCCGTCCCAGGGTGTGAGGTGTTTGGTGCACAGTGTTGGAGGTCTCCCAGCAGAACGTGAAAGGTGGTCAGGAGGCCGCGCCTGGGGGCAGAAGCCAGAAGTCACCTCTGCACCTTCCTGCATGCCGCTGCAGGCCCAGCGCTGCCTACAGACAGGAAGCCTGTCACAAAAGGCCCCATGTCACCTCCCTGATGCCCTTTGCATGTGACGTCCCAGCCCCAGTAGCCCTCGCCTCATCCCCTCCCTCACCGGTTTCATGCCTGCTCCCTGCACCCTGCACTTCTAATCACGATCCACCTGAAAAGCATCACAGGCCCTGTCAGGCCACACCTGTACCTCACACAGGCTTAGCAGGGTTCGCCAAGCAGAGCTGAGTGGCCGCTTAGCTGAGCCTTAAAACCCATTCTGTCATCTAAGCAGGCTCTCTGGTTCCAGGTGGTTCCAGGTGGTAGGCTGTATGGTAAGCCCACATGCCGGCCACATACCCACAGCTGCACCTCCTTCACCACAAAATTGGCACCTAGGTCCGACCCACATTCAACAAGATCACCTTTTGGTTAATCAGGCATTCTGTTACCCTTCAGCTTCGTGAGCCGACAGAGGCACTGTGAGCATAAAAGGCAATATCGTATCCAGAGCATGTGAACACTCGAGTGAAAACCAGTCATTGATTTCCCCCTCCCCAAATCTGGAAAGGGTTCTACCCACGCGGTGCTGTTGAGATGACGCCGCCTCCTCCTCCAGGACTCCTGTGGATCCCTGCAATGAGCAGGCCAGGCATGCAGCAGTCGTGGGTAGATCAGCCGTGGTGAGAAGGACCCGTGGTGTTGGGCCAGGCACAGCCTCAACCCCTGCCATTTTGGTTCCTCCACCTTGGGGCAGCCCACTGGGCAGCCCCGGACAGAGGCCGGCCCATCGCCCTAGTCCCGAAGCCTCTTTAGCAAATGTGCTTTCTGGTGGGTGGTGCGTGTCCCGTGAGACTTACAGACCTGCACGCTGTGCACCCCCGCGGCCTTTCCCAGACCACCTCCATTTCCTGACCTTCCTGCCAGGCTCTGACCAAACAGCTGGACCATTCATCACTGCCCAAGATCCTGCATACCTTTCCCGAAGGCCCCTTCTCGCTTCACACAGCAAAGGCCCAATGTGCTGCTTCAAGCCCCATCCCTGGGGTGACCGGCTGCAAACAGGGCCTGTTCCTGTCACTGGCTATGGGGAACTGGGATGGAACCACTATTGTGAGTTGGTAGAGAAGGTGTCGGGCGCCAGCCCGGGGACCTGACCCCCCTGATCCATCAACTCACTTCTGCTCCATGGCCCTGCGCAGGCCCAACCCCAAAGGTAGATTATTCACTATGTGGTAAATCGTGGCTGCCCCTAGCCCCTTAGACTTGTTGTGTCTGAGAAAATCCAGCTCACAAAGGCAAGAGCCAGCCATGGCCACCCATATTCTATGGGGAGCCCTCACTATCTACCAGAGCCCAGTAGCCTGCTAGGAGCATCTATTCCATGGCAAATGGTTCTCTGGCCCATGGGGAGCCCTCAGTATCTACCAGAGCCCAGTAGCCTGCTAGGGGCTTCTTTTCCATGGCGAATGGTTCTCTGGCGCAGAAGGTGTAACTCTGCTTTGAAAACCAGGGGGTCTAGGCCATGACTCCCTCCTGGGCTTGCTACAGGACCCACTCCAGAGCAAACCTCTCTGCCAGGCTACACCCATCCCCGGTGCGTCCACGGGGTCCCGGCCTGAGTGTCAGTACAGCTGACACAGTGGCCTCGCCCTGCAGCAGAGCCTCCTCAGCCTTCAGCCCTCCGCACAGATGAGTCAAATCATTATTTCCAGGGACAGTTCTGTGCTTCTGAGTGGTAAGAGGTACAAGGTACAATAATTTGTCTTTTACCTTGAAAGGACTGTCCCAGCATGTCCCGGACCCTCGCATGTGAAACCTCGCTCTGACATGGGGGGAGTCTGAGTCTTTGCAGGGTCGGCCTGGGCTCCTCTGGCATGCGTGGTCTCACCAGGACCCCCAGAACACCTGCCTGTTGTTCTCCAGGTCCAGTTAGCCTGGTGTTGTCAACTTAGGGGGACCCAAGAGACTGCAGCAGCAGGTCCAGGCCACTGCACCCTGTTGATTGCTTTATGACAGAGAGCAAGAGAGTTAACACGGCCTGTGGGTAAGACAGTCAGGACCGCTGGTGCTCTCGGGGTGAGGCGGCCTCAGAGGAAGGGAGTCGGTGCCCGAGAAAGGCTGAAATCAGAAGTGATGTCAAGAGCCTGTGAGCTGGGCGCAGCGGTATCTTCACGCCACACCTCCTGGAAAGCTCCGTGTCGAAACATGCTGACTTCTCCCTCTTCCGCATTCCACTGCCCTGTTTCCATGTGCGTTTCCGTGACCTCACCCAGTGTGCTATGGTTTTGTGTTTGCACATCAGTCTTTTCCTCACGATGGATGCTCCGTGGGGGTCAGGATCCATGAATGTGTCCCCTCACCCTCCCCCACCACCTTCAGCAGTGCCTGCACAAATTAAAGATTCAATCAAAGATGGTTGCATTAAATTGAAATGTATAAATTATCTGGATCAATACTCACAAAAGCAGCTGACTAAGGATACTTACTTATCAAAGGAAGGATATTATGTTTAAATGTAATAGAAAATGCTATGAGGCATGAGATGACCAAATCAAGGCTTTTCAATCCGCCTGGTTAACCTCGTGGAGTCTAGTTGGTGCCAGTTACATGCTAGCTATTAGCAAAACAACAACAAAATACCACCTCCTTTAAATTGATTTGATTCTAGAATGTGCATGTTAATAATATCACCCACTGTTCAACTACTGGGCAGATATTTGTTGAGTCCCTACTGTGCGCCTGGCTTTATGGTAGGTGTAGCGGGTAGAACAAGTAGCAAAATCCCGTCTCTGCCTTCTTGAACTCATGTTCTAGGTACCCAGCAAGTGAATTAAATAGCAAATTTAAGAAGTGGTCAGTTCTGTAAGTCCTGTGTATCATTGAGTAGGATAGGGGGATTCGTCATGTAGGAGGTTTGAGGGTTGGAATTTGCAAGGAGCATTGCGGACAGGCCCGTGGAGGTGGCAATGGGGTTGTGGTATGAACCACGACTTGGAAGAGGCTGTGGCATAGCATGGGGTGAGGAGGACGTGCTTCCCGAGGTAGAGGCAGGACCAGGGCCAGCCTCAGGTGTGAGAGACGGCCGAGTTCGGGCAACAGCCGGGAGTCCACTGCATTTGGTGGGGTGTCAGTCAGGAGAGGACCCCCTGGGGTGACCAGGGCACAGAGGGTTTAGGGTCTCCCAGCCCGTGTGAGAACGTGGGCTTTCACTCCAAGTGTCATTCCAATGGGCTCCTCTGGCTGCTGAGAGGCACAAGTGCACATGACAAACAGAGGATGCTGAGCCCATCCAGGTGAGGCCCACAGGGACAGACATGTTGACAGTGGCTGTATTTGCATTCTAGATATATTTTGAAGTCACGGCCAACAGTCTTTGTGGAAATTATTCCGTCAAAAAATAAAAGTCTGTACTACAAAACTTAAGGATTCTACTCCTAAATCAAACTGTGCCCCCCAAAACCCCCTTAAGAGAAAACAGCTCTCAGAGCTTCACAGCCCCCAGGAGACCAGGTGGCCTGATGCCCACTTCACATGAGATCGTGAAAGACAGTGGGTGAAGAAAGACCTCCCAGGGCAGAGACGGTGGACCAGGGCATCAGACCAGGAACAGAGGGGCCTGTGTTTCTTTTGTAATGTGGCACATTGCCTTGCAACTGGACACTTCGTTTCCTGACCCCCTCACAGCTACGGGTGCTTGTGTCAAATTCTGGCCAATGGGCCCTGGGGAAATGTGGGTGCATATTCCAGGCCAGGCCCTTTCAGGGAGAAAGGTGCCCCCCTGTTTTCTCTCTTCTTCCCGTGGGCTGGGCTTCAGCCTGAAGGTGGGAGCTGGAGTGGCCAGGTGGACCACAGGTGTCAGCCTGTGTCATTTGGGGTCACAGTTGAGAGACCTGGGTCCCAAACGATGCTGGAGTTGCCATGTCAACCCAAACTGCATAGTCGGACTGAAATGTATTCATTTCTATTTTGTTCAGGCGCTATTATTTTGGGTCTCTGACGGTTAATCCTACCCTAAATAATGCAGGTGGTCAGCAAATGAGGCCAGAAGGAAGGGCTGGGCACTGCAGTCGCCAGGAACAACCGTGTCCAGCCATTAGGATGGGCAAGGGCAGAGCTGAAGGCAGAGACGAGGTTGGAGCCTCCAAGGAGCAGCACAGTGCCAGTGTGGATGAGACCGAAGGAGCTGGAGGAGAGAGGGGACACAATGGCGGAATGCAGCAGGTCGATGGGGTGAATACAAGCAGAGGGCTGTGCCCTCCACGAGGCAGGAAGTCACTGGAGGAATGTGAGCAGGACAATGACACCATCCTACTAGAGTTCTCACAGGACCTATCTGGCTGCTCAGTGGAGAACACACTGTTGGGGACGTAGGTAGAATCAGGGTTCAGGTAGGAGGGAGAATAGGAAATTCAGGTAGGAAGGGAGGACCAGGGAGGCCAGGGTGGAGGGAGAACAGGGAGGCCAGGGAGGAGGGAGAACCAGGAAGACTGGGCAGGAGGAACCAAGGAAAACAAATAAACAAGAGAACCAGAGAGACCAGGTAGGCGTGAG